>NC_000021.9:34574662-34884616 GCF_000001405.40 Homo sapiens
TAAAAATGCCATTCAAGAAAGTCAGATCCAAATATGAAGTAAAACGTGACATGAAATGATTTTCAGCAGTTGTTTGAGTGTAAACACGGAGTGTCTGTCTGCTTCCGCGGCTGAGCACGTTCTCCTCGGGTGCCTCCCGCGTCAGAAGCTAGACCTACTCAGAAGGAACGTAATCCTCACCAGCTGCTTAGCTGGCATCGAAGAACATTTTTATAGCTGTATTAGCATAAACCGTACTGACAACTTTTCAGGTTTTAGCGTCAAATTATGAATAAAACATGGACAATGGTTACGGCATCAAGTGTTAATCACCTAAATGTCAACGCATGGCTGATGGAGGCAGAACTGCACGGGCAGATGGGAATCAAGAAGAAATGGGAGGAAACTCACAACTGCAAAATGTGAGGGCATCTGCTAAAACTAGTTCATCTACATCAAATGTTTGCGAACAGCACCCGTGGGTCACTCTCTACCACATCTGGTCCTGGGGTTTCTCAGAGGATGTGGTCAGGAGCCTCTGTCTGCACAGCTACCTGGCCTTTCTTCAGGATCCGAGCCTGCACAGTGTGCATCACAGGGCTCCATGGGAGCACAAACACAGTTCACCTTCTCCCCATCTGGAGCGGCTATGCTCATTTGCTAGTAGCAGCATTTCCCACTTCCCTCCTTTCCTCCTTCTCTTCCTCCTTCCCTCTTGCCTCTCCTACTTACTGAGCTTCTAGCGTATGCCAAGCACTATGGCTGAGACGGTCTTATTCTCAAGGCGAGCCCACTGAAAGGAGGTCAAACCTACAGCCCGGAGAATTGATGACTAGGGGTGAGAAAGAAGCTTATGCAAAGTTAAAGTGTTTTTTATTTCATTTAGATGTATATTTTTAGAGACAAGCTCTCACTCTGTCACCCAGGTTGGAGTGCAGTGTTACGATCATGGCTCACTGCAGCCTCAACCTCCCGGGCTCAAACAATCTGCCCACCTCAGCCTCCCAAGCAACTGGGGTTACAGGTGTGTGCCACCGTGCCAGGTGAAAGTGTTTTTCAAAAGGCATTTAACATAGGAAGATTGGTGACTGGACTTCCTAAGCGCAGTTCCATTAACAGCAACGACACGTGCAAAATGAGCTCCTGTAGCTGAACCTCAGAAGAAGAGACGAGACAGCGGTGTGTTAAGGGACCACTAGTGACCCCAAAAGGTGTCATTTAATCCTCAGGACAGCCCTGAGGTAGGCATTATTTTACAAATGAGGAAATAAACTCAAAGAATTTGGACAGGCCCAACTTAGGTCTGTCTAGCACTAGAGTCTGGGTTCCTTCCATCACACTGCATGGGATCCTTAACTCTGAGTGAGCCAGGGTCCTGTGGAATTCTCCAAAACTGCTGTGCCCTATAATATGGTGACTGGAGGGGAAGAAATGCAGGAAAGCTTGTGGAAAATTTTTATTCATACCCAACAGCTCAACAATGTAGTTTACCTTAGATGATCCCTAAGGAACCACCCAGTGACATCATTCTCTGATTCCATAATTGTCCAACAAGTTCCTCCTTCTATTTCCCAATAAAAGCACAGGGTTTTGCATTACCTTTGTCAGATAAGTGCAATAAACAAGTCACAGAGCTCTGCAGGTTCGTACCTGCACCACCCCTCTCTGGAGGCTGTGTCCTCTACCCGAGCTGTTCTTTTCTGGCAATAAGAGTTGGGGCCCCTCCAACGGCAGGGATCTGGACAGCTTCCAGAGGAACCCAGGACAAGAGAAAAAGAGCCCCAGGGACACTGTCCAACTCGGACACAAACCCAAGTGTGGGGTGGGTGGCTGTGACACGTTCCAGGCTTGATGGTATTTTTCCCTTTACTTTAAATCAGTCTTTGATTGTCTTGTGTGCACACAGGAAGAATGATGAATATTAAAAATAAAACGCAAATCAGCCAGCAAGTAGTCTTTAGAAGAAATAAGTCACAGGAGGTTGAAAACAATGTACTAGCACTGGAGAAGTCTGAACATTTTGGTCAATGTCTGTGAATGTTTCAAAGTTTAAACTGGATGGAGTTTACTGAGACTCTAATCACCGCTCAGCAAGAAATCTATGCTAATCACATCAATATTATAACACAAACAAGCAGGTGGAAGAAAATCCAAAGATAGCTAATGGATAATACTTTGTCTTTGGTTCAATTATAGGACTTGGTTTCTAAAGGAGCTGCTAACTCATTCATTCACTCATCAAACATGTATTGATCACATATAACATGGCAATGACTGTGCTAGGAGCTGGCAATACTAAAATTGTTTCTTCATTCCAGAACATCAGAGATTAGTTGGGAACAGAGTCACCCTCTACTGAGAAAAGGCCATCAGAAGGCCGGCAGGGGTCAGCTCCATGGAGAAGAGGTCTGGGGCATCCCAGGCGGAGGCAACTGCAGTTTCCATCCTACGGTGCCCTGTGTCCTGGGAACCTCAGGTAGTTGAGCACCACTGCACTAATGAGCTGAGTGAGGGAGAAGCAAGAGCTGAGACACAACAGGGTCCAAATGAGAGGCCTTATTCACAAAGTAAGGATTTTGAACATTACCTTATGAACAACAGATAAGTACTGAAGAGTATCTAGAAACAGGATAGTGAGATGATGACATACATAGGTTTTTAGAAAAATCGCTTGGGCCAGTCATGGTGGCACGTGCCTATAATCCCAGCACTTTGAGAGGTGGAGGTGGGTGGATCCTTTGAGCCCAGGAGTTTGAGATCAGCCTGGGCAACATGGTGAAACCCTGTCTCTACAAAAAAATACAAAAATTGGTCAGGCATGGTGGTGTGCGCCTGTAGTCCCAGCTACTTGGGAGGCTGAGGTGGGAGGATCACTTGAGTCCAGGTGGTAGAGGCTACAGTGAGCTGTGATCATGCCACTGCATTCCAGCCTGAGTGACAGAGCCAGACCCTGTCTCAAAAACAAACAAACAAACAAACAAAAGATCACTCAGGGAGCACTAGAGGGCCACTGAAGAGTGCCGGAGAGGAATCAGAATACCAGGTAGGAGCTGCTGCGTACTCCAGGCAGGAGTGTTACATGAAAGTGACTGAACCAAGGCAGTTATCCTGAGCACGGGAGAGTGGAAGCAGGCTGAAACATCACTGCTTAGGTGTGAAATCTATAAAACCTTTGGCTAATATGTAGGAGTGAGAGGGAAGGTGCCAACAATATCTCCCCACTTTCTAGCACAAACAGTGGAGTGGATGGGAGAGGACAAAAGAGGGGCAGCAAGTTCAGGAACAGATCAAGGCTCAGCTTCGGACACAGTGTGAAAAGTCTGCGGCATGACCGAGGGGACAGCCTGCTGGAAAGTCAGACAGCCAGGTCTGGAGCCCTGCAGAGGGGTGTGGACTGTCAGCCCACTGACTATTAGAAGTACAGGGACCAATAAGATGAGGAAACTGAGGGCACCAAGGTCACACAGTCCAGAGGACAACCAGCATGAAGGCCACATGCAAAAACACAAAAGAGCAAGAGGTGCGTTAGGGAATGTAAGATCTTATATTCTCCTTGACCCTCGTATCTCTGAGAGCTTACCTTATGATTCTTCTCCCCTCACCTGCAAATATATAGCTTGAGTAGCAGATGAGGCAGGACATCATAACGCCCTCCATATTAAATGAGTTCCGTGAATAGACAGGATCCAGAAAATAAACCCATCTGTTTGATGCAGAACTAAGAACATTAGATTGAGAAACTTGAGGTCTCCTGCTGTAAGCAGCCATCAGCCAGCATCAGCCAGATCCCCTAGGAATCTGCATCAGAACAAACTACCTATTCTTATCATCTCTCCACTGGGCCTGGTCATCTGTGAGCAGGGTTCCCAGGCAGGTGATTGTCACAGGGCGGCAGATCAGAACAGACAGACTAGTTCCAGACCAGGGTCAATTCCTGGTGTCTGCTCTGGTCTTGGTGGCCCCACTCTGGGCCCTGGGGGAATGGACCTGCCCAGGGAGGAAGAGAGGCTTTGCAGATGGCCCTTTGCTAAGGGCTCTGGAAGAATCTCCTGAACTTTGTGGGTTCTCTAAGACACCCGCCCTGACAAGAGTGCCTTTCCAAGAGTGCAGGGCATGTTACCAAGTGTTACCAGAAGTGGTCTCGGTTGCTCTAAATACAGCGCCCAACAGAGTGGGTCCTCCTGGCCACTCGGTTGGGCTGTGGTCACACCATGCCTGGGAAGAGCGTAGCTGGGTTTCCCATCCCGACTCCAACAGTGACAGATTTGTGTGACTCCAGGCAAGGTCATCTACCCTTTGGGCCCCTGGTTCCTCACCTGAATAACAACACATACAACAAACAGACAAACAAAAACAAGCCAACAAAAAAAAGGACTTGCATCCAGTGATTCTCAAATGTGGGGTCCCTCAAAGGTTTTTAGGCCAGTTGTTTAGGAACTGCTTGGAAGAGTTGTTAAAAATGCGATGTTATGGCCGGGCGCGGTGGCTCATGCCTGTAATCCTAGCACCTTGGGAGGCTGAGGTGGGCAGATCACTTGAGCTCAGGAGTATGAGACCAACCTGGGCAACATGGCAAAACCTAGTTTCTACCAAAAATACAAAAAATTAGCCAGGTACGGTGGTGCATGCCTGTAGTCCCAGCTACTTGGGAGGCTGGAGGCTGGGGTGAGAAGATCACTTGGGCCTGGTAGGCAGAGGCTGCAGTGAGCTGAGATTGCGCCACTGCACTCCAGCCTGGGTGACACAGCGAGAGTCCCACCCCCCAAAAATGCAATGTTAAAGATAAAGGGTCCAGATCTTTGACCCCAGGCCTTGGGTAGCACCAGGGCATCTGAATTTTTAATAAGCTCTATAGGTGATTCTGATAAACAGCTAGATTTGGGACCCACTGGACTAAATGATTACTAAGCTGCCTTCCATCTCTAGCAATGTATGACTCAATGCATGTATGTGACAAATGTTCATGACCAATTCAACAACCAGGTCCCAAAACCTAACCTAGTACAGTTGCATCACTCAGACATTACTTATGCTTGCTAATGAATCACTCTTAGGCTTTATAGAAAATAGAGTAAAATGAATTATTCGAGAGTCTCAAAATAGACCCCAGTCTCCCATTTCCTTCAAATTACATTTTCTAAAACTGAAACACAGTACCAGCCACAACCCAGTCCTCAGAAGAGGAGAGCGACAGGTTGGCAGGTCCAGAGCCATGAGCCAGGCCACTGGTTTGCAGTTGTGACCTTGAGCAGAAGAATATTTTTTTCTTTAAAATTGCCTTTCCACTCTGTAAAATAGAAATAACCACTGCTAACCTATCTCCTAGGGCTGCTGAGAATCCACAGGGAAATTACTATCCGTCTGATTCTCCCACTAACACCCGGTGTCAGAGAACAGAGGGGAAAGTGTCACAGTGCATTACTTTCAGACCCACCGTGTCTGCACAAATATTTCAATGGTTCAAAATAAAAAAGAGCCCAACCAAGGATTCCCAGTGAGAATGGAAGAGGCCCTGTTTGATTTACTTTCCTGGGAAGTCAAGCCCAGCTTTAGAGCATCAGGAACCATCTTATCTACCCCCGGGTATGCTAGAGACAGAGGCCGGCCTGCACAGCCTGGTCAGCAGTTGCAACTTTCTTTAGCTAAACCTGCTGGCATTCAGGCCTGATAGTAGGCAGGGTCAGCGCAAATGGAAAGAATGACAGTGTGTCCTTCCACCTTCCTGAGGCCCTGGCTGATATGGAAACTGGCTGGCACGGGTGGCCATGGAAAGTATGAATCCAGGCTTGCCTAGGGTTGAATGAGTGAGGAATGATCAGATCAGGCCTGTGTTAAAATATCACCACAGCTCACTTGCCCGGCTATTATCCAGTCACGTCCTCCGGGTTTCAGGAATGAGATGCTGCAACCCGAAGCAGCTGGAGACAGTGTTTGCAAAAGCAGGCCAGGCAGGCTCCTTGGAGCTGAAGCTGGGTGGAGAGATGGGTGTGGTGACTGCCTGCACAGACAGACACCTGTGAAGGGCTGACTTGGCTCCCGGATGCTTTCTCTACAGTTCCTCACCTTTGTGCATGGCTCACCATGATCTCCGCCCCACTCTATAGATGAAGGAATCCTTCCTAGAGAGGTCAAGTGTCTGGCTGGTGCTTGCACGAAGAAGGGACCCAAATCCAGGACCCTGTGATATCCCTCCTGGCCTTGCAAACTTTCTAGCACCTGGCTGTCTCGTGCACCTACGTATGCACATGGATGCTGTAAATCAAGGCAAAGCACAGGCAGGCAGGCAACACAGGGGAGGTCTATGGAAAAGGAGGGGTGAGAAGGAAGAAGAGAGTTTTAGGCCAAAAGCTCAAAAATGTTCTTTAGACAAGCACTAGGAGAACCACCCAGAAGTCACGAGTCGGGAGTTCTAAGTCCTTGTGGAGATGGACCCACCGTTGTCTCAGAGATGCCTTAGTCTCTACAGGGAAAACCACTGAAAATGCCTTCTAGACTGGAAAGTCTAAATAACTAAAATGTTTTCACTTCTCTAATAACTTTTTTTTTTAAGGTCTTAGAATGGAAAGATCCCTATTCCAACGTCCCAACCAAATCAAGATGCTGTTTCTAGGGTCCAATCCCTATTCCAACATCCCAGCCAAATCAAGACGCTGTTTGTAGGGTCCAAACTGCCTCTGCTTAGGCAGTTCTCAGACTGGGTAGAGAAAGGAAGACTACAAGTTAAGGAGTATTCAAAAACAAAACAAAATGAGTATCTCAGAGAGCTGAAAAATGAATTGCTGTTGCCCCCAAAGACCCTTTCAGTCTGAGGAAGTATTATTCATGCCCCTCTGCCCTCATACCTGAAAAGCCCCCTCAAATCAAAGATGAGGAATAAGAGGAAGAAGAAGGAGGAGGAGGAAACAGAATAAATCCCCTGCTCCACGTCTCTGGTTATGGCAGTCAAGCAAGCCTAAAAGAAAAACAGCCATCATTCCCAGGGTCAATGCCAGTGTATATGAGGAAAAAAAATCACTAAAAATGTAAAGCCTCCATTGCCTACAGGCCCTAAAAATATTACACACTATCAGGGCACTTTGCATGAAAGTTTTAATACCGTTATTCATGAAAAAAATCTTTGAAAAAAAGGCAGCCCAGGAAGTGGCTGGCCTACATGTGGACCAAAAGGCAGGCTGAGAAGCGTGTCTCCCACGGGCTCTACAGTACTCTTGCAAAGCAACTGCCTCTCCATTTAGGTCGCAGAATTGGGGACTAGCCTTGTTAGTGACCTCCCAACTCTAAATTTGCTATCAAAATGCCAACAGGGCCGATCTCTTTCAAGCCAGACGAGTCATCTACCCTTGTGGGTAGCTTCTCAACTCATCATCCAAGGCAAGGTGTATTCTGGGCACGAGGTAGGGGAAGATGCAAGTTTCTCCCGGGGGTTGCTTTGGACCTAAAGAGGGGTCTATGCTCATTACCAAAGGCAGTCTGCCCAGCATAACCTTTGACACCACGGACTCACTTGAGCCACAGAATGTCATTTATCAATTTAATACATATTCATGAAGCAAGTGCTATTCTTAGGTACTAAGAACTTCCAAGCTCCTAAGGTACTGGGCACCTAGTGGTAAATGAGACAAAAGCCTTCGTGAAGCTGACGTTCTAGCAAACACAGACAACAGGCAATTATATACCCTGATGTTGGGGAGTGACCAGTGCTATGAAGACACTTTGAGGACAGATGGTCTGGGGTGGGGGGAATGGTGCGCTCGCTTAGCTAGGGGCTCGGGAAGACATTTCTGAGGAAGGAGCATCTGGGCAGCGACCTGGGAGGAGTGAGGGAGTAAGCCATGTGGGTATCTGGGGGAAGAACCTTCCGGGAATTCCAGGCTTTGAGGAAGGGACCACACTTGGCACATGGGAGCAGTAGCAGCAAGGCCAGAGTAGCCCAGCTGTGGTATTGGAGACGCGAGGAGGAGCTGAATCTGGAGAGGGCAGAGCGGGCCACGTCCTCACATGCCCAGGCAAGCATCTGGAGCCCGCGCTAAATGTGCTCAGAGGACTCAGAGCAAGAGAGTGGCCAGGTTTGATTCATGTTTTCAAAACACCACTGGCTGCTCCATTGAGAGGCAGAGCTCCAGAGTGACAAGAGGGAAGCAAGAATGGGGAGGCTTCCGCGATAACACAGGCAGGGGAGGACACTGGTTTAGACAGGGGTGAGAGAGGGAGGGTAAAAAGCAGAGGAGCCCAGAACATCATCTGAAGAGGCACCCAGGACTGGCTGCTGGGTTGGCTGTGCGGTGTGGAGATGGAGGCTGATGCCATTCTAAAGAGTGTCAGAGAGAGAGAGAGAGCCTCTTGCTGGTTGTTTTAGGAACAACAGTGTTGGCTAATAAATTCCTGCAGACACTCTGAATATAACTGAGAGAGCTCAGCTGGCTCTAACAGCATTATGGACTGAACTATGTTCATGTCCTTCACTCCCCACAAGTTTATGTGTTGAAGCCCTAACCATCAGTACCGTAGAACTGGACTACACAGTTGGCGATAGGGCCTTTTTTTTTTTTTTTTTTTGAGACAGTTTCACTCTTGTCGCCCAGGCTAGAGTGCAGTGGTGCAATCTCAGCTCACTGCAACCTCTGCCTCCTGGGTTCAGCGATTCTCCTTCCTCAGCCTCCCAAGTAGCTGGGATTACAGTTAGGTGCCACCATGCCTGGCTAATTTTGTATTTTTAGTAGAGACAGGGTTTCACCATGTTGGTCAGGCTGGTCTCAAACGCCTGGCCTCAGGTGATCCACCCACCTCAGCTGGAGATAGGGCCTTTAAAGAGGCAATTAAGTTAAAATGAGGTCATGAGGGTGGGGCCCCAATCTAATCTGATCGGTGTCTTTGTAAGAGGAGAGAATGTGGACACATAAAGGGACACTAGGCATGTGCGTGCACAGAGGGAAGACCATGTGAGGACACAGGGAGAAGGCAGCCGTCTACAAGCCAAGGAGAGAGGCCTCAGGAGGAGCCAAAGCTGCCGGCACCATGATCTCGGACTTCCAGCCTCCAGAACTGTGAGAGAAAAAAGGTCTGTCGTTTAAGCCCCCAATCTGTGGTATTATGTTAGAGCTGCCCTAGCACACTGATAGAGATAGCCTCAATTTTGCTTTGAATTGCTATGAGTTGACAAAGTTAACCACAAGTTAGAGACCCCATGACCATATCAGCCACTGCAGAGACCTGAAGGCTGACCACTGAAAAAACTACACCCTCCTATATCACACACACACACATACACACACACACAATTTATTATTACACACACATACACACATATTTGTTATTGATTATAATCATAAAGTCTAACTATGAGTTTCTGTTTACTCCCAATTAACTTGGAACAACTTTTCTTTGAGCCTCCTCCTGAATGGAATAAGGGAATGGTTGTTCCTGCTCCTACTTGGATTCCTGAAGATAGGACTGGCCAAGGACAGCCTGGAACAATCACAGCCTGCTGCTGTCATCGTGCAACAATTTGTTGCCTGTATTCTAGACGCAGAAAAATCTCACAGCTTATTTCAAGTAATCTCTATTAATATCCCTCCCTGGCCCTCAAAAGATATTAAGAATCCAAAGGGAAATCAGAAACTCAATTGTGCTAGAAATAGCCAAACTGTCTCATTCAGAATGCATTCACCAAACAACTTCAAAGCAAAATGATGATGAAAAATAAGCCTTCCAACACCAGAGTATTTCTCTTTTTGAATGTTTCTACCACATCTAAGAAAACAGATGTCACCATGGTTAAAAAAAAAATTGTACCTTGCAAAAATAAAACTTCATAATGATAGTTCGTTCTTGTGAATAAATCCTCAAATACATCCCTCTTGCAAAAAAGGTTTTCTCTTACTGACCACTCTTCTTCCATCACTGACTGCAGTGGAAAATTACATTCCACTGTGAAATATAATCCTGTTGATAGTAACACCTATTGAGGTTTTCATCAAATTGCTAGATGAGATGGTGTAATTAGGGACAGCCAGGGGGAAAACTACAAAGGACACAGAGGACGTCAGTCCAAAGGAGGTAAAAACTGAAAAGATAATACCTTCCTCAAACCATTGCAGAAGCGTGTACCTGCTTGCCTGGTGACAAAGTCTTTTTGAAAATCAACCTGTACCCATAATTCTGCTTTCTGACTTTCACCAGAGGATTCATAAGAGCATCCTGAATCCAAATAACAAAATTAAATATACACTAACCACCCGTCCTTAATCGCTTCATGTAAATCTGTGGCATTAGAAACTGAAAACAAAAATTATCTGAGGGTCATGTTTTGCTATGCATTTAATGGATATTACTTCTGCCTGCTCCAAGGGCAATGTTCAGTTTCCACAAACAGTGTAGTTTATTATGAAAAATAATTTATAAATCATTCTTGTTTAAAACAAAATTTTTTTAGGAGAATTAGTAACAGAATTTCAAAAAAGTTGAATAATTTCTAAAGATTAAGATTTCAACTTCACTCTTTTAATGTATTTAAGGTAATAATCACTTACTTTGGTGATTATTTATAACATTAACAGCTCTAAGAGGCCTTTAAGGGCCATTTTGTTATACAAAAAAGAAACACATTTATAAGCATTCTTAGAATAATGCTAATGTCATTAGCTACAGAAGCAGCACATGCTAAGATATCAGCTTTAATTTTAAATTCATATTAGACCTTAATAAAATAAGTCAAGGATGCATTTTGTAATATCTAGAATAACCACTAAAAGAACAGTAATGTCTAACAGGCAAGTTAGTAGAGGGGGAAAATGAAACAATTTTTAAAAATACATAATTCAGGCCAGGCGCAGTGGCTCACACCTGTAATCCCAGCACTTTCGGAGGCCGAGGTGGGCGGATCACAAGGTCAGGAGATCAAGACCATCCTGGCTAACACGGTGAAATCCCGTCTCCACTAAAAACACAAAAAATTAGCCGGGCATGGTGGCGGGCACCTGTAGTCCCAGCTACTCGGGAGGCTGAGGCAGGAGAATGGTGTGAACCCAGGAGGCGGAGCTTGCAGTGAGCCGAGATTGTGCCACTGCACTCCAGCCTGGGTGACAGAGCGAGACTCCATCTCAAAAAAAAAAAAAAAAAAAAAACATAATTCAAAGGAAGATAAGAAAGAAAAGGAATATAGAACAAGTAGAACAAACAGAAAACAAACAGTAAGATGACAGGAAATAGAAGGATGGAAAAATGTGCTATAAAAATACTAACCAAACAAGAGCTGGCACATCATGCAAAATAGACTTTAAGACAAGAAGCATTACTAGCAAAAAAGATGGACATTTAATAATAAAAAAGGGTCAATTTGCCAGGCTGATACAACAATCCTAAATCTGTATATATCCAATAATATAGCCTCAAATCTATATGAAGGAAAAGCTAGCAGGACAAAAAGGAGAAATCAGCAAATCCAAATCATGGTGGGAAATTTTAACACACTTCTCTCAGCCACTGATAAGAATAGACGAAATTCAGTAAGGCCATAGATGACATAAACAATACGAATAACAAACTTAACCCAACTGTCTATATACGTTGTTGTTACATGACTGCATCTATATATGTTGTTGTTAAGAAGGCATATTTTTTCAAGTGCACATGAAACACTTATCAAAACCGACTTACTGTTGAGCTACAAAGCAAGTCTGAAAAAATGTCAAAGGACTGAGAGTGTTTTCTGATCACATAATGGAATTACTCTAGGAATCAATAACATTAAAAAAAAAACCCCAAATGTTTATGAACAAAGTGATACATTTCTAAACAATCTACAGATCAATGAAGAAATTATACTGGAAATCAGAAAATATCCTGAATTGGAAAATAATAAGGATATGACATATCAAAACTTGTAAGATGCAGCAAAAGCCATACTTAGAGGTAAATTTCTAGTCTTATGTGAATATATGGGATAAGAAGACTAAAAATTAATGATTTACATATTGATCTTAAAAAGCAAGAAAACAGAACAAGAGATTAAAGAAAGTAGAAGGAGAAAAGGACAGGCGCAGTGGCTCACACCTGTAACCCCAGCACTTTGGGAGGCCGAGATGGGTGGATCACTTAAGATCAGGAGTTCATGACCAGCCTGGCCAACATGGCGAAACCCTGTCTCTACTAAAAATACAAAAAATTAGCCAGGCATGGTGGCAGGCTCCTGTATTCCAAGCTACTTGGGAGGCTGAGGCAGGAGAATTGCTTGAACCCAGGAGACAGAGGTTGCAGTGAGTTGAGATCGCACCATTGCACTCCAGCCTGAGCAACAAGAGTGAAACTCCGTTTAAAAAAATAAAAAAAAAAGTAGAAGAAAAAAAGTGGAAAACACTGAAACAGAAAACAAAAAAACAGAAATTAAGTCAAATGTTGACTTTTCAAAATATTAATACATTTAATAAACCTCTGACAGGACTGATGAAGAAAAGAGCACAAATTGTCACTACCAGGATTGAAAAAGGAAACATAACTACAGGTCCTACAGATATTAGAAAGCCTATATAAATATTATGCCAATATATTTAAGATTTTAAGTAAAATGGACTACTTCCTAGAAAAATACAACTTACAAAAATGACAGAAGAGAAAATCAATTGGTTCTATATCTATTTATAAAACTGAATATTTAATTAAAAACATTCTCAAAAGAAAACTCTACACCCAGATATCTTTATCAGTGAAATCTCCCAAACACTTAAGAAATAATATGAATCCTACATCAACTCTTCAATACAGGAAACAAAAGGAGGGGCCCTTTCTACTTATTTTATGCTTTTAGCATAACCTTGATCCTGAAACCTGAGAAAAATATTATAAAAAAGAAAAGTGATCAGCCTATATCTTTCATGAACATAAACATAAAATTACAAAATGAAAATAATAGTAAAACAAAGCCAGAGTCATAAAAAAGAATACTGTACTATAACCAAGGAAAAGTGAATATATATATGTTAAAATACATGTAGGAGATTGTTACTGCAGCATTATCATAATACTCCCAACTGGAAAAGTCAAATGGAAATGTGATATATTCACACCACAGAATAGAAACAACAATAAAAGTGAACTACTATGACATGTATAATGGTTAATTTTATGTGTGAACTTGGCTGGGCCATGGTGCCCAGATACCAGATATATGGACAAACATTATTCTGGATGTTTCTGTGCAGGTGTTTTGAGATGCGATTAACATTTAGATTAGTGAACTCTGAGTAAAGTATATTGGCAGGGAGCTCATCCAATCAGTTAAAGGCCTTAACGGAACAAAAAGACTAGCCTACCCCAAGAAAGAAGGAATCTGCAGCAGAAATCCTTTACACTTGAACTGTAACATCAGTTCATTCCTGGGTCTCCAGCCTGTCAACCCACCCTGGAGATTTTGGACTTGCCAGTCACTATAATTGTATGAGCCAATTTCTTAAAACAAACTTTTCCCTATATACATATACATCCTATTGGTTCTATTTCTCTGGAGAACGCTGTAGTCAATAAGCATTTCATAAACATAATGTTGAACAAAAGAAACAAGACACAAATGATGAAAAACATGCTTCCACTTATATAAAGTTCCAGACAAGCAAAACTCCTCTATGGTGATGGAGGTCAGCATGGTGGGTAACTTGGTGGGCCATGGTGGTGACTGGTGAGTAATAGCTGGGGAGGGACATGAAGGATGCTTCCAGGTGTGCTGGCATTGTTCTATTTCTTGACCTGATATGGGTGTGTTTATTTTGTAAAATTTCAGCAAGGTTTTGATTTGTGTATTTTTCTGTATGTATGTTATACTTCAATTAGAAAAGTATAGCTTTTTATTGATTATACCTCATAGCCATTAGGATGGCTAGTATCAAAAACAGAAAATAACAAGAGTTGGCAAGGAGGTAGAGAAATCAGAACTGTTGTGCACTATTGATGAAAATGTAAAATGGTGTAGCCACTGTGCAGAACGGAATGGCAGCTCCTCAAAAAATTGAAAATAGAATTACCACATGATCCAGCAATTCCACCTCTGTGTATGTATCTAAAAGAATTGAAAGCAGGGTCCTGACGAGATATGCTCAATCATGTCCACAGCAGCATCCTTCAAAATAGCCAAGATGGCAGCAACCCCAGTGTAGATCAATGGGAAAATGAATAAACAAAATGTAGTCCATCCATACAGTAGAATATTATTCAACCTTAAAAAGGAAGGAAATTTTGAAACATGTACAATATAGATGAACCTTCAGGACATTATGCTAAGTGAGGTAAGCCAGTCATGAAAAAACAAATACTTAGAAACCTAAAGTAGTCAAATTCATAGACACAGAAAGTAGAATGGTGGTTGCCAGGGGCTGAGGGAAGAGAAAATGGGGAGTTGATGTTTGACGGATACAGAGTTTCAGTTGTACAAGATGAAAAGTGTTCTGGAGATGTGCTACACAACAATGTGAATATATTTAATATTTAATACCTCTGAACTGTACATGTAAAGATGGTAAATTTTAAGTTATGTGCATTTTACCACAATTTTTAAAAGTTTAGTAAAGAAAAAAATCAAAGCATAATAAAGATTGTATTCATACTTTGGATCATACAAAGGATCAAGAAGAACATATTTAATTGTAGATCCATTAAATGGGGTCTCCCACTGCTTTTCATTAGGCTTCAGTTGTGAAAAAGCTTTGTGGATAGCAAAGTGCTAAAACTGGAAGGCTTTTTAAACTCTGATCTTACTACTATCTTTACAGGATTGGTAATTAAAGTTTTAAGAAGGAGATATAGGTAAAGGATGCTAATTTTCCTGGAAAAGGACATGATCGTTGAAAAAATAAGAGAAGATTTAGAGCAGTTCAGAAGATGTGGTGGTTAATTGCGTGTGTCAAACTGGCCCCGGTGTGTGCAGACTGAGCATTATCTCTGGAAGTACCTGTGCGGGTGTTTCTGGATGAGATCAGCATTTGAATTGGTGGACTCTACAAGGTAGACTGCCCTTCCCAATGTGGGTGGGCATCATCTAATCTGCTGGGGGCCTGAAGAGAACAAAAGGCAGGAGAACAAAAGGGGGGAGTCTGCCCCCTTTTCCTGCCCGCCTGCCTGAGCTGGGACAGCTCATCTCATCTTCTCCCACCCTCGGGCTGGGATTTATACCACCAGCTGCCGTGGTTCTCAGGCCTTTGGACTAGCCAGTCTCAAGTCTCCAGCCTGCAGATGGCAGACTGTGGGACTTCTCAGCCTCCATAATTATGTAAGCCACATCCTCATGATAAATTTCTTTATATATCTATATACACATCTACCGCTATGTCTATCCTATTGGTTCTGTTTCCCTGGAGAACCCTGATTGATGCAGAAGACTACTGAATATTCTTCAATACCCATTTCCCTTTGATCATTACCTTCTGTTCACACTGGCTTCCTGTGTTAGCACACCACAGTCTGTCTGCCAGAGGCCCTTGTGCCAACCATTTCCTCTGCCTGGACCTTACCAGAGAGGTCCAGACCACCCCCTTCTGAGCTGAGTTTAAAAATCATATCCTCAGAGCGGCCCTCCAGGGCCCCATCAGCACCTCCCATTATTGTTTACCACAGCCCCCATGTGCTTAATTCCAGCAGCAATCGCAATCTAATAAACTAAAAAAATAGTATCTGTCTCTCCCATGAAAATGTGCACTCCACGAGAGCAAAGATATTGCTTTGTTTTCCCCTGGGTCCAGGTACATTGCCAGAACAATTCAATAAATATTTGTTGAATGAACAAATGAATACATAAATGAATATATAATGAGCACACCTCATAGGATACTAACTTTATTACTCTGATCTAGAAGGTAATAAGAACTGGAGACCTACAGGCAAAAAAACTGTCCTGAATTTCCTTTCTACACTGCATCTCCTGAAGTGAGTGTTTTCTCCACATTATCCTGACATATATTTTTTCATCCTCCTCCCATCCCAGCACCTGCTCAGCACCTGGTGCCCTTACTGGGTCTGACATTCCAGGATGCTGTGCTTTTTTTACACAGCATTTCCCCCTGCTGGGGCCAGGGACTGAGAAAGGCTGATCTGTCAGATCCTTGATGGCCCCTGAGTGCAGGGCTTCAGGATGAGATTACAAGAGGACTAGAAGACAGGCTTCCTATATCTGAGAAGCGTGGAATCTCATGGATACACACAGCTATGTCATAGTTGAAATATTAAGTTTATCTACAGAATTATAGCTGTATATTGGAGTGCTCTGAATACTTGATTTGGATGGTCTAGAAATCCTGGGGCACAGCAATATTTTATGTCTTCATCTGGGAGGTCCTAAGAAGGGTTTGCTTATGGAATAAAAGCCCTTATGATCCGTGCACAGCGAGGCCTCTGTAGTGTTCTGAAGAAGAAACCTGACAGGACACACAAAAATTATTTTCCTCGTGGAGGGCATGGAATCAAGACAGATCCCCGATCCAGTCCTCACTCCCTGAACACTGCCCAGCTTATGCTAAATACGTATTTATGCACCTACTATATACCAGGCACAGTTCTAGGAGCTGATAATGTAGCCGTGAACAAAATGAAACCCCTGCCCACATGCTGTCCACATTCTGATAGGAAAAGATGGACAATCTGTAATCAGTACAACACAGTGTGCCCTCTGGACATAAGGGAGGGGCACAGAGAAAAAAACAAAGTAGGCTGAGGACAGAAGAGCAGGGGATGGGGTCAGGTAGCCAGGGACAGTTTCCTGCAAAGTGAGGAGCCAAGACCTAACCAAGGTGAGCCATGGCTTTCTGGGTGAAAACTGCTCCAGGAGAAGGCAAGCATGGGCCCTGGGGGGGAACACGATGTATTCAAACAGCACGGTGGCAGATGGGAAGGGTCCAACCAGCCACGCTAGGGACACCTTCTATCCTGTGGGACATGAGAAACCCTGGAGGATCAGAATAAAGTGGAGGAAAATTAAAGCTGAGCTTTGAGTGCAACTATTTTAAGACTAAATAGAGCTCACATTAAGTCTCTTAAACTGCCACTGGGTTCTAATTCGATGATTAAATTTATCTAGATAAAGGACTCTGAGATTCTCGCATGGTGGATCCATATGTTGCGCTAATACGTAAATGTCCATTATTTTACACAGGTCCAGGGAACCTGGCCATCATCTCGATGCACCAATTCTCCCTGCCCCACCCAAATTAGAATGTAGGTGGTCACATAGCAAACTACAACATGACCGGGATTTCAGCTCTAAAAAGTGCCATCAAGACGTGTTCCCCAACTTGACTGTGGCAGTCATTTCTTGGTATCCACCACTGCAGATCACATGCACACCTCAAATACATGCAGTTCAATTTGTCAGTCATGCCTTAAGAAAGCTGGGGGGAAAGGTGCCACCAAATGAAATAAAGAAGCGTTCCCCTCCCTTGCACCCTGCCAGCATTTCAGATCTGTCTTATCAAAACTCCCTGTGCTTGGGCTTAGACAGACGAAAGAAAAATGATGGGGAGCCAGAAAACCTGAGAAAACTACGCAAGTGCACTCCAGTGTCTGAATTTCCATTCTGGAAAGGAACGGGCAGCGCTCAGCCTCACAGCCCACCTGGGCACCTGGCATCAAGGCCACCCTCTGCCCTGGTCTGCGTGCAATGCCATGCTGGGCTCAGACACACTCCTGGAACAGCACAGCTCTCATGAGTCCCTGATAATGGCGTCCGCCACACGCCCACACCCTTTTGGCACTGTCTTCTGACTGACTGGGCTAAAAAAAGCTTCGATAAACCCCAAGGATCAGGGCTGGGCTGCTGTTCTTCTGAACATAAACACTGGTCAGGAGGTGATTACAGTTCAAGCAGAGGGGAGCAAAGTCCCATTTTCCCAGCACTAGGATTAGATGGCAAAGTAATATCATGGGCAGTTTTTACCCTCACAAATCCCTGACCTCCTTCCCTGAGGCCCCCTTCCCGGAGCCGTCTACATGCCTGCCTTTACTCTACGCCGGGACTCCAGTCTATAAGAGGATAATCATTTATGAATAAACCCATGATGATTTACGTTCCCCTCAAACGTGAACAGAACCCAATCATCTGTTTCTTGTGTTTTCCGATTCCAAGAAAAAACATTTCTTGGCTGAGGCTGTCTTGTTTCTGGCCAGATTTTCCTATATGATGTCTATGTTCTCTCGTGATTAACTCAGAGATATCAATCTACAACTACAGGAAAACCTCAATGGCTTTACTTAATTGGAGCACCAGGAGGACATGGTAAAGGACCACAGTGCTGGTTCTTCTAAGCGCATGTGGGAACTGAAGGAAAGAGGATGGGGAGCTGGACTCTGGGTACCCATGAGGGCTTCAGTACAGAAGACCCATGAGGACAGTGGTTATGTGTCAATGCAGTGCAGTATTAAAAATTACTATTTGCCTGCCTTTGCTCTGACATGAGTTAAATCCTTCTCATCTAGATTACAATAACATTTGACCCTGAGTTTATATAGACTAGGATCTTTTATGATGTTCCCAATCTTGCTTTAGTTATGGAGAAGCTCATTATAAAATAGTCTTACAGGAAAAACCTGATCACAGAGGGGAACACTATAGTGAAGCACCAATACTTTTCATCAAAAATGTTCAAGTATTGGCAATTTCATGTGTTTCAACATAATACTACTAGCCCTCACCCAACCACAGGTTACAGAGTGCCTGGAGCTGCTAGAATAGGCACAACTGTTCTCACCATATGCAAGGCTCATCCTCCTCCAACCTTCTCAATACATCATTACCAATTATCAAATCATTACATCTTTATGAAAAAGACTTGGCTTATATGACACAGGCAGAAGTGCCACCCTTTCACAACATTATGAAACGATGCCAAATAAGGCTAGCACACCTGCCACCTTTTGCATTTACTGAAGAGCTCTTATGCATGGACCCACTTGGCCTGTCTCTTAGTCACAGAAGGGGGCATGGGGCAGCCTGGCTCGGAACACCTGTGCCTGCTGATAGCAGACGTGCCAGCCTGCCAGAGACTGAGAAGCTGGACCTCAAGGTGTTGGGAGGTCGGGCTGAGGCTGTGGCTGCTGGGCCAGCTGATGCATGGGGAAAGGATATGCATGGTTTCCGGAGTAGGAAAAAGGTTTAGGAAATAAACAAGTGGAAAAATATCTGGAAAATGGAACCAGGTACAGTCCCTGCCCTCAAAGAGCAGGTGCTCAGTCTAAAGAAGTGGTCTATGCCTGGGTGCCCACTGCTCCAGACAGACTTAGAAATTCTATAATACGTGTAAGAAAAAAATCGTTAGTTTCCACTTGTTTTTTATTCTGGGGCTGGAGGCGTGGGGCATGGATTCTTACCCTCTTATTTAGCAGTATAGGCAAGTCATTATTTTCAGAGTTGTTGCAAAACAGAAAGGGGACAAAAATGTTACATGATGATGGATTATATTAGAGGAGTTCCTGTCGTGACCCTTGAGTTAGAAAGCAGATCTGCGTAAAATAAACAATCTGAGAGCTGAATGGGCAAAGGATATGAACAGTCAATTCACAGGAGGAAACAGAACCAGTAAACAAGCACATGGAAATATGTAATAATCTGTAGTCAGGGACATAGCTGAAAAAAATGAGAATGTTTCACAAAAGAAGGGTGGGCCGGGCGCGGTGGCTCATGCCTGTAATCCCAGCACTCTGGGAGGCCGAAGTGGGTGGATCACGGGGTCAAGAGATTGAGACCATCCTGGCCAACATGGTGAAACCCCACCTCTACTAAAAATACAAGCATTAGCTGGGTGTGGTAGCACATGCCTGTACTCCCAGTTACTCCAGAGGTTGGGACAGGAGAATCGCTTGAACCCAGGAGGCGGAGGTTGCATTGAGCCAAGATCGCGCCACTGCACTCCAGCCTGGCAACAGAGGGAGACTCCATCTCAAAACAAGAACAACAACAACAACAAAACGAAGGGTGGCAAGGTACCCATTTAGGGGACCCTCAGGCCCCTAAGTCAGTTACTTGCATTTGACAGTCGTAATGTGAGGAGCACTGAATAAGGCACAGTCCAGGTGCTCAGAAATAACAATGACCAATGGGCCAGGTGCACAGCAGAGATCAGTGTTAGGAGTCAGACCTGCAGGTGTTGCATCGGAATCCCAAGCAGGCACTGGCCCCCATACAAACTCGCCAGGCCTCCGTGTCTTCACTGTAAAATGGAATCGTAACAAGCGCATACCTCACAGGGATCCTGGGTGGCAAACGAAATGGGGGACCAGGGTGGACAGGCAGCATGGGTAGTGGTTAAGAATGCTAACTCTGGAATAAGATGGCCTGGGTTCAAACCTTGCCCCCTCCTCCAACTTAGCTGTGCAACATGGGCAAGTTACTTCACCTCCAGATGCCTCAGTGACTCCATCCATAAAATGGGGACAGTCATAGTATCTGCTTCACAGGGTTTATGTGAGGATGAAATGCATTCACACTTCTAGGCAGTGCCATACTTACAGCAGCACCTGGCACTGGACAAACACTATGGAAAACAGTGCCTGACACAGAACAAATGCACTAAGAGCATTTCCTTACACACACACCTGGAAACCACTTGCTCTAGTAACTGGCACAGAGTGGGTGTGGCATAAATGGTGGGAGAAATTCATCATAGCCTCTTCCCATCTGGGGGTGTGCTGAGATGCTGGAAAAGAGGGTCATCAAAAAAGGAGGAAAAATCCCTTAGCTCTTAAGCCCTAAGAAAGTGCTTCACAGCTTTTCCTTGACCATGAAAAATACAGAAGCAACACCCGCAGAAAGAATAGAATCCTAGTAATTTTGTGTTCTGAATCAAGCTAAGTTTGACCTTTGAGCAAATTACTGGCTCTCTGCTAAGAGTGTACAGACCCATCTATTCATCATAGACTTCACTGTCTGGGAATGAGCCCCGGAGCCCAGGCTCTGCAGGTTGTTGCTGTTACGTAAGCCAGTGCAGGAGCCGTGCTGAGAAAAGGAAACTGCGCAATCTGCTCAGGTTCCCAGGAAGGCCAGGGTCCTTGTCCCACCTGAGGAGCTGACTTCTCAACTGGCAGCAGATTCAGGCATGCACACTGCCTTCGCCGGCCACTGGAAGGGCACTGCTCCCAACACCCACTCACACGCTGCCTGGATGGCTCTGATGGGGGCCACTGGGCAGGCCGGACAGGCTGCCTCAAGGAGCTGGGGACCTGTGGTGTCAGACAAGCTGACCACCCCCCGGCAGGGGTGGGACATACGTGTGAAAAGGGGAGTCTGGGGGTCCCCCACACAGTCCATCTACGCAGATGCAGGCCAAGCTCCCCAGATAAGCCTGCCTCAAGGATTCTGGCCGAGGAGCAGAGGGGGCCCTTCCTGGAGGTCACCTGCCCTTGAAGCAGGTAGAGAAGACATCTTAGTGTGGATCAGTGCTGACATCTGTGGAGAGTGGACTCTCGGCACTTTCTGTCTGTGGACTCACGTCCCCATCCCCGGAGCCCTGTGAGGTGGCTATTATGAGCCCCATCCTACAAGTGGGCAAACTGAAGCACCCATGTCCATGCTACCAGGGAGCAGCAGTGCCAGGAAGAAGCTCAAGTGCCCGGCCTTCTTAACCTCTAAGCTCCAACAGGTGACCTCCAGTATAAGCGGAGGCCTTCCTGCCCTCCAGAAAAAGCCGAGAGTCTCTGTAGCGTGGTTCCCTCCTGCTTCTTTTGAATGAACGACTGGGAGGGAAGGCTGAGGAGACCCACAGGGGCCCAGGGACTGATGCAGGGAACCCCCTCACTGGGGAAAGAGAGAAAGAGTTGGCTAAAGTAGAAAAAACTCGAAGTGCAAGCAGGGCTGTGGCTCCTGCATGACCGAGAAAGCCTCCTTGCCCACTGGAGCCTCAGCTGAGGGCCTTCTCGAAGGCTCTGCTTTCTATATTCTCTCCACTCCCTGACCACGGCAGGCTGGGTTCTCGTAAGGTTTAGAGCCGTCTCAGGGACAGGAGCAACCCCCGCTGCCATGCAGAAGATGCAGAAAGTCTTCTTTTAGAAGCACTGGAAAATACATTCGAACCGGGATGGGCATTTCCTGATGATGTTGGAACACCAACACAGTACCTCAGGGTGCTTTCCACCTCGACAAAGGGCCGAGGACTTTGCCTCCCTGCCTTTATCTTGCGAGAACCTTTGCACTGTGGAGTGAAGGAGCTCGGCTGAAAACTCAACAACTGCACAGCCCTTGGCTGGACCCACACTAGGGAAGGTGTCTGCGAGGCTCGGGCCTGCTCACTGTGCTGTGCGTTGGTCTGCACACACTGGGACTTCGGTGATAACTTACAGAAGGGAAATGGGAGGGGAGGAGTAAAGAAGGGGTTGGACAGTGACACCAGCTTGAGACAGAGAGTAAGAATCCTGGGCTCCCAGTCTCAGTTTCGTCATGAACTTGCTGTGTGATGTGGGCCCAATCTCAGCATCTCTGGGCACAATGAGTGGCCACCAGGGCCTTTCTAGCATTCATATCTTACCCTTCCATGAATGAGCGAGGAACCCGTGCAGCCCAGTTCTGCAGCTACCAGCCACATGGGGCTATGTCAATGAAAATTAGCAAAAGTAAACACTCCTCGGTAGTACTAGCTACATTTTAAGTGCTCAATAACATGACAATTTAAATGAAAATTAATTAAAATGAAAAAAATTAAAAGTTCAGTTCCTCAGTCATGTCCACCACATTTCAAGCACTCAGTGGCCACAAGTGGCCAGTGGTTACTGCAGTGGACAGTGCGGATACAGGACACTCCCACCACCCTAGGGAGTCCTCCACAGGGCAGCATCGAGAGTGTGCAGATGGAGATGTGGCTCACAGAACGTTCGGGAAGCTGCTTCTTTAAAGAAGAATTGTGTGTCAGCTTGGAGCCTATGTAAAAGTAATGAAAGAAAGCTAGATGTGTCTGTTGGGGTAACTAGGTCTGTAACAGGGAAAGTCATCAAGATACCTGAAGGTGAGATAAAATACCATATTGCCACACCCAAGCTATGGTCAGTGGTGAAAGACTAGCGTGTTTCCATAAGATGAGAATACCCATCTGCTGCCTCTATAATGTTGAAATACAATTTGAAGTATTATAAACAAGATGGAAAAATCATCATTATTTGCAGGTGATACGATTTTATACCTAGAAAATGCAAAAGAATCAACTATTAGAAATAGTCAAAGGCTTTAGCACAGGTGGTTGGTTACAAAATTAATACACAGAAACAATAATCTTCTCTATATAGAGGTAAAAATAAGTGTAATTTAAAAATCCCATTTTTAAATAATTTCTTAAATTTACATAAAAATGTTCATATTGAAGAATCTAAAACATAAATACAAATTAAAGAAATAGATAGGGTCTATATAAAGAAAACTTCCACCCTGTACTGAGTAGAGAAAAGATGGCTTACATAAGTAGAATAACACCACAGGAACCTAGGATGTAAAGACGTCAACTCTCCCTAAGTAACTATAAACCCAAAGCAATCTCACTCAAAATATTAACAGGTTTGGATGTTCCATTTTCGTTTTCATTCTTGTAAGGGAGTAGAGGACAGTTTGAAAGTAACAGTATACTTCTAGAGTTCCCAAAGAAGAAGCAGCAAATGATACTAGCCAGGAAAACAAATACTGGAAAAAAAGAATAGGACAATTCACTGTATTAATTGTTAAATCACGCTAAAATGTAAGATCACAGTCATGAAAACAGTAGTATGAAACTGGCTTAGAAATGAACAAAAAGATCAAGAGAAGAATCCTGATAGAAGAGCATATTTGATCATTTAGGTGGTATTTCAAATCTTCAAAGAAAGAGCACTGCTTAGCAAACAACATTGGAACATCCCACAGGTAACATGCAAACGAGAAAACCAGAAATCTAACTCACTCCTCATACCAGAATGTCCAGTGAATTAAAAGCAAACATCAACAACAAAAATGTACAAGTTCTAGAAGAAAACCTACTCCTATACATCTTGGCCTAGGTATGAAACAACCTCAGGAGAAAGGAAGGCAAAATTTCTGCATCTGAACTACAAATAAAAATAATACAAAATTCTATGGAGTAAAAACACCATAAAATCAAATGGCAAACTGGAGAAAATATCTGTAATATGTGCAGTAAGGTACTAATTTCCTTAATAAGCAAATAACTTACATATTCCTAAGTACAGACGATAAACTCACCAGAAAAGTAGCGCAAGATATACACAATCAGTTTATAGAGGAAAAAAAGCAACAACTGACTAATAAGCATATGGAAGGGTCAGCTTTGTTCCTAATTAAGGAAAAGCAAATTCAAACAAGATGATACTATTTTACGTCTATCAGAGATCCTGGCAATGATTCAAAATGATTTCTAATCCCCAGTACTGGTGAGAATGTGGGCAGAGAGGAACTCATGCGATGCTGGGGGTAATACATCAGTATAAACAGTTTGCAGAGCAAACTGACAGTATCTATTAAAACGTAAAGTAACCATACCTCCTGGCTCAGAAATTCCACTTCTAGCAATGTATCTTACAAATACATTTACATAAGGAAACAAAGAATGCTATTTGCAACATTATTTATAATAGGGAAAAAAACCTGGCAACAACCTAAATGACAATCAATAGGAATAGCTGGTTGAGTTGTGTTATGTTCTAATCATGAATCATCAGGGAGTCATCAAAAGAAGTGCATTAAATTAGCTGGGTGTGGTGGCAGGTGGCTGTAATCCCAGTTGCTCAGGAGGCTGAGGCAGGAGAATCATTTGAACCCGGGAGGTGGAGGTTGCAGTGAGCCGAGATCACGCCACTGCACTCCAGCCTGGGCGACAGAGTGAGACTGTTTCAGAAAAAAGAAATACATTGAGTCTACTGACAAGATATCCACAACATGTTAAAAAGCCAAGTAGCAAAATATAGTATGCAATCTAATACTACGTAATGTAAACATGCAGATGGTACCTATTTAAGTGTATTTATCTTTCCAAACACACCACATATGTTTATACATGTGTGTGAAAGGGTATACATACACTCAACAGAGGCTATCCCTAAAGAAGGGTTGAGAGAAGATGGGATACCAACTATTACTTTGATAGTTAATTACGCCTCTGTGATTTGAGGCGTAATTAACAAAGTGATAGTTGGTCATAAAAAAATCATCTAACGAATGTGACAATCTATAGTTGGTGCCTACTATCAGCAAACGGTACTTACTATGAGTCATGCTCTTCATGCATTTCTCCCCAGTGCCATTAAATAGCCTCATGGGCAGCATGACCAATAGGTGTAGACCTATTGCAACTGGTGGGTAACTTTTTGCTTAAGTCAGCTTGTAATGGCTGTGTTGTGTTCTCTGGCTAGAAGGGTAGATAAGGGATAAGTTACCCTGAACCTAAAGCACGAGAACTGGCCCCAACAACCAAGAGTCCAGATCACGCTATGCTAAAGCCCCTCACTCCAATCTTCAGTCCCCTGGTACCTCCCTATGACACAGGTGGCTCACAGAACCATCACTGGGGACAGACTGCTGGGTGGCATGCTGCTGCAGGGCTAAGAATCGCGTTTTTAAAGGTTAGTTCATTTAATTAAAAGCACAGCAGGGTGCTGCCTACTTTCATTAAGAAAGGTCATCTTCCCCAGCATATTCTAATGGAAACCAGGGCAGCATTCAGAGATAGGAACCATCACAAGTTGATTTTGCTCTCTTAAGGTAAGATACGGCAAAGAATGACCAGCCACCTCCTAGCAGGGTGCTGAGGCTGGCTGGTGCAGTAGGTGGAGATTTAGCAGATGACAATGTATTTCTGAAAAGGTCTGTTTTTCCTCTAAAAGGCATTCTAGGAACCAGAGAGAGAAGGGAGAAAGGAGGGGAAGGGGAAGATCAGGAGAGAGGGAGGGAAAGGAAAGGAGGCGAGGAGACAGGAGAAAAACCTCACCACCAAGCATTAGCATTTATTTCTCAATTGCAATATTTTTATTTTAAGTTGTGCTAAGAAGCCTAGGATTTCTTTCTTCAATAATAATGATTTTTATGCTTTATAGTTCATGAGGCTTTCATATTCATTATGTTGAGATTTATTTTCAAAAAAGTGTTTAGAGTCTTAAGTTGTTTGCAACTTTGTAGCAAAGCTCATTTCACATTAAAACATCCTTTTAGCAAAGTCTCAACATACTATAGTGAAATTAATACAGGTTTTTCTAAGCATTTATAAGTGTTAATAAGCCATGCCAGTCTGCTGGCATAGCATATATGGTGCTGCGGTATTCTGAATATTCAGTATCTAAATCTGTTCATTTCATACACACATGCACGTGTGTTCACAAACACACATGCATGCAGGCACACACCACTGCAAAATTTTTAAGCTGCAGGACCCCCTGGCCTGAAAAAATGCACACAGCTTCTGAAAGTGCCTAAGTTACTCATGGGAAAATAAAGCTTATTATTTAATGGACTTAACAATATTTTCTTGTTCATGATGATGTTTTACTTCCACTGATACACAAATATTTATTAAGTGCCTACTATGTGGCAGGCACTGTCCCAGGAACAGGTTAAGCAGCTGCAAGCAATGTAGACACTGTAATTTCTGCATTTTAATAAAATTGCTAACTCATACTAAATACTTACTATGAGCCTGATATTATTGTAAGCCCTCTATTTGTATTATGTCTTTTCATCCTCACAACACAACCCCAGGAGGTAGGAGCTTTTATAATCCCACTTGATAAACCAGGAGACCTAAGTGCAGAGAAGTTAAGTTACTTGCCCAAGGTCACACAGCTGGTTACTGGCAGAACTGGGATTTGAATCCAGACCAACCCTCCTTACTGCTGTACATTGATGTAGTTTAACAAGAACAACTCTAAACTAAGGTGGGTGTCCATCTATAAAGAAGGTGAATGCTAGGCTGGGCACGGTGGCTCACACCTGTAATCCCAGCACTTTGGGAGGCCAAGGTGGGCGGATCACGAGGTCAGGAGATCGAGATCATCTTGGCTAACACGGTGAAACCCCATCTCTACTAAAAATACAAAAAATTAGCCAGGCGTGGTGGTGGGCGCCTGTAGTCCCAGCTACTTGGGAGGCTGAGGCAGGAGAATGGCGTGAACCTGGGAGGCGGAGCTTGCAGTGAGCCGAGATCGTGCCACTGCACTCCAGCCTGGGCAACAGAGTGAGACTCTGTCTCAAAAAAAAAAAAAAAAAAAAGAAGGTGAATGCTGTCCACATTCAGGATTCAGAGATAACAGTGATCACATGTGTAGGTATAGACACCTTCACACTCACTGCACTCTCAGCTGAGCCATGAAAATTACTAAGATTAATAAGCAGCAACAAAACCTGCACCTAAAGAAAATAGATGCACAGAAAAATAAGCAAAAAATTAAACATTGACCTAATATAAAACTGGTAACAACATATTCATTGACATTAAAACAAGATCCTTCATAAAGACTAAATAAATATTTTCTGAGTATCTCCTGTCCTTGATACGATCACAAACGTTACCATGCTACATGCAATTCTCACAGCATCCTAGTAAGCCACCATCTAGACCTCTTTACAGACACAAAGCTGAAGATGCTCAGAATCTCAGGCACAGCCCCGAAGGCAGCCAGCTGGGTCCACTTCATTCCAAGCCACAAATGCAACACAGAATGCTCTGTGCTGCCTCTGCATAACCACCCCTTTCACTAAATGCAGGAAGTCACCCCCACAACCAACAAGCTCTATACCCGCACCCCATTTCACCCTGTGTCTAGTTTGAAAGATACATCTTGAATTTAGCTATTCTAGAAAGAGATACCAATACAAATGAACCCTGAATCACTTTCCAAACACCTGCAGGTGTTTCCAGGCAGTTCATGAACTGTAACACAGTGAATTTTTCTGAAGGGTGGTCTGTTTTGAGGGGCTGCACAGCAGTTTTACTGATTGCGGACCAGACCACCTGAGATCTACAGGTTGGGATGCATGTGAGGGAAGCTGTACAAATTCCCCAGAATCGTGACTCCAGCCCAGAACACTGTCACTACTTGACTAGAGTGGTGGTAATTCTGGAATCATCCGGGTGACCTGCCTACCAGCAAAAGCTTTTCCTTCTTAATCTACTGAGTAACCTAATACCTGAAGCCAGCTCAGAAAATTCCCATTATCTCTGAAATAAAATGTTTTCATCTGAGTTCTCTCTCTGTATTTCTTTATGCTGATATTTTCATATTTCATATTCTTTTCATAATAATGCTGATAATTTCAGTCATCTTCAGGAGGAGGGTCATTCCTTTCAAAAGTCTCCCCTTCAGGTGAGCACGTTCCCCTATTTGTATTCTAAACAAAGCGGGCAGCATCTCCCAGCAGCAGGGAATAGGTCCACTCAGGAAGCGGCTTTCTCACCTGCACAGTTTCTGCTGGAGGGAGAGGGGTGTCTCTCCACTTGAAAGGTTCAATTACACACTTATCTTTATAATAATAGCTTCTCTGCAGCACAAGGCATGACTTCTCCCTTCTGAAAGTGCACTTTGCCTTTGATGCCTGAAATAAAGTGTAAGTCAACCAGCAAGCTCCACTGCAGCACACACATGAAGTTACTGCCCCCCGGCGGCGACCGCTGGTCTTTGAACAGCATTGGACAGGCCCTCGGTGCAAAGCTCTCCGGCCCCTCCACAAGCTGGAGACTGCTTCTCCCTACCTGCGGCCTGGGGACAGCCTTCCCTGGCAATATTACCGGGTTCCAGCTGGCTTGGACTCCCGAAGTCCCCCGGTTTGTATGCTCCGGGTTCTTTTGGATGGCGCTGGGAAAGGGGAGAACATTATTCGTTGGAGAATTAAGTGGGCAGAGTAAAACCAGCAGGCTGCAAGAAAAAAAGACCTGCTTTTGAGTTTTGCTAGTATCTATTGAGCACCCTTGAGGAAATTTCGTCACCCTTCTCAGCACGAATTTCTCACTGAAGAGATGAAAGGCACAGCCTTGGAAGAACCTTCTGGTCCCAGGACTTCGAGAACCCCAGAGTCGGATATCCAGTTACCCCGGGATTCCACAGTGCTTATTATTTTTATAAAGGGTGAAGAAGTCTCCTTCATCTATGAAATGGGGAAATAATAGTATATATCTTAGAAGGCTGTAAGAAGGATTCAAAGAGATGATGTACCTAAAATATCTGGCACAAGTGGTAAGTGCTAAGTAAATAGGAGACCTATAATTGATTGTAAGTATAATTGATTGTAAGTGCTAAGTGAATAGAGGACCTATAATTATAATTTATCACTCAAGCTTCAGAGTGGGAGAGGGTGCTACTAATGATTTCACTTGGATGACAGGCATAAGCCAGGATGGACAAAGTGGATGAGACATGTCACCTTATCAATCAATAATTGCCATCATGACATTTGGAAAAGTCTTCAATGTTGGCAGATGTTTTGAGAAACATTTTACTCAAGTGATCTGGCCTTGTGAGGCTATTTTTGGCAAATCTTCAAGCAGTAACTGGACAGAATCCGTCTTGGGGTCACTTCTTTTTTCTTTTTGAGACACAGCTCTGTTGCCCAGACTGAAGTACAGTGGCACAACCTTGGCTCATTGCAACCTCCGCCTCCCGGGTTCAAGCGATTCTCCTGCCTCAGCCTCCCGAGTAGCTAGGATTACAGGCGCCCACCACTACGCCCGGCTAATTTTTGTATTTTTTAATAGAGATGGGGTTTTGCCACGTTGGCCAGGCTGGTCTTCAACTCCTGACCTCAGGTGATCTGCCCGCCTCAGCCTCCCAAAGTGCTGAAATTACAGGGATAAGCCACAGCACCCGGCCATCTTGGGGTCATTTAAATCATCCCTGACACAGGGGTCATCTCAGATCAGTACTGTATATGTTTCCAAGACCAATTAAAGACACAAAGTTTAAGTGACTGAAATGTACCTCCTCTCTAGCCACATGCTGGACAAAACAGGGTACGGGTGTAAGCCAGAGAAGCTGTGTGGAAGAGAACTAGAATCACATTGAAGAAATGCTCTTTTTGAGCAGATTCCTACATGGAAAACTCTGATTTACCTTATGAGGGTGTGGGGAATGACAGGCAAGTGGGCTGTGAGTTCCGTGAAGGGAGAGGTGGTGTTTGTCATTCACCAAGATCTGTCTAGAGCTGTGCCCTCCTTACACTGGGGAAGTGGGCTGCCAGCCTGGGGCCCCACAGCTGGTTTTGCAACCAGCACAGTGCTCAGAACAGAGATGGCACCCAAAAGGTATTTGTTGAATAAATGAATGAATGAATGGATTGATGGAGCCAGGATTCAAATCTGGGTCTGCCTGGTGCCAGTGTCCAGGCACTGCCTTCCACCTGAGCAGCAGGGTGCCACCTGCCTGGCACGCCATCGGCATGCATAAACATCCATTACATATATGTGATAGTTAATATTAAGTGTCAACTTGATTGGATTGAAAGATGCAAAGTATTGTTCCTGAATGTGTCTGTGAGGGTGTTGCCAGAGGAGATTAACATTTGAGTCAGTGGACTGGGAAAGGCGGACCCACCCTCTATCTGCGTGGGCACCATCTAATCAGCTGTCAGAATAAAAGCAGGCAGAAGAATGTGAAAAGACTAAACTGGCTTAGCCTCTCAGCCTCCATCTTTCTCCTGCGCTGGATGCTTCCTGCTCTCAAACATTAGACTCCAGGTTCTTCAGCTTTGGGACTCAGACTGGCTTCCTTGCTCCTCAGCTTGTAGACAGCCTATTGTCGGACCTCACCTTGGGATTGTGTGCGTCAATACTCCTTAACAAACTCCCTTTTAACTCCTCTTTATATATATCGATCTATCCTATTAGTTCTGTCCATCTAGAGAACCCTAATATAATATAAATACATGACTGAAAGAATGAAGAGTCGTAACTCATGTGAATCTCTGTTTCCCGTAGGTAAAAACACTCTCTTCACAGAGCTATCCTAGGATTGAAATGAGATGTGAAAGATATATGAAAAATTCACTCGCATTAATGCCATGCTTTAAGATGATAAGCAGCAGCCAGGTGGAGTGGCTCACACCTGTAATCCCAGCACTTTGGGAGGCCGAGGCGGGTGGATCACAAGGTCAGGAGTTTGAGACCAACCTGGCCAACATGGTGAAACCCTGTCTCTACTAAAAATACAAAAATTAGCCGGGCGTGGTGGCAGGCACCTGTAATCCCAGCTATTCAGGAGGCCGAGGCAGGACAATCACTTGAACCCGGGAAGCAGAGGTTGCAGTGAGCTGAGATCGTGCCATTGTACTCCAGCCTGGGCAACAGAGCAAGACTCGGTCTCAGAAAAAAAAAAAAAAAAAAAGATGATGAGCAGCACAGGCTTTAGAGTTAGCTGAAACTGGGTTTGAGTCTAGGGATCAACAGTTCCTCACCTGTGTGACCTCAGACAGGTTTACTTGGCCTCAGATTCCTCCTCTATAGAATGGGGATGATAACAGTACCTATGCCACAGAGTTCTTGTAAAGATAAAATGATACGTCTTGTGGAGTCCTGATAAGTAAACAACAATGAGAAAGGGGCCCCAGATGGGAGAGAACAATGAACAGTGATTCTGAGAAATGGCCAATCACAAACAACCCCGGGCACAGTGACCTTTTTCAGCACATAGGCCCCTCCAGCGCAACCCTATAAAACTTCCTTCCAGCCTCTGCCGCTTGGCAGACGGCCCCTTCTCTGCTGTGCTGCCTGCTGCACCCTTGCAACATATTTTTATACTTTCTCTAATAAATCTGGCTTTCTTTACCTGCAACTGTCTTGGTAAATTCCTTTACTGCCTGTGACACTGACCCCGGCTAGGTGCACCCGTGACATGTATTACATAAATAGGGTACTTAATATACAAAATAAAGCACTTCATATTAATGAATAGAAACTATTTTATTATCTTTAAAATAAAGCACAAAGATTAACAAAAATTAAAGGTGATTATCATGGATTAAATGCTTGCATCCCCCAAGTCCAAATGCAGAAGCCCTAATCCCCAGTGTGGCTTTATTTGGAGATGAGGCCTCTAAGGAAGTAATTAGGCTAAAGGAGGTCAGAAGGGTGGGGCCCTAATATAATAGGATTAGTGCTCTTATAAGAAGAGACACCAGAGAGCTTGCTCCTCTCTCCACACACTGAGGAAAGACCACGTAGGGACACAGGGAGAAGGGGGCCATCTGCAGCCCAGAGGAGAGGCCTCACCAGAAAGAGACCATGCTGGGACCTCGACCTCAGACTTGCAGGCTCCAGAACTGTGGGAAATACATGTCTATTGCTCAAGCCTCCTAATCTGTGTTTTTTGTTATGGCAGCCTGAGAAGATTAATAATACAGTGATAAAATAAGACATGCTATTGTTATGTTGAGGAACTTTCTGAATTAAATAATATTTTTGTCTCTTAATCGTGAATTCAGGCCGACCTCAGATACCTCTCTCTTTGGCATTAATTATGATTGCACATGGGAATTTCATGCGGCACCTGCTGAAATTAGTAACAAAAGGAAAAGTACTGGACCTTTCCAAGTTATAAAAGGTTTAGCTTCCCGAGTTCTTTGTTCAGAAATATGGTGGGTAACTGCTCTTGATACTCAGAAACTTAGTAACCTAGCTATAGTCCTCTCAATGAAGTGTTCCATGTTAAACTATAGTGGCTAAAACTATTCTTTTATGGAGCTGAAGCTAAAAAGAAAAAAATCAGATTAGAAAAAAATCCTCTTTTTTTCCTCCAAATAAGTCTTTTTAATAATGTCAGGGATCCGTTTGGATTTGCTCCCTTTTTTTTTTTGAGACAGAGTCTTGCTCTGTATTCCAGGCTGTAGTGCAGTGGCGCAATCTCAGCTTACTGCAACCTCTGCCTCCAGGGTTCAAGCGATTCTCATGCCTCAGCCTCCTGAATAGCTGGGACTACAGGCGCGTGCCACCACACTGAGCTAATTTTTGTATTTTCTAGTAGAGATGGGGTTTCACCATGTTGGCCATGCTGGTCTGGAACTCCTGGCCTCCCAAAGTGTTGGAATTATAGGCATTAGTCACCACACCCAGCCTTAGAAAGAAATCTTAATATGCATTTCTAAACACTGATTGCTCCACAGAAGTCAAAAAAGTTTCCAAATTAAAAAATGTACTAATGAATATCTAACTGTGGTAGGCAGCCTATAGCAGGGATCGCCAACCTCCGGACCACAGACCAGTGCCAGTCCATGGCCTGTTAGGAAGCGGGCCACACAGCAGGAGGTGAGCAGCGGGTGAGCCAGCAAAGCTTCATCTGTATTTACAGCTGCTGCCCATTGCTCACATTACTGCCTGAGTTCCAGCGGCAGCAGAGTCCCATAGGAGCATGAACCCTATTGTGAACTGTGCATGTGAGGGATCTGGGTTGCCCACTCCTTATGAGAATCTAATGCCTGATGATCTGTCACTGTCTCCCATCAGCCCCAGATGGGACCATCTAATTGCAGGAAAACAAGCTTAGGGCTTCTACTAATTCTACATTATGGTGAGTTGTATAATTATTTTATTATATAATAATAGAACTAAAGTACACAGTAAATGTAATGCACTTGAATTATCCTGAAACTAGCTCCCTGCCCCCTGGTCTGTAGAAAAACTGTCTTCCATGAAACTGGTCCCTGGTACCAAAAATGTTGGGGACCACTGGCCTATAGGATGGCCCCCAGGGATCCCCACGTCCTGGTATTTACACCCTTTTGTAATTCCCTCTCCCTGAGTGAGATTTGCACTTACCGACTCGCTTCTCAGGAATAGAATACAGCGAAAGTGATGGGATATCACTGAGATTAGGCTACAAAAAGATGGTGGATCCCATTCCATCTGGCTTGCTCTGAGGGAAGCCTGCTGCCATGCTGCAAGCCACCCTATGGAGAGGGTGCAGCAGCCCCCACACAAGTGAGCCTGGCAGTAGATACCACTCCTTCAGTTCAGCCTTCAGATGAAACCACAGCTGATATTTTATTGCAGCCTTGGGAGAGACTCTGAGGCAGGGGCACCAGGCTAAGCCATCCCTGAATTTCTGACCCACAGACACTGTGACATAATTAACATTTATTATTTAAGCCACTAAGTGTTGGGTTTGTTACATGGCAGTAGATAACTAATACACAAACCTATATTGTATATACAGACCCAATCACTCTGACAGGCATTTTATGTGTATCATAAAATGTGAGTACTATCAACAGCTCCATTTACAGGCAGGGAAACCAAGGCATCGGTAGGATAAATAGCTTCCCAGAGTCACACTGCATAAGTGGGAAAGGTATGCTTAAGACCCATAGCCTTAACCAGTATGCTTCCCAGCCTCCTCATGTAGACTTCACTGGGGAATGTGAGCATATTAAACCCAGCTAAATCTTCAGAGGTGAAAATAAATAAAAAACCTACCCCAACTATATCAAATATGGTAAAGAATTTCTATGATGATTGAAATTTACACAACATGAAGCCAACCCTTTCCCCAACGTCAAAGTTTGAGTTAAGGTAATTAATATTCTCCTGAGGTTACACTTTGAAAATGTTTCTGTTTTTCCCAAGAAGAGACATTTTTACTTTCTACTGCCATGGTATAGCCTCCTAATGCTCAGAGATCATGGCAGAGTGATCGGCTGTGTCTCATCAGCATTCTTATGCTTTGATGGTGATTAGTATTTACAAAGGAAAAAATTGTCTCTCACAACTGAACTGTATGTGAAATGACTGGCACTTCCTCAGCATCCTTGAGATGAGTCCTAATGATTCTGCATAGACAATGTACACCCAGGGTCTACCCATCCCACACATGCTGATGTGTGCACAGTCACTATTACTGTACCAGGAGTGATGCGTTCTCAGACCTGCGCAAACAGGCCCTGCGGTGATATGTATGAAAATGAGTGGATCACATTTTTTTAAAAGGAGAGAAACAAAGAGACAAAGAATATAGCCTGAAATATAAACATTGGAACCAACAGCTCCTGCCTTAGCTATTCTGCTCTAGCACAAAGCCTATTTTTTGTTCCTTTATGTAATTGTCCTGAGGCTGGAAAAGCCTGAAGTTGCAGGCAGTAACATTTAAAGCTACTGCTATGGAAGAAAAAATGCTTTAAGTAATGAAGGTGACAGCAGATTGAGCTGAGAGGGGAACCAAGCAGTTGTTAGGGGGTGGAGTGGTGAGGAGGATTTAAAGCAGCTCTGGATGTGAAAAACATCTGATTTTAGAGTCAGAAACCCTAAAATTAGAGAAATAGTGGAAAACTGAAAATAAACTTCGCACATATGTAACATGTAGCTTTCAAAAATGTACAACATTCTGAACCTTCCCAAATAAATTAAACTCTATACCATATTGGAGATAAGATCATTTAAGGGGAAATTTTATTCAGAATTTAAATCTGAGAAACCGCATGCCTCACCCTCACACTAGGGTGAAAAGTGAAAATGGCCTAAAACTGCCTGGATTTTCCAGTGCAATAGAACCCAACTGTTACTCTCCTGCTAGGATGTCACATTTTACAATATGCTACAACAGACTGGCTTGGAAGAGGAACAGGCAGAAACGCAGCCAAGTATATACAACCTCAGGAGTGGAAACTATGTACATCAGCAGGGCCACCTTAGGTCCTCAAAACACTTCAATCATCAAATTGCTTTCGAATGATGTCCTGCGACCAGAAAACAAGTTTTGGGAGGCCAAGTGCATGATCTGCCGTTTGGGTGGAGAGTGAGCAGCACCCATTAAGGCGAACGGAGGTAACCTAAGGTTAAACCAAATGCCCCATCTCCTGGTCTGTGGGCACCAGTGACCCCGCCTGTAGGCCACAGGGTCAAACAACAATCAGGAGAAGGAAGCCTGCAGACCAAGGGCCTGGCTCCCGGTTCAGGAAATCAAGGCACAGAAAGGGTAAGTCATCTAGCTAGAAGTGGAGCTTCATCAAATTTTCAGTGATCTTTTTAAGATATAACGATGCCTCTGGTCAGGCCAAACCCCGGCTTCAGACAATGGTTCCCAACCTCAGCTAACAATTAGAATCACCTGGGGAGCTTTCCAGGCGATTCCCAGCCCCAGAGATTGGAATGGGTTTGGAGTGGCCTGGAAATGGGAATTTTTCAAAGCTCCCTAGAGACTCTGACGTGCAGCTAAGGTTGGGAGCACTGCTCAAAGGTCTCTACTCACATAAAGAATGGAAGGATGTCACTTCTACTTCTTTCATGCTGATCCGAATATTTTGTTATTAAAAGAAAGTCATGATAGCACTACATCTATCACAAATCTTAGGTGAGTTGTTTTTGTTTTTTTTAGGTAAGTTTACTCAAGCGAAAAGAGTAAATTTTTCTATAATTTTCTGACTTAGCCTTCCAGCAAAGCTCTATGAATCAAATATACATTCATATTTCAGACAACTGAAAAAAGGGTATTTGTTTCCATTACTATACGGAACTATATTCACTGCTTGGAAATGAACGGAATATTATCTGAGAACTCTTAAATTCCTGGTCAGCTTGATGATGACTGAATAAACTCTTATTCCAGGGAACCAACTAACCATTTTCAGCAATTCAAAGCACATGTAATTACTGGTTCAAAGCATTTTGAATTGTTTTGCTTTTCTAAATAGAAAAGAAAAAAAGACTCACAAAAAGAGTACTATAATGGAATATGTTCATCAAATATTTGTACAAACAGAAAATAATCATATTTTAATAAAAGTTTTCATTCATCTGTAACAGTGTGAATCTAATACATTTAATTAACAAACTCATTATACAGTATTTACAATATTGATCCTGAGCCAGCCAATGAAAACAAATCTTACATATCTGGCCAAGCAATTATAGTTACAAAACAGCTTCTGATGTAAATTTTCAAAAGAATTCTAGTTCAGGTTAATTTTTTTTCTTTCCTTGAAGACTAAGCTTACAGAATCATGTGACTATATATAAAGAAGTTTGATCCAGTCTTTTTTCCTCACACCATCACTCTCCAGATCCAACAGACTGGCTAAGGAGGGGACGGCCAGACCCCCAGGGACTTTTGTCAGCATTGCAGTTAATGATCTGTTTACACAAGGGGAGATACCACCAACCTAAAGTAGATTTACATTTACATTACATCATCCAAAGGTGACACCCCAGTCTTAACAGTAAGACTGCCACATTGAAACCGCAGAAACTACATATTCCCACCTAGAAGGATGGTTTCAGCTAAATGAGAAATGGTCCACTTGCTGCAAGGCTTACCAAGGACCCGCTGTGACTTTAGCTCTCAGGTTGCCCACTGCATAGAGCTATTTGCCCTCAGAGACTGGGACTCCCTTAGCCCACCTGGTTTTTGGGTTTTCACTGATTGCTGTATATCTCACAGGACCCTAGAATTGGACATCAGTGCACAACCCTCCCTCATCCCCATTCTGAAGCTCCAGATTCTCCAAATGGAGAGAAGAGGCTCAGATGGAGGCTCTGCCCCTTTCTCCATCTCCAATACCACCATCCTAGTCCCACTCCCTTCCTATCTCCCCTGGATGATGGCAACAGCCTCCTACCAGGTCTCCTTGCTTCCTCTCTAGCCTACCCAGTTTCCCTCCTGAAAGCCATTCTCCACCAAGATGTGCAATTAGAATCACACCTGAATCCTTACCATGGCCCCAGGGGGATGTTTTCTGGTTGCTTATCCAACCTCAGCTACCAATCGCCTCTCTGTCTCTCATGCAACCCTTCAAGTCCTTTAAAAATGGAGTTCACCCTGCACTGGAGCTTCTGCACCTGCTAGTCCCTCTGCCGGGATGCCGGCCACACAAACACCTCCCCAGGGAGCTTCTTCCTGTCAACCTGGTCCAGGCTGTGCAGAGGCCTCCCTGGGCCACTCCATCTAAAGTGGCTCCCTACTAACTCCTCTGTGTAAGTCCCCTTTATCCACACTGTCCCCAGAGCCATTATCTACCCTTCTGTGGGCCCTGAAAGGATGACCCAACCTATGGACTCCACTGCAGGGGCTCCCTTGCCTCCTAGCTGTCCTTTGAGTTCTGCCAATGAAATCAGAAGCCTGAGAATTTCTTCCCTGCCTGTACCCTGCCTTAGCATCTCAACTCCACACCTTCAAGTCTACAGCTCCTGGCAGGCAGCTCCTCCCCTAGGTTTCCAGCCACGTGACTTCCTCCCCCAGCTCCAGCTTCCAGCTGTTGCTCATGGCTGCAGGCCTGGACATCCCTTGTTAGTTCCCTCAGGACTGCCCCAATTCACCAGCTCTTCAACAAAACCCCCACAGTGTTAGGACCTGACCACTCTGACCAAGCCCCCTCCCCTTGCTCTCTATCCCTGTTTCAGTCTCTTCATCGCATTTATCACTATCCGAAATGATCTTGTTCACTTGCCTTTTTCCTATTGTCTATCTCCCCCTCAACCACTGGATCCTAAGCTCCATGAAAGCAAGGAGCTTGAAATGTTCCCTGCTTTATCCTCTGGGCCTAAACCAGTGGCTGGAACACAGTAAGCACTCAATAGACAGCAAAGCCTGAATGAACCAATGCTACATTGTCTCTGCTCAAAATATCACCATATCAGTAAGACCTTCCCTGATCATCTTATGGAAAATAGCAATCTCCCCTCCACTCCCAGATCTCCACTCCCTCCTCCTGCCCTCCAAGTCTTATTTTTTCCTATAGCATCATTACTTTCTGATACATTTGATATTTCTTTATTGCTTGTTTCCCTTCCAAAAAATGTCAACCCTGGAGGCAGAAATGCTATTTTATTTACTGATGCAGCCTCAGAGCCTAGGACAGTACCTATCCCGTAGCGAAGTCTCAATAAATATTTGTTAAAATGAATAGCTAGCGAAGTGGGCAAACTTTCATACAACACAATTTCAGGATTGTATCCAACACTGGAAAAAATTGTCTCCAACACTACAAGTAAGTGCCGTCTTACGTGACTTGACCTTGTTCTAGCAGAAAGACAGCCTAGAACTCCTAAGGAAAAGGTCTGAAATGCTGGCTAGCGCTTAGTTTATATGGAGAGGAAAAGGTTTTAGAGTAAGATCAATCAGTAAGACCCTGAGTTCCTGACAATTGCTGCTCTAGAAAGCATGCCTGGAAGCTTACCTAAGCACACGGCCATTGTAATTCCTTTCAGAAAGTAAGTGAACATATAAATTATAAATAAATGACACTTACATACACCATTCTGTTTCACAGTGGTGTTGTATTGGCAGCAGCCTTCAACTATAGTTCATTGACAGCATTTGTGGACCCACAGCCAAGCGCTGAAAGCACTGCTTTTTTTGACAGCTGCTCTCCTAATGGGGCATCTCTCAAAGACCGGTTTCATTCTGTGACGCCCACGTTGTCCACATTTTATTCTGCACAATAACTGCAGATTTGAAATAAATTCTTCCTCCCCACCACCATTATTGATTACTCATACCTGCCCCTCACCCTCCAAAGTGTCTAAATTGTGTGGATTTTGCGGGGGTGGGGGGAGGCGGGGGAAGGAGTCGACTCCCCATGTACTGGGTGTCCCCGATGGCGGCAAGCCACACCTTCACACAAGGGGGCAAGGTTCTTGACTAAATATCCTAAAGGTCTGAAAGATGGTCCCCTTCCCCCCAACACAATTCCACCAAAACTGGCCAGCCGCTGGCTAATGAGCAACCACGGATCCTCACCCAAACATTGGCTTTTCTTCCAATAGTGCAGATTGGGAATGCAGGGACGTCGTCCTATTTATGAACACTGAGTCACGTCGCCGCTCAATGTCTGTTTCCTCCTCCCTAGGAATGAGGTGACCCCCTCCTCCAGCGAGTAAATGCGGGGCGATGGCGAGAGCGCAGGGGGCGGCGGCGCTGCCCCACCTTGGGGAGCGAATTCACCCCCCTAGTCGCACCAGCCTGGGCGCACACGGGGGCCGGGGCGAGCCTGTGGGACTCTGCAGTGAGCTCCGCGCGCCCCGGGGGTGCTAGGGGACCGGGACCCTCGGGGCGCCGTCCCCACGCCCCAGCCCTGACGGGTCCGCGGCCGAGCAGCCCGGGGGACGTCGCTGCCTCCCCGCCCCGCGCGCGGCCGGGACTGGGCGCTGCGACCCGCGCCGCCTCCTCGGGCAACAAGTGTCCGCCCTCCGCCCCGACGGCCCGCCCGGCGCGGTCCTCACCCGGCACAGGCCGTCCACGAACACGCGCGGGTCCAGGTGACAGGCGATGGTGGCGCTGGGCAGGTCCTGCAGGTCCACCTCCTCCATCTCGCAGTCAATGAAGCTCCAGTCGCCGCCGCCCTCGTCCGCCTCGGCCGCCCCCGAGAGGGGCGCGAAGGGCCGCAGCGTCACCCCGGGCCGCGCTCGCGCCTCGGCCGCCTCCGCCGCCTCCGCCGCGGCCCCGAGCTGGGGACCGGCCACGCCGTCCTCCATCCCCGCGCCCGCGCGACCCTGTGCGCCCCAGCGGGCTGCTCCGGGCTTGCGCGCCGGAGCCTCACGCGCTCCGGTCCGCGCCCGGCCGGCGGCTCCGCCGTTAACCCCCTCGGAATCGCGCGGCGGCAGGCGGCGGGCTGTCAGCAGTCTCCCAGCGACACGGCCTCCCAGCGCCAGCCCCGCCCGTCACCGTTCCGCGCGGGAGGGGCAGAAGCCCGGCGCGGCGACCGCCCCCCCAGCCCCTAGGGCCGGCCACCGGCAGATCCAACGGTGGCCCCTTTAAGGCCGGCGCCGGTTGGGTTATTGTACCCCGCCCTTCCAGGAGACGGGGCCAATAAAGGAACGGAATTCTCTTCACGTGACCTTCCTTCTGCCGCCCGAAGCCCGAAGCCTCAGGGCGGCCATGTTGGTTAGGGGCAAAGTCCTCGTCCCCAGTTCCGCTTTTCTGACAGCTGGTGCCAGCTGAAGGACGCCGGGCAGAGTCCTCGGCTCTTGGGCCCTTGGGGTGATAACTGGGGAGGCAACGTTTTTGTGGTTCCCATGCGGGGACGTTTTGAAGCACAGGGGCCCACTTTTGGGAATTTAAGCGAGACATAGTCTCCCTGTGGCTCTGTGGCCCCTGGCAAGTGGTTAGATGCTTACCGTATATTATCAGATATAGTCGCAATAAAGACTGAACTAGACCATGATAACAATGCCTTACTTTTCTATTTCAGCGTATTAGTCACTATACCATTGTGAAAATTTATGTAATTAGAAGTAATTTTTCTGAATTACCATTATATGCTATGTACAATAGGACATAACGAAAGAATTAAGAGATCACCCCTTTCCTTTGGGGAATAGCGGAAAAATAAGAGGACCTCAAGTGAGCAGACATGTCTCTTCCTGAAAAATAGAATTCTTTTTTGGACAGTATGATACAGTGAGAACTTGGGTCTGAATTTCAGCTTTGCTTTTTAACTACTTGTACAAATAAGCTGAATCTTAGTTTCCTCATCTGAAAAAAATGAAGACATATTACTAAGAATTCAGTCAGTGCTTAATAAATGGTAGCTGTTTATGCACTGGGTTCTTTGGAGGTTGTGAAATTACAGTTATATTTTTTCTTAGAGTAGGCTTACTCTCTAGTTAGGAAGTGTTAGTAATTATAACAAAAAGTATATCCAACAGCTGAGATTTATTCAGAACTTGCCATGTGCACGGTTCTATGATTACTATTATCATAGTCTTAGGACAGTTTGTGTCCTCAGGGAGCTAAACCCAAGAGGAATAATAATACCCATCTAGAGATAACTCATAAAATAGAATATGATATGAGGATGTGAAGAAATTGGAACCGTCATACTGTGAAAGGGAAATCTTGGGCCCCCAAAATCACTAAGGAAAACTAAAGCTGGAAGTTGCTTAGAGCCAACCAGCCTCCCATTCCATTCAAAGTCACCCCTCTGCTCACTGAGACAGATGCATTTCACCGAGACAGATTTGCCTCCTTTATAAAGACTAATCAGAAACCCAAAGAGTGTAACCGTTTGTCTATCACCTATCTGTGACCTGGAAGCTCCCTCCTGCCTCCTGCCTTTGCAGTAGTCTTCCTGCCTTTGCTTCAAGTTGTCCTGCCTCTCCAGACCAAACCAATGTACTGCTTACATACATTCATTGATGTCTCATGTCTCCCTAACATGTATAAAACCAAGCTGTGCCTTGATCACCTTGGGTACATGTCCTCAGGACTTCCTGAGGCCTGTCATGGGCATGCCCTCAACCTTGGCAAAATAAACTTTCTAAATTAATTGAGACCTGTCTCAAATTTTCAGGGTTCACAATATATTGCTGATGGGCATGTAAAATGGCGCAGCCACTTTGGAAAACAATTTGGCAAGTCCTCAAAAAGTTCTATGTAGAGTGACCATATGACCCAGCAATTCCTCTCCTAGGTATATACTTAAAAGAAATGAAAACGGCCGGGAGCCATGGCTCACGCCTGTAATCCCAACAATTTGGAAGGCCAAGGCGGGCAGATCACCTGAGGTTGGGAGTTCCAGACCAGCCTGACCAACATGGAGAAACCCCGTCTCTACTAAAAATACAAAATTAGCTGGGCGTGGTGGCACATGCTTGTAATCCCCGCTACTCGGGAGGCTGAGGCAAGAGAATCTTTTGAACCCCGGAGGCAGAGGTTGCAGTGAGCTGAGATCACGCCACTGCACTCCAGCTTGGACAACAAAAGCAAAAACTCAGTCTAAAAAAAAAAAAAAGAAAGAAAGAAGTGAAAACATATGCCCACACAATAATCTGTACACAAAAGCTCATAGCATCATTATTCAAAATAGCCAAAGAGTGGAAACAGCCCAAATGTTCACCAGTTGAAGAATGGACAAACCAGGAGTATATCCATACAATGGAATATTTTCCAGCCCTAAAAAGGAATGAAATGCTGATAACATGCCACAACATGGAGGAATCTTGAAAACATTATGCTAAGTGGAAGAAGGCAGTCACAAAAGGCCACATGTTATTCCATTTATATGAAATGTTCAGAATAGGCAAATCCACAGAGAGAGAAGGTAGTTTAGTGGGTGCCAGTGTTTCTGAAAGGGGAAAATGGGGAATGACTTGTATAAGGGTAGAAGGGTTCTTTTGGGAGTGAGGAAAATGTTCCAAAATCAATTGTGGTGATGTTTGCACAACTTTTTGAATATACTAAAAATCACTGAATTGTACCTTAAAGGGTGAATTTCATGACATGCAAATTATATTTCAGTAAGGCTAGTATTTTAAAAGACCACAAGACATTGGATGAAGTGCAGCAGAATGGATGACACTGCAGAGCCGAAAAGTCTCGGTAAACTCGGCCAGGCATTGTGAAAAGGGTAACAAAAGGATGAGGCACTGGTTTTGGAAAAACAACACCCGGTCAACCTGTCGCTGGGTGGGTCCATGTTTTCATCCTTAGGACAGTATGCTCTTTCATTGCTGGCTTGCCATAAGCCACTTACAGCATGCAGAGTGGGCCTGTTGGACAAAGTGTTCAACAGGAAGGAAAGCACCAACAAAACAGAAAGCCAAAATGCAAGCAGAGCAAACCCTTGCAGCTGGCTCTCTGATGTGTTAAGACAGGAGCGAGCAGGAACAACCTCAGGCGAGTGGTGAGGACAGTTACTTGTAACTGACTTCAGAATGCAGCTGGTCATTACTCAGATACAGACCACACCAAACATTTCCCTCCACATCTGTGGATCCCCACCTCTCTCCTCTCCTTCCCCATCTGCACTTCCCCAGGAAGCTAAGTGAAGAGGGTGACTTTTCTTAGTTCTCCGACCAGATCAATTACTTGTCTGTATAACTCCGACAATAATAATACTGGTCTCTTCTGTGTAGCTCTTAAATCGTTAATGGGTGTACACATAAACTAGCCCACATCATCTTAACAAACTGGTGTTATTACTGCAGATTCTTAGAACTGAGGCTCAAAGAGATAAATGAACTTCGCACAAGAAAATAAGCAGAGAGCCCGGTGCGGTGGCTCATGCCTGTAATCCCAGCACTTTGGGAGGCCGAGGCAGGTGGATCACCTGAGGTCAGGAGTTTGAGACCAGCCTGGCCAACATGGCGAAACCCCATCTCTAGTTAAAATACAAAACGTAGCTGGGCATGGTGGTGCATGCCTGTAATCGCAGCTACTCAGGAGGCTGAGACAGGGGAATCGCTTGAACCTGGGAGGTGGAGGTTGCAGTGAGCCGATACCGAGCCAGTGCACTCCAGCCTGGGCGACAGAGTGAGACACAGTCTCAAAAATAAATAAATAAAATAAAAATAAACTATAGCCTCTCCCAAGGAAGAGAAAAAAGCGAATCTATGAGCTGTCATTTCTGCACAGGCAGAAATGAAATAAAACATGCTCTTTCCACACAATTGCAGACATCTCCAAGGGTGAAATCAACTATACCTAGGGGTAATCTCTTAAGATGCTGTGCTGCCATAAATTGTGTACAAATTCCTCACTAGTTCTTTGGAAATTGTTAGCTGGGCCTCTTTTACCAGCTGTGGCAACAGCACGTAAGATCCATCTCTGCTTCCCCCTTTGGCTTCTAAGTAGAGAGCCTTCCTTTTTCATTGGCTCAAAGGAGCTGATTTGATCCAGCTTTTCAGAAGGGGAAGGAACCAAAATAGGTAAAAAAAAAAAAACTCAGTGATTCTTTTTTTTTTTTCAAATGGAGGAAGGACACACATTTTAATTAATATATCCTACCACCTCCCAATCATTTCCTCTCCTTACATTTCCTTCATGTCAGCCATTGCAATTACCCAATATAAAAGGAGAAGAGGCGCTCAGAAAGCCATGTTTGGTTATTTTTGTTCTTAGCACCTGTCTCTTACATCAATTGCAGCCCAGTTATGCAGACGTGCCTATGCGTGGATAAATGAGCCTATTCATTTGCCAGGTGGGAAAGTTTTACTCTAGATACTTTTAGTTGCATCCTGTTTTATTCTGGAAATTAAAGGACGCTGTGTTCAGTAGTCACTTGCCAAGTGTTTATTAAATGAACCAAAGGCATTTCGGCACATTCTGAGAAATTATAGACATTTAAAAAATTCATTTAAGGTGGAAGGCAAATTGCTGACTTTCTGAGTGTTTGCTTTCACAATGAATGAACAGTTCCAAAGACTGCTTCAATGAATAAACCCCTTAAATAATTCATTTGGAAGGCTCTATTTTGTTACCACCTATGAAATGAATAAAAATGTTATGCTATTTTATTATTATTGTTTTGTTTTATTTTAGCAATAGGAACTTTTTTTCCCTACTCGAAGTTCATTCTTAAAACCCATTCTTAAAATTTTCTGTTATTTTTGATGGTATTATGAAACTTTTTAATTTAGAAAGATAGTTATAAATTTGATTTGAGGGAAAATAGTAGATTTTGGTGACTTTGTCTAAGTGTGGAAAGGAACTTCACTGACTTTGACCTTTCTCTAAGTTCTCTTTGAAGCGTGCTGGCACTCATGTGACTTTTATGTTGAGTTAGGAGTCTTCTGGTTGCCAGTAACCACAACCTCTGAAGCCAGTTTAAACAGGAGATCATTTAAATTAAGGATGTAAGGCAACTCTGGAAGCCTAAGGTGAGAATATCGCCTCGGGAAGGGTCTAGAAGATGGACCCTGATGCTGCCTAGAAGCGGGCTGTCTTCTTGGGCCCTGTTGAGGCCATCAGAGGTGGGGGATGGACACATAAGCAAATGGGCCTCCACTTCTGAAAGTCAGCAGCCCCAGCATCTCCAGGGAGCGCTCATTGTTCAAAAGGTCTTCCTTTGTTTCAAGCTAAAAGCACTGCTCCTGCAGGAGTATTGCACACTCTCCAGAAGCCAGATAGACCTGGCCTTCATTCAGCTCTGTCCTTTATTATCTCTCTGGCCTCAGGGAAGCCACTTGACCTCTCTGAGGTCCTGTGTGTAAAAAGGTGATATAAATAGCTTCCTTTCAGAGGTGCCGCAGAGGTCAGACACATGCCCAGCTAATGCCTGCCATGGAGGAGTGGCTCAGAATGACAGGACCTCAAATTCTCTTCGTCCCAGGTTTTCATTTTAAGATCGCCTTCTCTTCTGTGTCACAGCCTCTTAACACAAAATAATAAGTAAATAGATCTTCCCCTCTGGCCAGCTTCTCAGGAGTGAATACCAGGGCAGAATCTGGATCCAGGACCAGTTAACTGTTTTGCTTGTTATGAGTTCTTTGGATTTCAAGACAGATGGTACATTAACAACTCATCCCACCCCATCCCTGCCCTATGGACAGGTTTCCCTGGCTTCCCTTGGAAGCCACCTGTGTTTGCTGGGCCAGCCTGTCCTGAGATCCGCCTGATGTCACTGACATAATCCCAACAGGACAGATTTCCTTTAAGGCAGGGATGTCCAATCTTTTGGCTAGTCTGGGCTACACCGGAAGAACTGTCTTGGGCCACATACAAAATACGCTAACACTAATGATAGCCAATGAGCTAAAAAAAATTACAAAAAAAAATCTCCTTATGTTTTAAGAAAGTTTACGAATTTGTGTTGGGCCACATTCAAAGCTGCCCTGGGCTGCATGCAGCCTGCAGGCCGTGGGGTGGATGAACTTGCTTTAAGGGGTTGGGGTAGGGCATCCTTGGTACTTCTCCCAGTGTCCTCCCTCAGGGTTTTAACTGCTGTGATGCGTTCCTTCCTTAATTCTACCCTATACTGTAGAAGTCATATCTTACTTGCTAGTGATGTTGAATAGTGCCTGGTGTGTTGAATAATGATGCCTTCATGCTTGTATACTCACCCAGAGGAGGGCTAAAGTGACAACACTAAGCAAGCCTTGTCCGGGCCTGACTCAGCCTGACTTTGGCTCAGGGGACTTCTACACTCATTGGGATGCTGTTAAAGTTTGACTGTGTCCCCACCCAAATATCGTCTTGAATTGTAGTTCCCATAATTCCCACATGTTGTGGGAGGGACCCAGTAGGAGATAACTGAATTATGGGGATGGTTTCCCCTATAGTGTTCTCATGGTAGTGAATAAGTCTCATGAGATCTGATGGTTTTATAAAGAGAAGGCCCTTTTGCTTGGCTCTCATTCTCTCTTTTCCAGCTGCCATGTAAAATGTGCCTTTGCTCTTCCTTTAACTTCCGTCATGATTGTGATGGCTCCCCAGCCATGTAGACCTGTGAGTCCATTAAACCTCAGTAAACCTCTTTCCTTTGTAAATTACCCAGTCTTGGGTATGTCTTTATCAGCAGCGTGAAAGCAGACTAATACAGATGCTATGTGCAGAGCATTATCTAGATGCTGGAGCTATGACGGTCCACAGAACAGACAAGGTCCCTGACTTCATGAAGTGTACTTCCTAGTGGTGGTAGTGGAGGGAAGGAGAGAGATGGACAATACATAAAATAAGTAAATACAACATGTAGATGTTGATGATATGCATGGTGAAGTACAAAGGAACAAAAAAATAAAGCAAAGAAAAGGAACTGGAAATAGGGAGGAGGGAGGATTTCAGCTCTAGCAACCAGGGAAGACTGAAGAAGGGGGAGAATGCCATGGCTACTTCTGGAAAACAGCACTCCAGGCAGAGGAGAAAGTGCAAAGTCCTGGGGGCAGCAGCTGCTCATCTTGTTGAAGCAACACTGCAAAGGCTGTGATAGGTTTCTTCTGGGGCTGGGTGAGTGATCAAGGGGGTGAGTAGTGTAAAGTTCAGAAAAGTGATAGGGTCAGATCATATAGAACTTTGTAGGTCACAGGAAGGAGTTTGGGTTTCATCCTCATTGAGACAGGGAGCTGGTGGAGGCTTGAGCAGAAAGTAGCTAACCTGATCTTTCTTACAACTACTAGGAGGACTCACTTGGGAGCTGTGTGCACAGAACACTGTGTGGGGACAAGTGTGGAAACCAGAGACCTCTCAGGAGGCTGTTGCCATCATCCCAGTGGGAAAAGGTGGGAACTTGGGTCTGGATGGAAGACCCAAAGTGGTAAGAAAATGGTAAGATTCTTTCTATATTTTGAAGGCTCAGACAACAGGATTTCCTCAGGGTATTAGTTCCTTATGGATGCGATAATAAATTACCATAAGCTTAGTGGCTAAAACAATACAAATGTATGGTTCTGGGGGGCATAAGTCTAAAATGGGGAAACGGGGTCAGCAGAACTGTGTTCCTTCTGTGGGCTCTGAGGAGAATCGCTATTTTTTTTTTCTTTCTGAGACAGAGTCTCTCTCTGTTGCCCAGTCTGGAGTGCAGTGGCATGATCTCTGCTCACTACAACCTCCGCCTCCCAGATTCAAGCAATTCTTCTGCTTTAGCCTCCCAAGTATCTGGAATTGCAGGCGCACACCACCATGCCCAGCTAATTTTTTATTTGTACTTTTAGTAGAGACGGGGTTTCGCCATGTTGGCCAGGCTGGTCTTGAACTCCTGACCTCCGGAGATCCATCTGCCTCAGCCTCCCAAAGTGCTGGGATTACAGGCGTGAGCCACCGTGCCCGGCCTATCTGCCATATTTAGAGAAAAGGAGGCATCAAGACTGACTCCAAGGCTACAGGAAGAAGCTGCCTCTAACCTGGATAAGGTAGACTGTGAGAGGGACAGGTTGGGGAACAGCTATCCTTAGCTTACTTTGGAGCAATTCAGGATTGAGAGACCCCTTAGAGGTGACAGTGGGGGGACAGGGCTCTAGATGGCATCTAAAGCCACTGGGCCACTGAGATCCCCTAGGGAGTGAGTGTAGCTGTTGACAAGAGAGTCTGGGGTCTGGACCAGGGGCACAGTGACACTCAGACACCAGCCAGCAGTGGTGCCTGAGAAGGGGGGTCAGAGAGGCTCAAGAGCCACCAGGCAGGTGGGGTATTCTGGAAGCCAACAACAGAAAGGGCTTCCCAGAGGAGGGAACCAGCGCTGCTGAAAGTCAGCTTGGGAAGAGCCCTCTGTGACTAGCGCTGCTGAGAGGTCAGCTTTGTGGGGACAGGGAACTGAGTTTGGATTTCCAAGTTTGGCAGTCCTTTTTGACCTTGGCAAGATAAATTTTGGAGAATTATTTAGAAGTAAAAGCCCAATTGGGAGCAGAAAAATGGAAGATAATGAGTGTAAGCAACTCTCTCAAGAAGTTGTGCTGTGAGGAGAACTGAGAAGTGAAATAGTACATGGAAGAGGAAGTGGGAGTGAGGGGAGGGTTTCGTTTGGTTGAAGATGGGAGAAGCCACCCCAGGCCTGTCTGCAGGTTGGGATGATCCAGGAGAGAGGAAAGCTTGATGACCGGGGCTGGGAGGGGGAGAGAATTTCTGCAGCCATCTCTATGGGAAAGAGAGAGCACCTGGTACATGAACAGAGAGGCGGGTCCCAGGTGGCAAAGCAAATCTGTCCATCGACACTGAAGGAAAGCAGCATGTACCACGGATACCCTGGGCATCAGTGCATGGGACGATGAAATATTGGGGCAGGGCTGGTGAAAGCCACTTGTGTTCATCTCCATCTTCTCAGTAAAAGAGGAGTCTGAGTGTGAGGATGAGGAAGGTGGCATTGAGTGTTGAAGGCAAGAGAAGAAAATGTGAAGTGATCTTCTAGGAATGTGGGAGAACAAATGGACTAGAAAAATATAGGAGGATTATATATGCACACCAATGTCATATGAGTATCAATGTCATATGAGTATCAAATATGTATACAACATGCAAATATATGTATATATATTAATGTTTACATGCAATTACGATATATACATATGTTAGTAGATATAAGCAAATATATTTATATGTCTTATGTATAATATGACACATGCTGCAACATAATTATAATCTATAGTATCTAATATGTACTAGATGGTATATGAATATATGTTCATACATCATACATGAATATAGCAATATAGGCAGATAAGATATGTTACAATGTATTATTAAATTGTGTATATTATATGATGTGCAATAAAAACACAAGTATTTATGACTTATCTGTCTCCTCCACTCTATCCAAAATATATGTAATGCACGTTATAAAACATAAAGAGAAATAGGAATTTTTAAAGTATAAGAATAGAGAAATAAACACAAATATAAATATGTCTTGAGCTGTCATCCTCATTTCATCTAGAGTGGAATCTTGATGAAGGGAAGCTGTTTATTTTCACTACCACTCTGCCCCGCCTAGAATGTCCTGGGCCTAGAGGGGGACTTCAATAAATATTTATTAAATGAATTAATGAAAAATGTATTTTATACTTGAACTTAACCAAAAGGCTGAGAAACGATGAAAAATATATCTTATTTATTCAGAATCAAAAATATTTTGTTTTCTTAAAAATCTCCTGTTATTCTCAATGACTTATTAACAATGTCTTAGTCAGTGTAATGTTATTAAACATGCCTCATCCTTTTGGGAAATCGTGGAGAACCATGAGCAGCATGGAGTGCTGTGCTTACTAAATCACAATATCCATTTTTCAATCCCATCCACCAAATTTAGAAGGGATTATTATTATCACCGAGTAAATTTCCATGCTCCTTGACATCAATGAGTTGTTTTTTCATATTAATTGGAAGTTGTTCGTTTTTATGTTTCACAAATGGGTTTTAAAACTCACAGAACCCCTTGGAAGCTTTTAGACAGCTGATAAAATTGTGTTTCCTAGTTTAAAGTGCAAGATATGAGAACTTTTATAGATGTCACACATCGTTTTTTGGCAATAAAATCACTTAATGATGGAAACCTTTCCAAACTCCTGTTTTCAAGATATTCTTACTGTAGCACAAGTTTCTGGCAGACAGTGATTACTTTCTCACACATTGTTAACTGGCATCTTGTGCTTGAAGGGCCAGGTCAAGCTGGTTTATTTATTTATGTTAAATCATCACCATGGCTCGAACCTTGTAACCTGGCTGGCAGTTGCTCATGCGCAGAGGGGAGATGTACCAGCTCTGTTCCTTTCTTGCCATTCATCTCTGCTTATGTCCTTAGAAATAGCTTCATACCTTAAGTTCTAGGGTACACGTGCACAGCGTATAATAATGATAATAATAAATAAATAAATAAGTAAAAAGAATCCTGAAAAAAAAAAAAAAAAGAAATAGCTTCATACCATTTCTTAGCAGGCATCCTTGCCAGACACTTGCCTGTTTGTGTGAGGACTGGCTCAGTTAAAGACTAGATAATATAAACCACACATTCTCTTAATGAAAATTTGGGATCTGCAATAACAGCACAATTCTGGAAGCAGAGAAGGTGTGTGGAGCCATGTCAGCCCACACCACCTGGCACCCCAGGTGCCCATCAGGGGGCCTAGTGCACCCCTCTGATGCCTGTCTGGCTTCTGCAGCAAGAGCAAGCACCAGGGTCAACCCACATAATAAAGCAGCAGAGGAATAATTTTCTTTTTTAGAAAAAAGAAAAACCTAATATAAACAGAAGCGCTAATATTTTTCACTCATCCCAGTGAGTGGAGGTCATCACCTTCCACCATGGAGACCTTGACCTATAGGGTGGATGAGCGGGGAATGGTGGGCAAAACTCCACCAAAGAGAGCTGCTTCCTCCCAGACTGTCTCGCTCTAACCCCTGGACTGCGACTTCAGGCTGAGGGGCTTTACCTAGGTCAGAAACACAGGCTAATTTCCCAAGAACACATCAAACACAACAGGTCAAAATGAAAGCCATCTTTCCCATCCAGTCTACTCACTCTGCTCTGTCCTGATTTCTACCCACAAGCTGCTCAGTAACCGGGGAAGAAACCCAGGAGCCCTGAAAACTGCTCCCTTTGTCTTATCCCCGACTCCCCCACCAACTGACCTGCTCGCCCACTCCACACAGCCAGTCGCCAAGTCCTGTCCACTTTCCCTGCTGAATCATCGTGCCGCATCAGCTGAGTTTACCCCCTCTCCTAGAGTCCCACTCCTGGTCTCTCAGCTCAGAACCATTTCTTTCTCTGCATCATTTCTTACGTGGATCACCTAAGCTGCTTCGAGACTGAATCTTTGCTTGAAGGCAGAGCTGATGACTTTGGAGCCTTCTTCATCCCGTGGTTGATCTGATTACCAGGAACTTTTCCCAGGACTAGGTATACAAACACAGATCATTCAATTCTCTAACAGATGAAGGCTGCGGTCCCCTATAAGATGCAGTCCATCATATGATGCCCTCTTAATTACTTTTATGACATGCAGCAATCATACTTCATTAGAACTCTTCTCTTTCTTCTCCACTAAACTGTGAGCCTCCTGAGGACAGGAACTGTGCTGGTTTCCTTGTACACAGCATGATGCCAGGCACACAGTAGACATTTGATACTTGTGGTATCAAATGTGTGTGTCATTTGAGAAGAGGCATCTTCTTATAATTTTTTTTTTAAAAGAGATGGGGCCTCTCTCTCTTTCCCAGGCTGGAGTACAGTGGTGCAATCTTGGCTCACTGCAGCCTCGAACTTCTGATCTCTAGCAATCCTTCTGCCTCAGCCTCCCAAAATGCTGGGATTGCAGGCATGAGCCACCATGCCCAGCCACCTTCTTATAATTATATGTGCACCCCCAACCTCAAGCACTTGACAGCTGACTGCTGAAGGAATGAATGGATGAATGAAGGAATAAATGGATGATTGCCAACAGCCCTCAAATAAACAGAAGAGCAGGTTTTATAAGGCTGCTTCTCAGAGTTTCCATAAATGCCAGCTCAGGGAACATTAACCCAAGTCCCATTTGTTACATGAAAGCAGTTCTGAGGTAGCTGACAGTGCCATCCTCCATCTGGCTTAATTCAGGAATAAATTTACTCTACAATAATGGTTGGACTGTATACATTTCAGACAACCTTCCATGAGTATGGAGGTTGCCATTGAGATGTCCATCTGTCCTCCACCTTAGGGAGCACTAAAGAGACCCTAAAAGTTGGTCTCTTTGTTTTACATTCTAATCACTTTCCTCAAATTCACATTGATTTTTCCAATGCTTGTATAGCTTTTTGTGGAGCAAGCTTTTTTTTTGTTTTTTTGTTTGTTTGTTTGTTTGTTTGTTTTGAGACAGAGTCTCACTCTATCACCCAGGCTGGAGTGCAGTGGTGCAGTCTTGGCTCTCTGCAACCTTCACCTCCCGGGTTCAAGCAGTTCTCATGCCTCAGCCTCTCTAGTAGCTGGGACTACATACAAGTTTGAGCCACCACGCTTGGCTACTTTTTGGATTTTCTTTTCTTTTCTTTTCTTTTTTTTTGAGACAGAGTCTCACTCTGTCGCCAGGCTGCAGTGCTGTGGCACGATCTCGGCTCAATGCAACCTCTGACTCCCTGGTTCAAGTGATTCTCCTGCCTCGGCCTCCCAAGTAGCTGGGATTACAGGCACGTGCCACCACACCCAGCTAATTTGTGTATTTTTTGTAGAGATGGGATTGCACCACATTACCCAGGTTGGTCTTGATCTCCCAACCTCGTATCTGCCCACCTCGGCCTCCCAAAGTGCTAGGATTACAGGCATGAGCGACTGCGCCCAGCCATTTTTGGATTTTTTTACTAGACACAGGGTTTAGCCGTGTTGCCCAGGCTTAAACTCCTGTCCTCAAGTGATCTGCTCGCCTTGGCCTCCCAATGTGCTAGGATTATAGGCTTGCGGGATTACCTGGCCTGCAAGTATATTTTTGAAACCACCTTACTGAGGTACAACTGACATACACTAAACATATTAAAACTGTACAATGTGATGTTTCGAGAGAGTGAGCATATCCTTCCTCCTGCAAGTATCTTCCTGCTTCTATGTAATTCCTCCCATCCCCACCTCCACTCCCACTGTACCCCAATCTGTTTCCTGTCACTATTGATAAGTTGAGCAAGTATATATTTAATCTTTAAGAGCTTCCTCGCTTTCTGTTCCCTTTTCATAAATTTCCTGCTTTTTAAAGTATTGCTTTATTATCTTATATCTCTCTGGAGTTTTAATTTGATTAAAATATTTTTTGGTCCCCGGAGTTATTCTCTGCAGCCTCCAAAACAGTCTTACTAGTTTATTTGTCTGGTCTGTCTCATTTAGCTTGCATTCTCCTTGCATGTCTGTGGAGCCTTTATTTATCTAAGGACACTAGGTAGCTAACATGCATTTCCTTTGCTATTGAATAAGATTGTTTCCCCAAGGTGAGTGGCAGCTCTAAGCAAGGAAGGATGGAGTAAAGCGCCTGTCTGGCTGTAGTGAGGGAGACAGTGAGTCAGCTGTCAGCCTGTGGACCCCCAAAATGCCAATGAGGGCATATCTGAGACAGGGTAATTTATAAAGGGAAGAGGTTTAATGGACTCACAGTTCCACATGGCTGGGGAGGCCTCACAATCATGGTGGAAAGCAAAGGAGGAGCAAAGTCACATCTTACATGGTGGCAGGCAAGAGGGCTTCACTTGGGATGCAGCATTGACGAAGAATGTCATAGCTTCTGGCAGACGTTTGTTCCATTCATTGGAAGAGCCATCTGGGATTTTGCCTGATTCTGTATGCTGTATATACACATGTATATGTGTGTATATATATGTGTTTATGTGTGTATTATGTGCACATGTGCATGTGTGCATATCTGCAGCATGCATGCTTGTATATGTGTAGTGTGTGTATCTAGGTATACACTGTATGTATGGAAGGCAAATATATTGTATGATGGAAGGCAAAGGAGGAGCAAAGTCACATCTTACATGGTGGCAAGCAAGAGAAAGCATGTGCGAGGGAACTCCCCTTTATAAAACCATCAGATCTCATGAGACTTATTCATTATCACAAGAACAGTATGAGGGAAACCACCCCCATGATTCAACTGTCTCCCACCGGGTCCCTTTTATGACATGTGGGGATTATTACAATTCAAGATGAGATCTGGGTGGGGACCCAGAGCCAAACCATATCACCCCCTCCTACAATGTGGAAGCACCACTGCCATTTTATTTTATAAACATAAATGTTTTTCCTTCTGCTACCACCATGCACCTGTTTTTTATTAGCTGTGGCCAGAAGACAGTTGAAGTTGTAGGTTATTTTCTGCTCTAAACATAGACTCTTTATGCAGCAAGTTGGAGGCAGATCCATTTCTTTGCTGATACCGTGGCCTCCCTTATTACAATGGAAGGGCCCTTTGCAGGATCCCTGTGGCCACCTCACTTTTATGTCAGGAACAATCAAGTTTCCTTAGAAAACAGCTGGATCCCCAATGTTGCAGATGATGTTTTGATGAAAATGTTCAAGGCATTCTTTTCCTTTAGCCAACTTCCTTGATAAAACTTTCCCAGTAAACATAGTCTTACCATATGATCCAGCAATTGCATCCCTTGGTATTTACCCAAATGAGTTGAAACTTATGTCTGCACAAAAAATGTTTATAGCAGTTTTGTTCATAATTACTAAAATGTAGAAGCAACCAAGATGTCCTTCAATAGGTATTCACCTATTGATAAACAAATGGTGTTGTACCATACCATGAAATATTTTTTAATGATAGAAAGAAATGAGCTGTCCGGCTAGGGAAAGGCAAGAAGGAATCTTAAATATATGCTGCTAAGTGAAATAAGCCAAGATGAAAAGGCTATACAGTGTATAATGTCAACTGCATGACATGATGGAAAAGGCAAAATAATGGAGACAGTAACAAGATCAATAACCATTGATCCAGGAGTTAGGGGGAGGGAGGAAGAGGTGAATAGTGAATTTTTAGGTCAACAAAACTATTCTGTACAATACTAAAATGGTGGACACATGTCATTACACATTTGCCAAAACTCATAGAATGTACAGTACTAAGTGTGAACCCTAATGTGATCTACGGACTCGAGTCAATAATAATGTATCTTTATTGGCTTATCAATTATAACAAATGTTCCTTAGTAACGCAAAATGTTGACAATAGGGAAACTGTGTGGCAGAGGAAAGGGGCACCTGGAAAATCAATATATTTTCCATTCAATGTTTTGAAGACCTAAAACTTCTTTAAAAACAATCTATCACTTTTTCAAAAAATTGTCGAGTAATATGCCCACAAACCACCTGATTTAAAGTGGGAAAATAAACCTGCCAGAACAAACTAGTTTGCAAATCGCACCTCTTCAAGGTAATATAGAGGACATGTGTTAAAAGAATGATTTCAATTTTAGAGTAGCGAATTGTGAGGGTTTTTCTCCCCTTAAATGTGCAGAGAATAAAATGCATTTGTCTTTTGGGGCCACTCCAAGCAAATGGCAAGATGAGGGAGAGGAAGCTGTGGAAACACTACCACCTAGTGGTAGAAGACAGACTTTCAAAAACGTGGCCTAAGGCTTTGCAGAATTCATTTTCCAATAACTTTGGGGACATGCTCACAACCCTTTATAAAAGCTGGGAGAAAGAAGAAATAGAGGAAGGAGAGAGAGGTAAATGGCTGCCCAAGTGGTTAGGAACTTAACATTTTCCATCAGGCCGATCAACCTAGGGAGAATCATCAGATCTGGAGAGTTCAGAGGCTGCTACATAGACAAGAGACAAAAAAGGCACTGCAGGACCTGCTTGCTTAAAAACGCCCCTGCCCCACAGTACTGCCCACACGTACTGGATGTGAATTCCCACAGTAGGCAATAGGCCAAAAAATGTAGGGTACCCTCATGCAATGAGTGCCTAGGGGGTGCCTGTTCTGGGCCAGGTGCCCCTGTAGGCATTGGGGATAAATATTATATCCAAAAGACTGTCCCTATCATCTGGAAATAAGGGCAGCTTTCAAGCCCTCCTTCCTGAGTGCAGAAAGATGTATCCCTTTGATCATGAAAAGTGTGTGGGAGGAAGACTTTGGAGGGCAACTCTGGAGCTAGGGAGGGCTCCTGGCTAAGAGGGTGTGTTCAAAGGGACATCTCCACCCAGGGTGGGAAGACCCACTGGGCAAGAAGCAGGGAGGTGATGGAAAGTTAGCCATGGCCTGCCTTTGCTTCAGGTCCGAGGGGGGCGGGGGTGCTAAGGGCAACACAGCAGACTCACCAGCCTCTGGTGAAGTACTTTAGCTGGTTAGTGAGTGGCTGGTTCTAAGTTACTTTGCCTCAGCAGAGGAGAATTCCTATGATGAAGGGAATCCAGGCAGCATCAGCCTCCGCTGCCCCTTTGTCACTGCTGAGCTGTGCACACCTAGACTGCCCTGTGATCACTTTCCCAAAGCTGCGCTAATAGAGTACCACAACTGGGTGGCTTGGAAGAATGGAAACTGACCCTTTCATGGTTCTGGAGGACGGAGTCTGAAGCCCAGGTGTTAGTGGGGTCATACTCCCTGAGTATGAAAGCTCAAAGGGAGGAGCCCTCCCTGCCTTTTCCAGCTTTGGTGGCTCCTGGTGTTCCTTGGTTTGTGGCTGCATCCCTCCAACCTCTGTCTCCATCTTCACATTTGACTGGCATGTTATGTCACATCAGGAGAACACAGCAGTTCAGTGTCGGCATTTCTGTCCCTTTGGTGTATCTATGAATGTGAGGTCTTTCAAGCTAAGGGGAATGTCTGTTGAGCTCTTTCTGCGCCAATAAGGGGCCAGCTTGGAAGCCTGCGTGCCTGTTGACAGCTACCCTAATATATTGTTGATAATCCGAATGGACTCCTATGAAACAGAAAACAGCAGGTGATGTCATTTGCTCATAAATATTGAATGCCTCTGCTCAGGAGGATGGGGACTGAAGTTCCATCCAAGCAGCTCCTCAATGCTCGTAACAAATCTGAACTTGCTCTCTCCACTGGAATATGAGCAGGTTCTCTGCATTTTAACAAGTGGACAGTGGTTATGCTGCTTCTGGGGGCTCCCACCCTGAGAAAGGTTCATCATAGCCTGATCTTGAAGGGAATCAATAATCGGTGTCCAACTGAAACTGGGTTGTGTCGATTAAAGTTGTGGACTGTAAGCAAATGCCTAAAAGACCTCTCGTTGACAGTGAAATAAGAAAATGAAAATGCCTTATGAAATTCTGAGGCTGTTGAAACTTTATATCTGGGCAATTTCACCAGAGAGCTCCGTGCCACAAATGGAACCAACTGCTTTGAGGGATAGTAATGTGGATGTGTAGCACCAGCTCCAAAATGACAGTCCCAGAGATGCCCTAGGTGTTGAGTTGTGGGATCAAGGGGAGAGCTGTGACAGAGAAGTCAAAGGAAGAAGGAACCGAGGAAATCCCCAAATGTGATGCTCCCCTGCCACGTAGGTCATCTGCACGCTGATGGCAAGACTTGGAGCCATGAGCTGTGTCACCTGTTGCATCTCCTTCCTCCTCCCACAGTGCTGTCCCACTTTGCTGATCCATTTTTCTCCATAACATTTATCATCATTTCACATAGTAGATTTGTAATTATAATATTGTAAAATATTCCATTTTTGTGCCTGTATTTGTTAACTATTGCTGCCATAACAAATCATAAACGTAGTGGCTTGAAACAATGCACGATTTTTATTTATTTATTTTTTTACGATTCTAGAATTCGAAGTTCCCACTGGGTCTCACTGGGTTTCACTAAAATGAAGGTGTTGGCAAGGCTGTGTTCTGTTTCAGAGGCAGAATCAATTTCTTTTTCCTTTTCCAGCTTCTGGAAGCTGCCTGCACCCTTTGGCTTGAGGCTCTCCTCTATCTTCAAAGCCAGCCATCCCATCATCTCGACGTCTGCTTTCATCACTTCATCTTTTTTTGTTTTTGTTTTTGGAGACAGAGTCTCGCTCTGTTGCCCAGGGTGGAGTGCAGTGGCACGATCTCGGCTCACTGCAACTTCCGCCTCCCGGCTTCAAGAGATTCTCATGCCTCAGCCCCCCGAGTAGCTGGGATTACAGGTGCCCTCCGCCATGCCTGGCTAATTTTTGTATTTTCAGTAGAGATGGGATTTTACCGTGTTGGCCAGGCTGGTCTCAAACTCCTGACCTCAGGTGATCTGCCCACCTCAGCCTCCCAAAGTGCTGGGATTACAGGCGTGAGCCACCGTGCCCGGCCCACTTCATCTCTTTCTCTGACCCTGAAAACTCTTCTGCCTTCTTTTGTCATCTTTTAAGGACACTTAAGACTACATTGGCCCTTCATAGACAATCCAGGATCATCTCTTTATTTGAAAGTCAGGTGATCGGCAGCCTTCATTTCATCTGCAACCTTCATTCCTCTTTACCATGTAACATTCACAGATTCCAGGAAATTAGGGCATGGGCATCTTTCACGGGGATGTGAAGAAAAACCTCAAAGCATTTTTCCTTAGCCCTCGCATCACAACAACAATAAACACAGAAGACTTCTGTGGCCAGCTCGGCATGGTGGCTCACGCCTGTAATTCCAGCATTTTGGGAGGCTGAAGTGGGCAGATCACTCGAGGTCAGGAGTTGAAGACCAGCCTGGCTAACATGGTGAAACCCCGTCTTTACTAAAAATACAAAAATTAGCCAGACGTGGTGGTGGGCCCCTGTAATCTCAGCTACTTGGGAGGCTGAGGCACAAGAATCCCTTGAACCTAGGAGGCAGAGGTTGCAGCGAGATCACACCACTGTGTTCCAGCCTGGGCGACAAAGCGAGACTTTGTCCCCCCTCAAAAAAAAAGACTTCCGTGACCAAATGTGTGGGTATTATAGGGATTACTTCCCACACACCAGCAAGCAATCAATTCTGCGTTCTGCAGCGGACACCAGCTGGGTGTCCTCCAATTCAATTTAATTCTGACACTATCTACCCAGGGACAGCCTCAGAAACCACGGGCCCAGGGCTCAGTCCCACAAGAGTGGCCCCTCCTCCCACCTGCCCCAAGTCCGGGTCTCAGGAACTTCTGACCAACTGGTTTCCAGTTGAGATTTCCAACACCCCCTTCGGTTTTGATTAATATGCTAGAGAGGCTCACGAAACACAGGGAAACACCTATGTTCACTGGTTTATTACAAGGGATATATTAAAAGATACAGAGAAACAGCCAGAGGAGGAGATTCACAGCATGAGGTCTGGAAGGGTCCTGAACACAGGAGCTTCTGTCCCCATGGAGTGGGGGCCCAACACTCTCCCAGCACCTGGATGAGTTTCTGTTCACTTTCCTGTCCACCTCCATGTGCTCAGCTCTCTGGAAGCCACTGGACCCTGTCCTTTGGGCCTTTTATGGAGACTTCATTGGATAGGAATGACCAAAGCATGGACAACCACATATAAATGTGACTGGAGGCCGGGCGCAGCGGCTCATGCCTATAATCCCAGCACTTTGGGATGCCGAGGTGGACGGATCACAAAGTCAAGAGATCGAGACCATCCTGGCCAACATGGTGAAACCCCATCTCTACTAAAAATACAAAGATTAGCTGGGCATGGTGGCATGAACCTGTAGTCCCAGCTACTTGGGAGGCTGAGGCAGGAGAATCAGTTAGACCCAGGAGGCGGAGGTTGCAGTGAGTTGAGATAGTGCCACTGCACTCCAGCCTGGCCAAAGAGCGAGACTCAAGAAAGGAAGGAAGGAAGGACGGAAGGTGATTGGACAAAAAGAGTGTGATCTAAGCCCAGCAAGTCCTCAGGCTCTTCTTGGCGTCTCCATGCAGTATTCCTTCATCCAGGTTATGGGGCAGGACCCTCTCTGGAATAAGAGTTTCAAGACCCACAATTAAGACAGGTGAAAGGAGATCAGGAGAAGGTCAGAGAGATTCTCTTCACTCTAACAAGAGCTATGGGAGTTACGAGCCAGAAACCACGGACAAAAACCAGTATCTCATAATATCATAGGGGGCCATTATTCTGCCCACCACAGCCTCCTTCCTCAAATGTAGGCTTCGTGAAGGCAGGAATTTTTGTTTCTATTCTTAATAAAAATACAAATATGATGATGCCACTGCCCTACTTGTCCTCCTTCTCTAAATCCATATAGAGTCAAACATCCTTAGCAGCAGGTATTTGCTGGGGTTCCCTCAGAATAGCCCTGAAGTTAAGGGTTTGGGTGCAAATGATGCCATCCTGGGAAACACAGGCAGGGGAACAGGGAAGTAAGACAGGACGCAGCAAGGAGCCATGGACCGCCATTGTTCCATGGTGGCACAACATGGTGGAGCCCTCTTGTGGGGGAGTGTGGAACACCCTCAGAGTTGCCCACCCAAAGGGTAAGGAGGCAGGGGTGTGTGTCTGTCCTCCCACTCCCATTGAGGTCTGTTGCTGGTGTCATTAAGTATGCAGCACTTCCAGCCTGTCCCCCAGGGAAGCTGAAACAGCCTTCAGGGGAATCCAACGTACCTGCAGCAGGACCTCCAAGGCTTGTGAGAGCAGAGGGGATTCAGGGATTCTGTGGGGCACCCACAGCATCTCTGCATGCAGCTCACAGTGCCCATGAGATCTGAACATGCATTTATCTTGTGTAAGATAAGGCTATTTCCCTTGTAGTTGGTGCAAAAGTCATTGTGGTTCTTACCATTAAAGGTAATGGCAAAAAACTTTTTTTTTTTTTTTTTCTTTTTTGACAAAATTTTGCCCTGTCACCCAGGCTGGACTGCAACCTCCACCTCTCACATTCAAGTGATTCTCCTGTCTCAGCCTCCCGAGTAGCTGGGATTCCAGGCATGCACTACCATGCTTGGCTAATTTTTTGTATTTTTAGTAGAGATGGGGTTTCACCATGTTGGCCAGGCTGGTCTCGAACTCCTGACCTCAAGTGATCCACCCGCCTTGGCCTCTCAAAGTGCTGGGATTACAGGCATGAGCCACTGTGCCCGGTCAGCAAAAACCTTTTAATATTTAAAAACATTAAAGTTTTCACCTTTAATGGTAAAAACTGCTATTACTTTTGTACCAAACTAATATTTCCCGGTTTTTGAACTGAAAATCCTGTCTTCTTGAAACACTCCCCTCAGTCCGGGCAAACTAGAATGGTTGTTCACCCTGTCTGGTACTGACTCTTGCAGTAGACAAAGATGAGATGATTTACAAGGTGGCATTTAAAGTTTGCAACTCTGCCAGCAGCACTGGGGGCTGGCTTGTCTACACTGTTTCAGGGTGTATAGATTGATAGTAACATCTGCTTTAACCAGTTACACAGCCTCATCTGCCTCTAAAAGATCCCTCTGCAGAGTTGCAAAAGCTCCCTTTCGATCAAGGTAATGTGCACACATTTGGTGGGTCATTCTGAAGACCGAGTTCACGCTGTGCAAATGAGAAAGGACAGCGAGGGTTTGTGCCTAAGTTTTCTAGCCTCTCTTAGGTTGCCTCCATTCTCTTTTCCTGACGTGCTCTATCCCTCACCTTTATTAAAGCTGTAGATGAGTGCACCTGTGGCATACCTTTGAGTCCTTCCAATGATTCCATCCTAGAAGGATCTGCTCTAGCCTGATCACTCACCCCTTCCTTTGCAAACTCCTCAAACACCCTAGAAATAGGGCATTTCTAGCTCTATTGACTTGCTTGTGTTTGGAATCATGCCAGGATCTCTCCTCGCTCTGAACCTTGGCATTACCCTTAGATTCCCAAATGTCTCGTTTGGCCCCTTAAGGCTTATAATGGTGCCCCTCTTCTGTGCTCTCAGAGCTCTTGGTGCTTGTCCTCCACTAGCATTTACCAGCCTGTGCTGGACTTGCCTGCTTTCTGGCTTGAACCCTCCGGGACTGTCTTAATCTGCTTAGGCTGCCATAACAAAGTACCACCGACTGGTGGCTTCAACAACAGAAATGTATTTTCCCACAGCTCTGGAGACTGGAATTCTGAGATCATGGGACTAGCGTGGCTCCATTCCTGGTGAAGACTCTTCCTGGCTTGCAGACAGCTGCCTTCTTGAGGTATCCTCCAGTGCAGTTCCATTGTGTGTGTGTGCAGAGAAAGAGGGCCCTGGTGTCTGCTTCTCTTCTAATATGGTCACCAATCCTATCAATTTAGGATCTCACCCCATAACCCTGTTTAGCTTTACCTCCTAAAACCATAGCTCTAAATATAGTCACATTGGAGGTTAGGGCTTCAGCATATGAATTTGAGAAAGGGGACACAACTCAGCCCATAGCATAGACTGTAAGCTCCCTGAGGGCACGGACTGTGCGGCATTCATCATTGAACTCCCGGTGCAATAATTGGCAATAAACATTTGCCGAGTAAATGAATGAATAAACTGATGAGGATGTCAGAGTCTTGCTGCACTCTTCACAACACCCCTCTGAGGTGAGTGAGACCTCATCCATTCACTGCAACCTTCTTCTGCTTTTTCCTCTCTACAGAGCTGAAGAGACAGAAACTATTTCCCAGCCTGCCTTGCAAACAGGGCTCCACATATGATTTGGAAGCTGCTGATTAGGTGCAGCCATGAGAGAGCTGACTTTGGAACTGAATTAAGTGCGAAGGGAGTGGCAGTAAGGGTCATATATATTTTTGTTGGTGCAGATCTAGTCGGTGTGGAGGGGCCATGGGGGTAAACATTGTCATGGTAGCCCCTGATCTCCATCACAGTTGAGGTGTTACATCACTGGAAGCAAAGGTTGATTCAGAGGTCCTGGGGCTGTGCCACTTCCTGATTCTAGAGTTTTGTGCTTGAGTTAAAAGAGGTGGCTTCCCTGGTGGGTTAGTCCTGCAGTATTGTTTTATGAGTCTTTCCTGCAGGCCTCTTCTCTAGCCTGCTTCTTTGACCCATGTGAAGGTTTTGTGAGCACACTACTCCTATATGAAATCCATTTCTGCTTAAAATAGTTAGAGTGGTTCCTGTGACTGCAAGGGAACCTTGCCTGAAACAGATGGAACTATCAAGCCCATCATACAGATGCATACCTGAAAAAATGAATGGCTACTCAAGGTCATAGAGGTTGTGATGTCTCAGCTGGTGTTTGAACCCAGGTATGACCTCAGTGAAGATGAGGAAGGTTGGTCCACAAAAATGGCATTGTATCTGGACCAAAGTTGAGAACAGGATAAACTGGTAAAGGGAAGACAGAACAGTGTGGGGATGGGAACACTAAGAGAGTAGATGGGCTGGGTTCAGTGACTCACGCCTGTAATTCCAGCCCTTTGGGAGGCCAGAGGATCACTTCAGCCCAGGAGTTTGCGACTAGCCTGGGCAACATAGTGAAACCCCCTTTTTATTTAAAAAAATAAAAAGGAGGAGAGAGGTGGAGCAAGATGGCAGAATAGAAGGCTCCACCCATCATCCACCCAGCAAGGCACCAATTTAACAACTATCTCCACACACATAAAAAAACACCTTTGTTAGAGCCCAGAATCAGGTGAGCACTCACAGTACCTGGTTTAAAAAACAAAAAAATTAGCTGGGTGTGGTGGTGCGCACTTGTGGTCTCAGCTGCTTGGGAGGCTGACATGGGAGGATCCCTTGAGCCCAGGAGTTTGAGGTTAGAGTGAGCTGTGGTCGTGCCTTTGCATTCCAGCCTGGGCAACAACGAGAGACCCTGTTTCAAAACCAAAAGGGAGAATGGATTACCACAGGGGCTCGACATGATCAAGTCAGTTTAGTAGGAACGACATGTGAGGCATGGCCCGGTCACAGGCATGAAGGTTCAGAATATAGCCTGGAGTACACATGTATCCCTCTGGGCCAGGCAGAGGCTTCACATCTTGGTGAAAGGCCTGGTCGCACTTTCTCTGGGTTTCAGATGGACTGTTAATGCAAAGTTGTTTTTGTGTTTTTGCAAATCCCAGGAGCTGGTGGATGGGGATGGTGTGACCCTGTTGGAACCTGCTGGCTGGCAGCCCTCCTTCAGAGAGACACCGTTTGGAAATTACCAGAGGCCTAGAGCACCAACCCCTCCCCAGACCTTGGAAGAATTCACCATGATCCCCTGGTAGGTTCAAGTCCACAGAGGATGGATTCTGAAGGGGAACATGCAAACCCATCAGCACCAACCCAGAGCTGTTGTAATAAGTCATCACTCCTGGGGCAGGGAGACTTGACTCTTCCCCTGATGATTAGGAGTTTTGTTGTCTTTTGATGTTCCCAGGCCAGATGCCACAGTTAAATTAGCAAAAGAACTCAAATAACCCTGAATAGAAGAAAGAGGAGACTCTCGTTATGATGCACCAATGATTGGTAAAGGTGACTTCCCACAGTGCTGTTTTGTTACAGGGCAATTTGCCAGGGTTGTTGAGGCCACCATGTTACTCCCAGCACTACAGTGAGATATATATATGTACTTACTGGAAGATCTGCAATAGTGTAAGATGTACTATTGCCTCTTTGAGCTTTTGGACAGATGTGTGGCTTTAAGAACTGTTGTGCACCCTGCGCCAGACAGCCAACTCATCGGAGACCCCGAGGAAACAGTCAGTCAATTGGTAAAGGTGACCATACATATCCTTATTCCCATGGGAATTCAGGTGCTTGGTTTATCAGAGTAGATTGTCACTAAAAATGTCCAAACTCTCTGATCATCTTTTTTTTTCACCCTCACCACCCCCATGTTGATTTCAGACTTCTAGTCTCTGGAACTGCAAGATAATAAATTTCTGTTTTTTAAAAAAATTGTGGCAAAATATATATAATATTTATCATTTTAACCATTTGTAAGCATCCAATCCGGTGGCATTAAATACATTCCCAGTGTTGTGTAACCATCATCACTATCTGTACCTAAAATATTTTCCCCCATTGTTAACTCTGTACTCATTAAACAACAGCTCTGCCTCTCCACCCCGCCAACCCCTGCCCCTAGTAACTTCTATTCTACTTTCTATCTCTATGAATTTGACTATTCTAGGTCCCTCATATAAGTGCAGTTACAAGACATTTGTCTTTCTGTGCCTGGCTTATTTCACTTAGCACAATATTTTCAAAGCTCATCCATGCTGCAGCATGTATCAGAATTTCATTCCTCTTGATGGCTAAACAATGTTCCATCGCATGTGCATACTACATTTTGTTATCCATTTAACTGTTAATGGACACTGGGGTTGTTTTTACCTTTTGGCTATCGTGAATAATGTTGTCACAGACGTTGGTGTGAAAATACTGGTTTGAGTTTCACTTTCAGTTCTTTTGGATATATACTCAGAATTAGAGTTGCTGAGTCATAGGATAATTCTATGTTTAATTTTTTGACGAACCACCAAACTTTTCTACAGCAGTTGCACTGTTTAATATTCTATTTTATTTTTCTTTTCTTAAGCAAAAAAGGGAATATGTTGGGCTCATGTAACAGAAAAGTTTGGGGTGGAACCAATATAGCTTGCTTCAGGAGTCTCTTAATCTCTCTGATCTCTCTCCATCTCGTCCCTGCCCCCTCCCACTGCATGCCTTTCTCAGGCTCCACGTGGTGACGAGATGGTTGCAGCAGCTCACACAACCTGTTCTATTCAAGTTCATGTCCATTGACTCTGTGAGATCATTGGAGAAACTTTAGGGTTCTGGCTTACTAGAAGGGTGACTAGATTCTGGATGGCAAAGAGGACAGTTGTCCCCTACACCTTTCCCACTCCTTTAAATTTCCCCCACCTCAGGACAGCTTCAGCCTCTCCAGCCCAGCTCCATGTCCATAAACCTTCTGGTGTTCAGGAACTCAACTTCTCCATCACTTTTAATTCTTCCTTCTTGCTTGAACTGCACATCCAATCAGTTCCACTGCCCTGCCAATTCTTGCTTTGAAAATAGTTTTTCCTCTGAGTCACTTCCATGGAAAGCATTCATGATTCAGGTCCGCGTAAAGTGGTTACTACAAGTGCCTCAGATGCTGGCAGTGATAATGCATCCTGGGAGGTCTACACTGGTAAAATCGTCACCTAACAGGGGGACGGGCTGTCTGTAGAAGTCTCTAAGATGGGTTGGTCCCTTTGAGGCTGGAAATTAAAAAAAAATAAAATTTAAAAAAAAGTTTTCCTGTATTAGGCTGACTTGTCCCAGAGGCAGCAACAGGCACAGCCCAGACCCAGGAAAGGTCCTAATAATGTTATCTAATGTGCTCTGAAGACTCTCCCAGCACTCCCTCAACATAGAAAAAAAAATTTCCTTTGTTTTATGAAATGAGTTTGTAGGTTCCTCTTCTCTGTAACTAGTGACTTCAAGTATTCTGTTTTCTCTAAGAAGTACAACAAAGGTCATAAGAAGCTTGAGTAGGCCCAAACTACAGCTGCCTGGGCACCATAGTAAAGGTTATAGGATAAGCCCATGCCCAGGCAAAACTAGATAACGGACATCTGGGTTGCTTGGCAACGGTCATGTGCAATCCTGTCTTTGTCCTGCCTCAGTATCCCTGCTTTCATGCCACTGTAAGCTTACTTCAAGCTAGCCCACCCCCTTTTGTAAAGTGTGTATAAAAGTCAGGTGCTGTCTTTGTTCTGGGCCCAGTCTTTTGGACGTTGAGTCAGCTGGGCCCGAGTACACTCAGTAAAAACTCTCCTGTTTCAACCTGAGGTCTCTCTCGTCCTCCTGAATCCTGCACCACCTTCTCCAGATTAATGTAAGCTTGGTCTTAGGAAGTCTCAGTGGACCTACTGAACTTAGGAGAAACCTGTGGCTTAGGCAATATTTAGAACAGCTGAAGAAAGATCAAGGGAACAGCATGGAGTCTAGAATTTTTTTAAAAAGGGAGAAGGTCAGAAAGTGTTGGACACAGCATCTCAGCACCCAGGGCCATTGAGGCTGGCACTGTGTTTTCTGACTTCTCTCATAATCGATGATAAATGCCTCTTTGTACCCCTAGTCCATGTTTTCCAAGAAACCTACTGATTATGAATTGACTTCCCAGATACCTGGATGGCAGAAAAGCAGTGCCTTGGGTGGTAGCCTAGAGTGCCCCGGGATCTGTTACAAAAGTCCATTGCTCAGATCATTAGTAGAGAGGAAAAGGCACCTTGAAGGGCTTGAGAGCAGGTGCAGGGCTCACAGTAAAGCATGGTCCCCACCCACAAGGCAAAGCTTCAGGATGTGAACCCAGACTCATCAGTCACCCACCTGCTGCCTAGTCATGTGTGATGCCTTTGGGGCAGGCTTCCTTCCCTTAATGTGCAGATTCAAGTCCCCACCTGCCTTTGGTCATGTTGTGATTCCTCACAATGTCCAAAGGTCTCAAATCTTTGGCTTGAATGGGCTCACTTCAAAGACCTACAGAGCTGAGCTTGGTATTGAAGCCACAGAATCAAAAGTTTTTGTATCTCAGTTGCAAGACCTGTGAGGCAGAGGTGGTCACTAGAGCCACAGCACGCTAGTGGAACACCAGCCCTGGGACTTTCTCTGTTCTCGCTCACTCCCTCACTTTTCACTTTCTTTAGCCATGGCTGGCTGACAGTGCGTGCAACTTCCAGTCCCTAGGGAACCAAGAAGGAGTGCTCAAACCTACAGCCTCCTGGGTTGGTTCCCAGCTAGGAGAGAGCACCAGCGGCAAGTCCTGCCTGGCTCTGGGTGCTGGGTGCCACCATCACATGTGCCATGGGTGATGGGTGTGGTTGGCTGTGAATGGAAATGCACGTGGTGGAATGATCCCAGGACTCAGCCCTATAGCAGAGACCAGTCTGCACACTTCCTGCCCATGGTGTGGCTGAATGATAGGGAGACAACCACAGTGACCACAGGAATGACTATTACGCCTGGCAATTTATTCAGATATCAGTGAGAGCATTGGATGTCTCTCTAGATGCACGTTAGAGGGTTCAGGCCTATTTTAGTTTATTTTTGAGACTGGGTCCAGTTATGTTGCCCAGGCTGGTCTTGAACTTTTGGGCTCAAGAGATCCTCAGCCTCCTGAGCTGGGATTACATGTGTGCACCACCGCATCTGGCTGGGTTTTTTGTCACAAAAATTGTAGCAAAAGAATTGTACCTATGTTCATTTATTTTACCTTCCAAGTCCTTTTTCCATTACCATTTATGATCTTATAAAATGCCCCCTAGTGAACAAGCCTGGCTGCTAATTTATACCCTTTCCTCTGAAGAGCCCCTCTACGGTAGAAGAGTATTAATGACACTTGCAGGGAAGCATGATGTTGCCATGATATGAATAGCTGGATGTTGCCTTTGGGGGTCAGAACCTAGAGATGATGCTCAGAGTAGACTGCCACTGAGGGACTCAGGGATCCAGGAACAGCCTAGGAAAGAAGAAGACAACAGGAAACTCTAGAATTCTGCTCAGAGACACCATCTCTGCTGTTTTTCTCTGGACTCATTGGAGACCAGAGCTAGAGGTCTCTCATCTCCCTCTTTCCTGGCCTGCGTGTCCCAACACAACGTGTGCTTGCGTGTGTACCCCATCTCACCCTTTTTTACTCTTCTCTCTCTCTTCCTTTTTTCACTTGAAACTGTCCCCTGGAAACCATTCCATAGTGATATAGGGAACAATTACTCACTCATCTCCATTGCGCGCATATATCCTGATTTACTCAACCAGTTTCTAACTTAACCAGTTCCTTATTGACGGACATTTGGTTTGTTTCCTGCCTTTTGCTAATAAAAACAGCACTTCAGTGAGTAGCTTGTGCACATATCTCCTTTGCATTTTTGGCCAGTGTACTTTTGAGAAAGGTTCCTAGGAGTGGGATTGCTGGGTCAAAGAGCAAATGCTTATACAATTTTGCTGGATAACGTCAAACTCCCCTGTATAGTATAATACCACGCAATTCACAGTTTTCATTATATGTTTCTTTCTCTTATGCTGTTAAACCAGAAACTTTATGTTTAACTTATTGGCACAAGATTCCATTAAGAGAAAAATTATATGGACAGACTAAGATTTTAGTTCCCATTACAGGTTTTATTCAATGTATCTGTGAAATGAAGTTGTTTTTTTTTTTTTTTTTTTTTTTTTTTTTTTGAGACGGAGTCTCGCTCTGTCGCCCAGGCTGGAGTGCAGTGGCGGGATCTCGGCTCACTGCAAGCTCCGCCTCCCGGGTTCACGCCATTCTCCTGCCTCAGCCTCCCAAGTAGCTGGGACTACAGGCGCCCGCCACTACGCCCGGCTAATTTTTTGTATTTTTAGTAGAGACGGGGTTTCACCGTTTTAGCTGGGATGGTCTCGATCTCCTGACCTCGTGATCCGCCCGCCTCGGCCTCCCAAAGTGCTGGGATTACAGGCGTGAGCCACCGCGCCCGGCCGAAATGAAGTTTTTATGAGTTCATGAAAACAAGCCAATTTAGCTACTAAGTTACCTCTTACAAAGGGGCCCTAATGCCATAATTTCAGTGTTCACAGCTGGCTATTTCAGCATCGTTAAAACTATTGCACTTTGAAATTATTTCAGTGAAAAAATGCGTGCTGTCCCCAGGGGGAAGAATCCTGGTACTGAAGTGTCCTCTGATGGCATTGCATGTTCCTCAAATCCTAGAGAAATGGAAAACTCCCTCCTGGACAGGGCATTGAATTTCCTCCAGCATGAAGTCCCCTTTTTGCTGATGAATCCCACTTTGCTCCCAAATCTAGGACTCAGGGTTCTGTTTGCCTTACATCACCTCCAAAGGAAGCCGGCTGGCACCAAGGGCCAGCCCCTGGAAACTTGGGAAGCGTTTGATTCCACTTATCTGAGCACAGAAGCAGCATGCCAGCCTGCCTGATACAGTCAGGTGCGTCATGAATTCCAAGGCTGACCCACCAAATCAGGGAGCTTGGGTCCCATGATCTAGGGCTTTTGCCAGCAAGTCAAGGCCTTAAATTCCTGGAGGCTGATCACCTGCCAAAAACCACTTCACAGATGAACGTGTCCTGAAAGGGGGCTTATATACCTTGGATATATGATCCGCCCTCCTGACAAGCCACAGCAGCACTTAAAAAGGCTTGTGAAGGGATGATGCCAGTGGAAGAAAACAGGAACTTTGACCTCCCAGAGCCTATGGATACCAAGAAGGGATCAGATGACTGATTTTTTCAAAAGCTTCCTGGTGGAATAAATGCATTTCACAGGTAAGCCCTGGAACAAAACAAGGCTCACTGAAACGAGTCCATTGTTGGCTTCAGTAAAGTCTAAAGGGAAGGTTGGGCCTTTTTAAAGAAATAGGGTCTACATCAGTTGTGAAAATTTTACAAGAAGCATGTGAAACATGCATGAAGTACAGTGTAGGAGGTATATGAATCAGCCAGAATGGAGTTTTAATAAAGACGCTGCAGATTCATTAAGAAGAGAATTCATTAGAAAAACCCTGAGTTGGCCGGGCGTGGTGGGTCATGCCCGTAATCCCAGCACCTTGGGAGGCCAAGGGGGGCAGATCATGAGGTCAAGAGATCGAGACCATCCTGGCCAACATGGTGAAACTTCGTCTCTACTAAAAATACAAAAATTAGTTGGGTGTGGTGGTGCACACCTGCAATCCCAGCTACCCGGGAGGCTGAGGCAAGAGAATCATTTGAACCCAGAAGGCAGAGGTTGCAGTGAGCCAAGATGGCGCCACTGCACTTCATCCTGATGACGGAGAGAGACTCTGTCTCAAAAAAAAAAAAGAAAAAAAAAACCCAGAGTTTACAAATAAAGGCCAGAAGGGATTAACGTTTGGAAATCTGAATTGCTAATCTCTTTAAAAAAAACATTTTTTCTTTCTTTATTATTATTATTATTTTAAGACAGAATCTCTCACTCTGTCACCCAGGCTGGAGTTCAGTGGTGTGGTCTTGACTCACTGCAAACTCCACCTCCTGGGTTCAAGTGATTCTCCTGCCTGTCTCCTGAGTAGCTGGGATTATAGGCGAGTGCCACCATGCCTCGCTAATTTTTGTATTTTTAGTAGAGACAAGGTTTCACCATTTTGGCCAGGCTGGTCTTGAACTCCTGACCTCAGGTGATCCACCTGTCTTGGCCTCCCAAAGTGCAGGGATTACAGGCGTGAGCCACTTCGCCCGGCTAAAAATAATATTATTTTTGAATTGGTAATCAGTGCACAGGAATCAAAAGTCAAAAACACTCTACAAAAGTATTCACAGAGTTGAATCATTCCCACCCTCACACTTTCCCCTACATAACCATTTAGATCAATTTCTTGTTTACTCTTTCAGTGTTTCTTTAAGTAAATATAAGCAGTTCTTTTTTTGTTATTTTCGCAGCATTGAGCCGCCAGCCAACTCTGGCCAGTGGTGCCCTGTAGCCTTTCTGGGAATGTGGGAAAGGAAAGAAGAGAAAGCCTTGAGCAACACTGGCTGGTCGCATGGTACCAGTAGTACTCCCCCACATGCTGTGACAACCAAAAATGTCTCCAGACATTGGCACATTGCCCCTGGTTGAGAATTGCTGGTGGAAAAAAATCACAGCCCCGCAGTTGGTCAGGCCCTTTTCAGACAACACCCCCCACTCCATTACTCTTTGATGTTGAGCCCAGCACAATTTTCAGGTCCTGGACTCCCAAGGTTGGAGCCTCCACTTTTCAGGAAGCGGTTGCATTCGATTTCAGGAAGCGGTTGCATTAGATTTGTAGAGAGTGGGGGCCAAGGCATCATCCAGGCCACCTTCATCCCCTGGGACTGCTACTGCATCCTCCTAACTCATCTCCTGCGTGTTCTACATGCACAGCGGTCCATACCACCCCACAGTGGGCAGCCCCTTGGGGTGCCTTAATGCTCTTCGGATAAAGCCCAGACTTTCTGATGGGGCTTGTGGGGCCCTTCAAAGTGCAGTCCTTGGCTGGGTGTGTAGCTCATGCCTATAATCCCAATACCTTGGGAGGCTGAGGTGGGAGGATCATTTGAGGCCAGGAGTTCGAGACCAGCGTGGGCAACACAGTGAGACCCCATTTCTACAAATAATAGAAAATAAAAAATTAGCCAAGAGTGGTGGCTTGTGCCTCTAGTCCCAGCTACTCGGGAGGCTAAGGCAGGAAGATTGCTTGAACCCAGGAGTGCAAGACTTTAGTGAGCCATGATTGCACCACTGTACCTCCAACCTGGTCAAGAGAGTGAGACCCTGTCTCTAAAAATGAAAGAAATTTAAAAGGTAAGAACCAAGGGAAGTCCTTGCCTGCCTCTCCAGGCCTCTCAGTTGCCTGCTGTCCCTGTTCACACTTGGCTCCATCCTCACTGAGACAACTTTTTTCCCTGGCATACTCCTTGCTCTGGGTTTTTCCCATGCCCTTTCCTTGCCTGGAATGCCATCTCCCACCTTTTTCCTGGCCAGCAAAACCTCTATTCATCCTTCAGGTGTACCTCAGAGCTGACCAACCCTCCCCACATCTACCTGGCCTGGCCCTGGGTCCCAGTTGGGCACTCCTCCTAAATACTCCTAGATATGCAGAACATTTACTTCCTCATGTTGTCATTGTTTGTCTAATTGTCTGAAGCCCCCCAGGAATGTGGCTGCACAAGGACATAGACTAGATGGCCTTGTGACCCCTGTGTCCCTGGCCCCAGCACAGTGGCTGGCAACCAGCAGGTCCCAGTGCATGACTGCTAAATGCATGCACACATGGCACAATGCTTGCAACCAGGCACATGCTTCCCCAGCCTTAGGAAGGGTTACGTTCATGGGGTTAGGTTCACAGACGCTGGAGCCAGGCTGTCTGGGTACACTCTGCACTGTGGGGCTCTACCACTTCCCGACGGTGTGCCCTTGGGCAAATTGCTTACCTTCTCTATCCCACATCTTTACATCGTTAGCATTTACGTCAAGGATTATATTAATCATATGAGCTAATGTATGTTATGTGTTTATAGTAGTGCCTGGCATATCGTCAGCACCATAAAAGAGTTTGCTGTTCTAGCTTCAAAACTCTTCATAGAACTTACACTCGGTAACAGGATAAGAATTTTGATTTCAGGAGGGATGGCAGGTGATGGGATGATGAAGGGAGGGAGACTGGGCAGATTGGAGGGAGACTGGGCAGATTGGGAGTTCCTCATGTGTAAGAGGAAACCAAGAGCCTGCAATTCTCAAGTATAACATTACGCCCTCAGAGAAGTGGGTGGGAAGATTCCAGAGACTTGCTCATTTTACAAACATTTATGGTAGATTGATTTGGGGTCCAAGAAAGGAGAATGAAACTCTCTTTTTTCCATCCTCTCCTTTCGGCCCTCTCTTCCCAGGACTCACATGAATGAACGTCTCTGGACACCTAATCACCATTTATCAATCTCACTTCTATGAGAAAAACACATTTCAAGTACCTACCCTCCAGCTTGTCAACAAATTCATTAAAAAAGAAGGGAACATCAGTTATATAAAGCCATGGTGTTTTTGCCTTACTATCAAGCTTTTGGATGAAATGGAAAAGTTAAATCCGCCCGGGAGGCATTTCTAACTCTCCACATTTAGCCACGGAATAGTTAGACTAATACCTGAATTCTCCATTTACATTTTCAGCTTGCATTCACAGATCTGGAGTCATAGAGAAATTACTGGTGTGGTGTCAAGTCTAAGTTTTAATGCCTTGAGGGGAAGCAACTTCACAATTCTGAACAAGGTTATCATGAGTGGAGGAGAAACATTCTCCTGGTTCTTGAGCCGGAGTTCATGAGCTCACACTTTGGCAGATCTCATCACTGATCATTTGAGCTCACACAGCTCCAAATACAATGGAAACCACTGGGTTATTTGTCAGCTGTTGAGTTCATTTGGTTGTTTAAACAATGCAATCATGCCAGTGGAGTGGGGGCAGGCAGACAGCAAACACTGGCTCCGTGCAAACCTGTGCTCCGTGCCCCGAACAAGGCAAGGGCAATGTTGGCCTGATGTAAGGGTTCTGCTGGGCACCTGCTGTCTCAGACACCTCGGTTGAACTCCTAGCTCTGCTGCTTTCCAGAGTTATTTGATGCTGCAGAACGTCAGTCTGCTTATCTGTAAAATGGGCATAGTGATTTTAATTACCTCACAGAGGCCTAAAAGGGAGGAGTGATATAATCCACAGGAAGAGCTCAGCATATTAAATAATCATGACCCACTAGCTATGACTGCTACTGTCTCTGGGGGTTCAAGAGCAGACAGTAGAATCATACCAGGGGAGAGACCTGACTAGTATGAGCCCCTTGTTGGGCTTTTGGACTTTGAAACAGGGTGAGGAATGAAGCAGAGAGAGGGATGATAAATTGCTTTGCACAATAAATGAAGAGGGATTTGGGGGTTGCAAGCGGGCAAGCTGAGAGAGGATTCGGGATGACATGGGCAGGGACCAGCCCCCAACCCGCTGCCCATCACTGGCCCCAAACCTTGAGTGAGCATCTCCCATAGCAAGGAGCTGTGGATCCTAGTTTTCCAGGATAGCCTCATGGTTTGCACCTGTGGCCCCAGAGTAATCACTTTCACTTTCAGAAGTGTTTGGGTTTGGCTATAAATTATGTCCTAACTATGTCCAACTGCCTTCTGGGAGGTGGTATGTTAGAAAAACCACAGAAAAGAGGCTGCATTCACCTGGGCTAAGACAAGGAGGAGCGAAGAGAGTAGCAGGTGGAGGTAGGGTTGAGATGGGGCAGATGCAGGTGGTTAGAGCAGAGGGAGCCAGGTGAGACTGAGAGAGAGCTAGAAGATGAGGAATACTCAGGTAACTAGCATATGGATTACATTTAGAGTATTTTAAGATACAATTCACATATATTGAAACACAAAAATTTTATAAGCCCCCAAAGTCCCCTGTCCCTCTTTGTTGGCAATCCTTGTTCCCCGCTTTCTACCCTTGGCCAACCAATGATGGTTTAGACTTGGAAATAGTGTCTTATAAGTGGAATCACATGGTATGCAGCCTTTTGAGTCTGCCTTTTTCTACTTTTCATAAATGCACTTGTAGTTGATCTGTCTTGTTGCAAGTATCTGTAGCTTATTCTTTTTTAATACTGAAACATCTGTTTATCCATTCCCCAGTTCTAAGACTTTTAGGTTGTTTTCATTAATTGTCTTATTTTGGCAAATCAGTTCACCTGTGTAACCTGCAGTCCTCTCAAGAGAAATGTAGGTTTCACGTAATGTACCACAGAGAAACAAATTCTAGTTTAAGGGTTCTTAACTTCATCTGATTTATGAGCCCTTTGCTAGTCTGGGAAACCCTTCTTTGAATAATGTTTTCAATGCAAAAATCAAAATGCATAGGATCTCAAGGGAAGCCAATTATATGGATACATAGTTATCAAATATTAAGAAATATGTGATACAGACACATAAGGTGTTTCTTTATGATTACAATAAATAAGATCAAGAGGCAGGTCTAATAACTACAGAAATTTCCAAGTAGTGATGAGTGTAAATAATATTTTGAGATGACTAACATCTGTAATAAGTTATAAAAAATCTATGATTCTTCTTGGGGACAAAGTCACAAGTACAATTATTATTATTACCTTTTATTTCCTATATTCATAAAGAAAGGAAATGATAAATTTCAGTTTGAGGTTGGTAAACATAAAAATATGATTTTTCCTTATGAACTTTTTGAATTCTGTTTATGTATCTTTTGGGGACTTTGATCATGCCACCTTAGAATTAGATGATCCAGCTCATTTTGTTGCTACAACTTTAGAGGGAAGCGGGGGGACTCCTTTTTGCTGACTCCCATTCTGCAGACATAGAAGTCTTTTCTCTGCAGACTCGCATCTGTGGATTAGTGCATAACCCACCTATTTCAAGCAGCTACATAGTCTCTACTTGTTACTGTGACTCCAGAAACTTCTCAGTTTACAACAGTCTAACAATTATGCCTTCAAATCTGATGCAAGAGAACTTGAACAAAGCCCCCAAAGTCCTCTGATAGGTGAAACGTCCAATCTTATCTCTACTGAGGAGAGCTGCCACCTGAATTTATAGCAGTGTACACTCACTTAAAGCAAAAGTGAAAAAAATACAAAGAAGAGTTTAGCTAGGCATAGAAAAAATGCAATGGGTATTTTGTGAGTTCTGAGTTTCTCTTGAAATGTGAGCCAATTTGATTCTGGGAAAATTCAACTTCCTTGTTTGAAGACAGCTTATGAAATGGCTTTTGAGTTTTATGTATACCAAATGCTTCTGCACTCACCCAACAGGATTTTTTCAGGTGTAATGCATATACATGCACCAGAGAGTTACAGACTAGCAATGCCCTAAAACCACTTACAAGGATAAATAAATATGTCCAAAAAAATCAAATCTTCACAAAATATGGTTATTTTGAAGTATATCTCATCTCCCATTTTCTCACTCCACAAAAAAATCTAGGACCTTCCTCACTTCCTATCACGTGCCCAACTTACTTTTAGACGTACCAAGTTCCATATGGTCAGAATGTACCTAAATTACATTCACTCACCAGAGCTCTCACATGGGGTAACTTCAAATAATTGTCAAAGATTCTCTACAAGAAAAATAGATTCCCACTTGGTCTTAGATGCCTTAAAATTTTTAATGAGTGCAAAGCTTTTATTTCTCAAAGAGAGATAGGATTTAAAGTATCTCTTTTATTTCTCAAAGGGATAGGATTTTTGGGGTGATTGCTCACTGACCTAGGTTCACTTGAAGGTATAGATGTTTGGTCCGTAGAGCAGTATTCCCAAACCTGAAAGAACAGGAGGCATTACTACAGAACCTACAGAACAGACAACAGGGTCCTGCATCTGAGCAACTGGATAAATCATTTCTGAAAATAAGGCCTAGGAATCTTTCATTCAGACACACTTTCCTATCAATTCTGATGCACAGCTGTTTGGGCATCACTGCCTTTGAGCACTAAAAATCTAATGAAAAATATTTTACCTTTGTGTGTTCACAGTGTATGAACTTTGTTCACACAGATTCTTACTTGGTCCCAAATAAACTTGTAAGGTATGTAGGGAAGAGATCACTTTCCAATAGTACAGGTTGGGAAACCAAGAATTAGAGGTGTTATGGGACTCATCCAAAGACATCTAGAGACTGAAAACAAAGAAAAGAGGGAGAAAAAAGTGCTGGTCTGCCCTTGATTTACCTTTTTTTGTGTATGTGTGAGGCAGATCTTTCTCTGCCTTCCAGGCTGGAATGCAGTGGTACAATCTTGGCTCACTGCACTTGAATCCTGGGTTCAAGTGATCCTTCCACCTCAGCCTCCTGAGTAGCTGAGACTACAGGTGCCTGTCACCAAGTCCAGCTAATTTTTGTAAATTTTATAGAGATGAGGTTTTGCCATGTTAACAAGGCTGGTCTCGACCTCCTGGGCTCCAACAATCCTCCCGCCTTGGCCTCCCAAACTGCTGGGATTACAGGCGTGAGTCACCACTGGCTCCTAGGTTTATCTTAAAATTTTGTATAAAGGCAATCCCACATGTTAATAAGAGATTGTTACTAAATGCCACAAGTGTCATCTGTGAAATTCAAGGACTTAAATAAAAAGCGGAGTTGTTAAAAAGCTGTTTTTTATTTACAAATGTAGTCAAGAACCTTCCAAAGAGGTGTTATGCTGGATGGTAAGCAAGTATTTCTTTCTGATTTTTCCTTTGTTGAAAGGAGCTGCCATCTACGACTCAGCAGAGGAAGGGCTGGTTGGCCCTCTTCTGAGGCTATCTTGGGCTCACTGAGAGACAGGCTCACAAATGGGGTTGCCCTAGGGTACTGGGTCAGGATAGAATAGGAGTGTTTTTGTTCTGAGGGTTAAAAAGAAGCTAGCCCACATCTAGGAGTGGCAATGGGGTGTGTTGCTGCTGGACTGTGCCCTAATGTCAGGCTCTTGGGGCCAGCTTGGGCTCCAGGAAGGGCTGGGTGTGTAAACGCATGGAAGGATTCCATGAGAACTGTGATGTGGGGGACACCTGGAGGGAACTGGAGTCAAAGAAAGAGTCATCTCCCCTCTAAGTTTTAGCCTCTGTGGGACTGAGAGCAGGTCTCTCTGTTGAGGGGAGAAGTGTCCCCTGTTTTGAGTATCAGCATTGGGTGGAGGTGGGAAACCAGAGCAGGTTCTCCCTGAGGAAACTCCTGGGGTTCGGGCAAATCAAAAGAAGGGAGACCCAAGAGGAAGATATGCAAATGAGTCCCTGGAAAGGAAAAGGAGGCGGTTGCATTTAATTCTTGACTTTATAGATAGTTCACAAGCTAAGTTTCTAGCTCACCTCCACCTGGGTGTGAATTACAGAAGAACTTGCCAGTAAATACGTATTTGATGGCTGGTTAAGAAATTGCATTGGCTGTGCAAACAATCCTAAAACATCTGGTCAGTTTAGACAGAAAATCAAGTCAACTCAGTCAAAATATTATTCATTCATATAACAGATGATTATTGAGAGCTTCCTATTCACCCAGCACTGACTCAGGTGCTGAGGAAACAGCAGTGAACAAAAGCCAGGTTCCCTGCCATACTGGAGCTTCCTGTCTTGTGAGGGAGACAGTCAACAAATAGAACCCTGAGCAGGATGAAAAGATGGAGAGCGAGCGGAGTGCTTCACATAGTACATCAGGGAGGGCAGCCTTGAGGAGGTGACCTTAGCAAGGGAGCTAGGTGAAGTCATAACGTGAGTTCTGCGGAGACAGGGGTAGAGTGCTCCAGGCAGGAGCTCGTTCAGATTGAGTGCAGCACAGTGATGGGGAAAAATGAGGCAGGAGACAGAGGTCAGAGAGGGGAGGGGAGATGATGCCCAGTTATGGAGACTTTCAGAGCCCCGGGAGATTTTCAGATTTGGTTCTAAGTGTAAATTGAAGCCACTGGAGGATTTCAGCAGAGCAGGGACATTATCCGTTATCCATCCTATTATTACGACAGCTCAGGTTGTTGGGTTGAGAACAGGCCCTAGAGACAAGCATGGAGCAGGGAGAAGAGCTAAGATGCTATTGCAGTGATCCAGGCCACAGATGAAGGTGGTCCAGGCCAGAGATGAAAGTGGACCAGGCCAGAGCTGAAGCTTGGACCACCATTGACAAAGGTGAATCCAGCTCATTCCTTCAGCTGGTGTGTAGACAATAAAGTCCCATGAGGGGTCAGGTGCAGTGACTCATACCTGTAATCCCAGCACTTTGGGAGTCTGAGGTGGGCAGATCACTTGAGGTCAGGAGTTTGAGACCAGCCTGGCCAACATAAGGAAACTCCGTCTCTACTAAAAATACAAAAATTAGCCGGGTGTGGTGGTGTGCACCTGTAATCCCAGCTACTTGGGAGGCTGAGCAGGAGAATTGCTTGAACCTAGGAGGTGGAGGTTGCAGTGAGCCGAATTGCGCCACTGCACTTTGAAGCCTATTCAAAAGAACAAAATTTAGCCCCAGCGTTTGGGAGGCTGGCAGGGGCAGGAGTGAGCCTGCTGGATGGTGCTGTGGCACAGAGAGGCAGGTGGCTTCCCAAAATACGGTTCTACATGGAAATGGAGTGCAAAGTCTTACGTCATGACTGCGAGGAATTATTACTAAGATTGTTATTTTACTCAAGGCCCAAAAGTGATCAAGCTGCCCTAGTCGGAAACATTTTAGAAAATGTTGTATTAAAGAGTCAGTTTTTCACAATTCTTTTGTAACTTAATCCAGTTCAACTTCTGTCCTTTCACTCTGTGGCAACCCCTGTCCCCACTCCAGGACAACAACTACCTCCCAGGGTTGTGAAGAGTGTTAAATCACTTAAAATAAGATCTGATGTGTAAAGAGCCCTCTTTACAGAGGTAAAATGCAAGACATTTTATTTACAGGAGGGAGCTAGATGGAACAATCTTCAAAGTCTTTCAAGATTTAATACTCTAAAAGAGTGTGAGATATTTACTGAGGACTTGCTGTATGGATGGCATGTGCTTGTCTGGCAGACCACATCTGGTTGGCAGGTGAAGGGTGAAAGTTCAAATGCTATCTCTGGGGACAAGGGATCTGGGAACAATCCCAGCACTTGGATGCACAGCTGCTCCCTCTGGTTCGCTTTCTCCCGTCTTTGCATCTATTCATTGCCTTTTCTTCTGTTGGACTCTATTAACAAGGATTCAGCTTCCTGCCATTCCCCTAGAAACCAACTTTAAAGGAAAAAAAAAACAGCTTTAATCTTGTTTTTGGCAATCACGCTTGAAACAGAGAAATGAAAAATAATTAAAATCCTAATTTAAACTGCAGTAAAGGGAATATGAAGAGAATAAATGTGCTATGTAAATTTCTTTCTTTCTTGTCTTTTTTTTTTTTTTTTTTTTTTTTGAGGTGGAGTTTCACTTTGTTGCCCAGGCTGGAGTGCAGTGGCGTGATCTCGGCTCACTGCAAACTTCACCTCCCAGGTTCAAGTGATTCTCCTGCTTCAGCCTTCCAAGTAGCTGGGATTACAGGCATGCACCACTATGCCTGGCTAATTTTTGTATTTTTAGTAGAGACAAGGTTTCACCATGTTGGCCAGGCTGGTCTCGAACTCCTGACCTCAGGAGATCCACCCACCTCGGCCTCCCAAAGTGCTGGGATTACAGGTGTAAGCCACCACACCCAGTGTAAATTTCTAATTGATATATGATGTCTTTTTTTTGCAAGATTGATAATTATATAATACATAGTTATACATAGTTTATTTAAATTAAGTTATTCTACTTGAAGTATTCACATTTTGGGGTTTTGTCCCAATAATATGATGCCAATTCATTAATATAATAAAACCAAATATCTATGTTGTTTTTCCCTAACATGCATAATCATCAATTTGCTTTTGAAATTTTCCTTCATTGTTATCGACTACGTGCCAGGCATATCAGGCTTTTTCTTTTCTTCCCTCCCTCTTTCCCTCCCTCCTTTTCTTCCTCACTTCCTTTTTTCTTTCTTTCAATCAATAAGTCATTTTTTGTTCATTTGAAATTAGAAAATATACCATATTGATAACTAAAACTTAAGACTTCAAGTATTATTTTTGCTTTCAATTTAAGCATTTTGTTTTTATGAAGACAACTGTTTAAGCCCCTCTATTTTGCTGTTTCTAATGTATTCTGGATTAAGAAACCAGATAACAGGTTAGAATGAATTTAGAATAAAGTTATAGCCTCCAAATGAGAGTCCAGGTTGTTCATCTTTGAAGAAAACATTCACACTTTTATTTAAGATTCACACTTTTATTTAAGAGGCAAACTCTATTACATAGTTTTTGCTTTGGGAGATCTTTTTTGCTTACTCTTTGATTTTGGGCTTTATTCCACTCTGATTAGTGACTTCTAAATATGTGAGATGTTAGGTCATAGGATACAGAATTCAAGTGATAAAAGAATCCCAAGACCATCTGATCCAAGGTCTGCATCCAGAGTGGTACCCCATCAAGTGAAAGGGATTATCCAAAAGCACAGAACTCGTGGAGTCAAACACATATGTCTCCAAGGGGAATATGCAGCAAAGCCAAGTCTCTCACTACTGGCAGACCACCCTTCTTAGCCCTTATCTCTTTCTGGTCCACCTGGATTGAACTCAACCAAATTAAAAAGAAAAACTCAAATGTTAGTAAGATACTCTACAATAGAATCATAAGCTAAATGATTTCATTTTATGTGTGCTGCATAAACACATTTTCAAACACTCAATTCCAAGTTTTTAAGAAATATAGTTCAAATTACGAGTAGTAAAAATAATTTTACAAAGTGTGGTCTTGACATATTTTGGCTTATAGGGTGTAGTTAGGGAACTTCAAAATAAATCTGCAATTTAAACTATTGATGAAGCATGGCATGAGACATCAGCATGAAACTACCAGAAACTCAAGAGTTTAGTCAACTTTTTCCATTCTGCAGAGTTACACAACAGGGCAGGAACCTTGGATTGTTTATGATTATTTCTCCAACACCAGTGAGTCTGTGTCACAAGAAAGGTCCTCAGAAAAAGTTCATGAAATGATAAATGGATGTATGGGTGGATGGATGGATGGATGGATGGATGGGTGAATGTGTGGATGGGTGATGGATGGATGATGGATGAATGGATGATGGATGAATGGTTGGGTGGATGGGTGGATGGATGGGTGGATAATGGATGGATAGCTCTTCTCAGTTTTGTGAATAGTATAGAAATAGTCTTTCTAGATCATAATTTTATGACTATATCATATAGAGATGCCGACTTAATTTTGAGATACGCTACACGTTTTTTCCATGGATCTGTAGTCACAGGTAGAATGGTAAAAGCAAAAGATTGTAAAGTATCACAATGGCCAGCTTGCACATCTCTTGGCCATTCACAACTTACCTATCTCCTGGCAGATGAGGGATGTTTTCTGGATATATGGGAACCAGACACACTCTGGTGACATCCTTTCTCTTTAGCCTTATTTATCTGTTTTTTTCCCCCTAGTGTTTCCTGTAAGACATTGAAGTTTAGGAAATTGAATTATCTAAACTGTTATATGCCAGTAGGTGCTCAGGGCAGTGGATGTTGGCTTTTTTACAAAAGTCAGTCAAAGGATAACTATTTCATATTAATGTCATGTATTATAGAAGGATGAGGTCAATTTCAGTATCTGGCAGTGAAAAACAATAGGATCAGCCATCACCTGCAGGCAAATTAATAATTTTACTTGGCAATTGTGCATAAATTTCATGGCTGGCAAAACACTTTCACATCTTATATGTTTCAATGCTCGGAAGAACTCAATGCAGTAGTCTTATAACCAACAAGTAGCTTGCCCAAAATAACACAGCTGGTAAGCAGCGTAACTGGGATTTAAACCCAGATTTCTAGATGCAAATCACATAATCTCTCCATCATCCCAAGGGGTCTCTCGTCAGGATTCATTGGTAATCGTAGGGAGATTTTGTAGGGATGATGGGTCCTCTCCACATAAACTATATTCCCTTATCTACACCTTCAAAGTTCCTGGTAGAGTCAACACATTGGATTAAGGCTTTTTCCATGGAATACACTATAATAAGGGGGCTGGAGCGAGGCTGACCTTCCTCTAACACAACGATTAACAATTTTGGCTGGTTGATTCTTTGTTGAGGGGCTGTCTGTGCATTGTAGGATGTTTTACAACTTACCTGGCCTCTACCTACCAGACGCCAGTAGCATCCTCCAATCATGGAAACTAAAACATGTGCCCAGACATTGCCAGATGATCCATGGAGGGCAAAATCACCCCTTGTTGAAAGCCACTTCTCAAACCCATGACCACAGATCTGTTTCATCAGGTCAACATCCTTCACCATAAATTTCAGGGATCTGGAGGAGTGGAGGGTGGAGACTATAAGCTTGAGGTTTAAAATAGTTAATGAGACCTCAAGTTTTAAAAACTTGTAGAGAGCAAATACAGAGGATTGAACAGTTTAGAAAAACACCACAATGCTAAGCAAATATCTTACAGATAGAGGTGAACAGTATAAAATGGAATTCCTGTCTTAAATTTTAGTATTGTTTCTATCTCCAGTAGTATCATTACTGTTGCTCCTGGCATCAGAAGTGAAGGTAATATGAGAATCAGAGGTTCAAACTGCAGTCTCCAGGAGTCCAGAAGCCAGCCTGATTCAAGGGTTACATACCCTTCCACACTTACCTTGGGGCTGACTAGGGAGCCATATTCTATCTGAGGCCTAGGATACTCCTATGTCTTTCCCTTTCATATTATAGCATACTTTTCTAGAAGGGCTTTTGGCAAGTGGTCAGCAATAAAATCATGGAGGAATCTCATCTTTCTCTTCTTCCTCCTCTTCCTTTATTTTTTCAATAGTTGGACATGTTTGTTCAAAATCTAGTTTGTTTTGAGAACAGTGCAAGATCACATGGAACATAAAAAAGAAAACAAAAAATTCTTACTAACTAGATGAGTTCATGGTAAAGTGATTATATAATTCATTGTTCAAACTAGAGCATTTTTGAGAGTGACAGGGGGTGCTCTTACAATCACGCTTTTGAGACAACAGGCATGATTTCTGGGACTGTCACTGGCTAAGTTGGACAAAGTGTTCCCCCTAGTTCTCCATGACTCTTTCAGCTCTTATTACACACTCCTGTCAAGATGTGACGGCTCTGTTCTCTGGGACAATACTAATAATGGGGTCATAATGTTAGCAATAACAAATGCTGTGCTAAGTTTGATACATATGTTATATCCAATTTAAAACTCACAGAAGAGGAGCTTTAGGATGGCTCATGAGAGGCATCTGGTACTCACTCCCTCCACAAACTAGGACCAAAATAGCAAGTAGATAATCATATTTTAAATAGATCACATAACAGAGAATGCTGGAATTCAACAGAGAAGTGATAGGAAACATCTAAGGCAAGGAGGAAGAGAGAAGTAAGGCAGAGAGCTCAGTTTTGATTGGCTAGGATCCTGGAGAGGCTCCCCAATGCAGGGAAAGGGTAAGTGAGTGACCCCCAGCAGCCTACATTTCCACTGCAAATCCCTGCAATCCTACCCATGGGAAAGCTCCTCAATCCATGCCGGCTCTGAGATTAGCATGAGCAGCTAACTAAAGACCATGCACTGTCACAACATTGCTCCAGAGAGGGAGCTCACATTGAGTACTACACACCCCCTGAGTCCTAAACAGCTACAGAAAGGTGCTATTTTGAGAGTCTAGACTCCACCAGAGTGCATCCTGCCCTGGGTCCCAACAACCCCTGCATCTCCACATCCCTGGAGCCCCAATAACATCCACTCCTCATAGCCAGGTGCCACTGCTGGCTGCTGCCACTAGAGCCTAAGAACGGGCCATTGGCGGTGATCCTGCCACCCCCAGAAGCAGGGCTGCTATGCGTTTACAAGTGCCCTGCAAAAAGGCTATGCAGCTTCACCTAGGGCTGAAGAGCATGCTCCCCAGCCACCTGTTTAAAGATGCTGCCACTGAAAGCAACCCTGCCCTCCTCAGCAGCAGGGCTGCAGTGCAGCTGCTGCCATCTTAACCTGAGTATTTCTCCAGGGGCCTGGAAATCACCTCATCTCTGCCTAACACAGCCAGTGCTTATACTCAGCCCAGTTCCATCCTCCCTCCCCAGTGTCTGAGCATGCTGCCTGGGGACCTGGAGAGCGCCCTGCCCCTGGAGATTGCCCTGCCCCATCATTGGCACCTGAGCACTCCTCCTGGGGTTCTAAGGATGGGCTGACCCAACCTGCTGCCACCACTACAGGTGGCACTCACTCGCACATGCCACCTGCAAGCCTGGGGACTGGCTTGCCCAGCCTGTCCCAGCCACTATCAACACCAGCACGGACCATGTGAGAGCCAGATGATTGTCCCACCACTGCTACTGCCACTGCCCACACCATGCCCACTGCTCAAGAACCTGAGGATCTGTCCACCTACCTGGCCTACCACTGCCACTTCTGCCACCCAAACAAGCCTCCTAGAGGCTCAAGAACTGGTTCACTTGGACCTGCTAACACCAGTGCTAGTGTATCCTGCCCTGAGGCTCAAGGACAAGCATGCTCAGTCCACTGCTGTCATCAATGCACTGGTACCCAAGGACTGGCTCATTTGATGTTCCTGTCCCCAGCAAAACACTTCACCATAGGCTTTACTAACACCACAGTCTAAGCCACTGAGGAAATCAAAGATGGCACAGATTCTGTTTACAACTGAAGAAATCATATGGAGAGTATACTACTGCACACACCAAGAATCAAAGCCAAAGTGCTGTGTGCTACTCAACCAATACCACAGATATATCTTTAGCAAAAAAATCCTCTCCTATTATAACAAGTTCAAAAAATTGAAAGAAGCAACCACTACACCAGATGTGCAGATATCAATGTAAGGACATAAGAAACATGAAAAAACAAGAAAATATGGTAACTCCAGAGGAAGACATTAATACTCCAGCAACAGATTCCAATGAAAAAGAAATATATGAAATCCCAGGGGAAGAGTTCAAAATAATGATATTAAAGAAGCTCAGTAAGCTACAGGAGAACACAGAAAAACAATGCAAGGAAATGAAAAAAAACAATTCAGGGTATGAGTAAGAAATTTGCCAAAGAGATAGATATCATAAAAAAGAACCAAACAGAAATTCTTGAACTGAAGAATTTACTGAATGAAATATAAAATACAATCAAAAGTTCAAGAATAGACTATATCAAACAGAAAGAATTTTAGAACTTGAAAACAGGTGTTTTGAAATAACCCAGTCAGACAAAAATAAAGAAAAAGAATAAGAGAATAAACAAAGCCTATGTGACATATGGGACACCATAAAGTTATGAAATATTAAAATTTTTGGTGTCCCAGAATGCAATGAGACAATGAAAGGGACAGAAAATTTATTTAATGAAATTATAGCTAAAAAATTCAACAGAATTAGACATCCAGATACAGAAAGCTCAGAGATTCCCAAATAGATACAATTCAAAAAGGTCTTCATGGCACATTATCATCAAACTGTCAAAAGGCAAAGACAAAGACAGAATTCTAAGACCATCAAGAAAAATGTATAAAGTTACTTATAAGGGAATTCCCCTTAGACTAACAGTGTATTTGTCAGCAGAAACCTTACGGGCCAGGAGAGAATGAGACGCTATATTCCAAGTGCTGATAACAACCAAACTACCCAATTTGCCAGCTAAGGATACTATTCCCAGCAAAGTTATCCTTCTTAAATGAAGGAGAAATAAAGTCTTTCCCAGACAAGCAAAAGCTGAGGGAATTCATCACCACTAGACTGGTCCTACAAGAAATGCTTCAGGGAGCCCTATATCTGGAAATGAAAAGATAATATCTACCATCATGAAAACACATGAAAGTATAGAACCCACTGGTAGAGCAGACACACAAGTGGGAAGAAAAAGGACTCAAATGTTACCACTACAGAACACCACCAAACCACAATGATGAATAATAAGAGATAAATAAAGGAACAAAGTATATACAAGACAACCAGAAATCAATTAATAAAATGACAGGAATAAGACTTCACATATCAATAATAATATTAAATGTAAGTGGATTAACTTTCCACTTAAAAGATATAGACTGGCTGAATAAATAAAAAACAAACACAAGCCAACTATATGTCACCTACAAGAAACTCATCTCACCTGTAAAAACACAAATAGACTGAAAGTAATGTGATGGAAAAAGATATTCCATGCAAACAGAAACCAAAATCAAGCAGCAGTAGCTATACTCATATCAGATGAAACAGACTTTACGTCAAAAACGCAAAAAGAGATGAAGAAGGTTGTTATATAATGATAAAGGGATAAATTCAGCAAGAGGATATAACAATTATAAACATATATGTATTAACACCAGAAAACCCACATATATAAAGCAAATATTATGAGATCTAAAGGCAGAGATAGACTTCAGTACAGTAATAGTTGCAGACTTCAACACCCCAGTATCAGCATTATACAGATCATCTAGACAGAAAATTAGCTAAGAAACATTGGATTTAAACTGGCTAAGAACTCAAAAGCACAAACAACAAAACCAAAGACAAATGGGCTATATTAAACTAAAACGTTTCTGTACAGCAAGGGGAATAATCAACAGAGTGAAAAGACATTGTGTCAAATCAGAGAAAATATAAACTATCATTTGATAAGGGACTAATATCCAGAATATACAGGAAACTCAAAAAACTCAACAGTAAAAAACCAAATAATACAATAAAAAAAGTGGGCAAAGGACATGAATAGACATTTCTCAAAAGAAGACATACAAATGACCAACAGGTATATGAAAAAATGCTCAACGTCATTAATCCTCAGGAAAATGCATATCAAAATGACAATGAGATACCATCTTACTCCAGTTAAAATGGCTATTACTAAAAGACAAAAAAATCAGATGCTGATAAAGATGTGGTGAAAAGGGCACTGTTGGTGAGAGTGTAAATTAGTACAGCCACTATGGAAAACAGAATGGAGATTACCAAAAAACTAATAATAGAACTACTATATGATCCAGCAATCTCACTAAATGGTTATTTATCCAAAGGAAAAGAAATCAGTATAAAAAAGGGATGCCTGCACCCCCATGTTTATGGTGGCACTATTTACAGTAGCCAAGATATGGAATCAACCTGTGTCCATCAACAGAGGAATGGATAAGGCAAGTGTGGTATATATATATACACACAATGGAATATTATGTGGCTATAAAAAGAATGAAATTATGTCATTTGCAGCAACACAAATGGAACTGAAGGTCACTATGAAGGTCATTATGTTAAGGTCAAAATGTTGTATGTTCTCACTCCTATGTGGGAGCTAAAATGGTTGGTCTCATGGAGGTAGAGAGTAGAATGATAGATACCAGAGGCTGCAAAGGGAGTGTGGGTGAGTAGGACGATGAAGAGAAGTAGGCTAATGGGTACAAACATACAGTTAGATAGAAGGAATAAGCTTTAATGTGTGGTAGCACAGTAGGGTGACTATAGTTAAGTTAACAACAATATATTGTCTATTTCAAAATAACAAAGAGAGAGGACCTGAACTGGTCCCAACACATAGAAATGATAAATACTTTAGGTAATGGATACCTTAAATACCCTGACTTGATCATTACACATTCTACGCATGTAATAAAATATCACATGTACTGCATAAATAATGTACAAATATGTATCAGTGAAACAACTGACAATGACAAGGTTCCTTTTATAACCCTCACTGTTCCAGATGAAAAACTGAATCAAGATCATATAGTTATTACGAGATAGGGCAGGGATTTAAATCAGACCATTTAATCCAAGAACCACCCATTTCACCATGATTGTCATGTGTGTCAGTTCCATGTAATGTTCTTACTGACCTGCAAGATGATGTGTACGTGCTTCAGGATCTACTGACTAGCAGGCTTTGAAATCCCTGCCTCCTAGTACAACCTATTCTGCAGTGACACTCTTCTTTTAACTGAAATGTACCTTACCAAGTAACTGAAGAAAGCCAGCCAGATTAAGAAGCGGGTTTGGGGCCACTTGTAGGTAAGTGAGTGCAACTGTTTGAGGAGAATTCCAGGCAAGGAGAAACTTTACTCAGCTCTAAGTGTATCCTGTGATCTAAATGTTACAGATACATTATAATCCCACGGGCTCTTCTGAAAGGAGCAGATACCTGCTAGAGAAAGAGCAGATTTCTATGGAGATGAGGCCATTCCTTCTGGAAAAGCAACAAAAGCAACAAACCCTTACATTGTTTATAAGCCCTTAAGGTTTTCTTGTAATCCGAGTTTACCTGCTTCATGATTCCTTATAATATATGGCAGAAGGACTGTATAATTATTAAAAGTTACTTAAATATCAACGCTTTCATTTCTTGTCATCCACCTCTGAATCTGTCACCTCTGTTTAACCCTCCCTGGTATTTAAATAGCTAATCTAGTGTTGGAGGCCAGGTTAACAACGTGCACGTCTCTAAGTGACTTCATAGCGACCTTCACACGTCTATTTATTTGGTATTTCCTTTGTGTTCCTTTATATGAACTGACTGAGCCCTTGCTAATAATTAAAAGAATTTGCTAAAGTATTCTTTTGGCAAAGTCAGTAGATAAGAATTTCTGTAAGTGGCTCATGCCTGTAATCCCAGCACTTTGGGAGGCCGAGGCGGGTGGATCACGAGGTCAGGAGATCGAGACCATCCTGGCTAACACGGTGAAACCCTGTCTCTACTAAAAATACAAAAAATTAGCCGGGCGTGGTGGAGGGCACCTGTAGTCCCAGCTACTCGGGAGGCTGAGGCAGGAGAATGGCATGAACCCAGGAGACGGAGCTTGCAGTGAGCCGAGATAGCACCACTGCCGTCTGGCCTGGGCAAAAGAGTGAGACTCCGTCTCAAAAAAAAAAAAAAGAATTTCTGTGAATAGTGTGTCTTGTGACATTAGCTTGCCCACCAAAGTATAAAACTAACTGAGAAAAGTATTTTCCAAAACTAGTTCAGGTTGGTGCATATGTATTTGAAGGCACGTGTGTATTCACTCATTCAGGAAATATTTATGGAGCTCTACTATGTGCCTGGTCTATCCTAGGCAATGACAAGCAAAAACCCCTGCTTTCACAGAATCACCATCCTAGTGGGGTGAGGTAGGGCAGACAGATAACAACTAGAATATATTATGTGTCAGATGAAGATAACTGCTATGGGGGAAAATAAGGCAGAGAAGGATGCCAGAGAGTAGGGGTTGTGTTTTAAAATGGAATGCTTGGGGCGGGCATGGTGGCTCATGCCTGTAATCCAAGTACTTTGGGAGGCCAAAGCAGGCGGATCACGAGGTCAAGAGATCGAGTCCATCCTGGCCAACATGGTGAAACCCCATCACTACTAAAAAAAATACAAAAATTAGCTGGATGTGGTGCCATGCGCCTGTAGTCCCAGATACTCGGGAGGCTGAGGCAGGAGGATCACTTGAACCTGGGAGCTGGAGGCTTCAGTGAGCCGAGATCACACCACTGCACTCTAGCCATTTTATAAAAGTAAAATGGAGTGCTTGGGGAAAATAATTAATCAGAGACTGCAGCAAGGTAAGGGAGTAAGCCATGAGAATATAGGGGGCATCCCAGGCAGAGGCCCAGCAAGTTCTAGGGACGGCAAGCAGGCTGGTGTTTTAGGGGCTGCAGAAGTCTAGTAAGCCAGAAAGAGACTGGGATTGCCTGATTTTATAGGACCTTATACTTCATGCATAAAGACTTGACTTTTTCTTACTGTGAGACAGAAAACCTTTGAAAGATTTTGAGCATAAAAGTGGCATGGTCTGATTCATGATTTCCAAAGAGGATCAGCTGGCTGTGGAGTGGAGAGCAGACTGTCGAAGGCCAGGAACTAGTTAGGAGGTGGTGGCAATAATCTAGGTGACAGGAGGTGATGGTGACTTGGACTGGTACAGTGGTAATGGAGATAGAGAGAAGAGGTTGGATTTTACGTGTGTGAGTGTGTGTGTGTGTGTGTGTGTGTTTGTGTACTTTCTAGTGATGGCATCTCACTATGCTGCTTCCAAGCTGGTCTAGAACTCCTGGGCGCAAGTGATTCTCCTGCTTCAGCCTCCCGAGTAGCTGGGACTACAGGTGCACCACCATGCCTGGCTTTGGGTATATATTTTTAAAAAGTGAAGCCAGTTGGATTTACTGGCAGGTTGGATGTAGGGTTTGGAAGAAAAGAGCTAAGGTTTTCAGTTTGGGCATGTCTGTGCACACGTTGGCATATGTGTCTACATAAAGCTTAATGTTATCCAAAATTATCTCATTTCTTTTTTTACTTATTTTATTTTTATTTTTTTTTTGCTTTATACCATTTGAAGAGGGACCTTCCCAGTCTTGTTTATTGCTGTATATCCAGTGTCTGGAACAATCTGTCTCTTTCTCTTTCTCTCTTAAAAGAAAGTATTTAGCTATCGGTAATGTGGTTACAGAAAAATTGTAAGGAGCTGTTATTTTCTGTCTTCTGCATTTTCAGCATTGAGCCTGCATTTATTTAAAAACAAACTTTATTTAATTTCAGAAGATTGAACAAATTTGCAAAATTATATAATAGAAAATTTTAAAATGCTTATTATCATTAAGTGAAAAATTCTACATTCTGCAGACAGAATGTTATTTTGAGAGCCAATGTTAATGTGAGTAAATGACCCCAAACCCTATAAAAGAATAAATCCAAACCCTATAAGATCAAATAGCCTTGTGTGATCCACAGGATCAGTTTCCAGGACAGAATAGACTTTATTAGCATTGTTTTTCTGCAAGGACATTATTCAGGCCAGTTCTCAGCCACTCAGCCAACAGCTTTGTTTCCGACTGTGCCAAGTCTGCAAACAGTAGCTGATCATCTTTAGCTCAATTCAAAAGGAGGTTTTTCTAGATATTCCAACCACACCCCCCCCCAATAGCCAGCACATTTCTATCAAGTTTGATTGAGTTAGAGTTTATGAAATATTTCCTGAATGACTGAATACACACGTGCCTTCAAATACATATGCACCAACCTGAACTAGTTTTGGAAAATACTTTCCTCAGTTAGTTTTATACTTTGGGGGGTAAGCTAATGTCACAAGACACTCTATTGACAGAAATTCTTATCTACTGACTTTGCTAAAAGAATTTGCTAAATATTATTACTCGCATGAGTGTCTTTAATTTGGTTCTTTGTAAACATTGAGCATTGAAGACGGTTTGTTATTAAGGACAAAGTTATGTATCTAACTAATCTCACATTTTTCTAAGCAGCGCAAATAAACCCAGAGCCCTTCAATGGTTCACAGGTCCACAATCCTTTTATACACATTCTGAAATCCTAAAAGGCTCTGAATACTGAAAGCTGTTTTGGGAACTCATCTAGAATCAGAACCAGAAAGGCTTGAACTCAGCTGGAGGTGAACCTAAACTGGGGGTGGGGGGCCTGAAGCTTGTATGATTTTACCATATCTCACCAAATGTGATGCCTGTCTTACTGCAGAAATATTAATGTGTTTGATCACAAAGTGATGTTCTGTGTTATGTAATATACAGTAAAATCACTCAATCATCTTTCTAACAATTCTGTTTTCTGAAACACATCCGGGCTCATGGGATTTGCATAAAGCACTGTAAACCTGTACTGTGTTTGCTGTTCCGGGCTGAACGTGCTGGCTTCATCTTTCTTTACAAGATAAGGGTGATGGCTGCTACCTTGCCCCGGTGAATGCAGCAGGATTCCTTTTCTAGGTGCCTAGAGCTTTTACGGCTCACGTGCATCTCTGGCTCACCTGTGTGAGTGTCATGCTTTGACTAGATGCCACTTTGTGGTGATGAAGCTTCTGGCCTGTACCTACCCAGACAGAGCACAGCCTTGGAGAAAGGTAGCATGAAGCTGAGTGTCTCTGGGCTCCTGTCCTGTCATCCATCAGTGATGAGCAATGGGAAGTAGAAGGAGACACATTATGTTCATGGCCAAAGGTGTGACCCCAAGCCACATCAAAGGCACACCCAGCTCTTTCAACGAAAACAACCTTCTGTGGGCATGAGGGGCTCATGTATCTTAGGCCAATATCAAAGCCATATAAAGCCTGATGAATCAAGTCAGTCTTGAGCTGGGATCCCCGTTCCACCACATTTACATAGTGCCACCTTGGGTAACCCAGTTTCTTGGTAACCCACTAGAAGTAGCCTGGCTTATAATAAACTTACGACATACTTTTCACCATAATAACTTCCTTTTTAAAGTAGGTATTGGGTCTGTGATCCTGGGAGAACCCTAACCCAGGGAATTCCATAGCTCCCCTCTTTCACATCTTGGATTTTCTTTTCTCCACCTCCAGATTCCCAAGCTCTTAACTTGGAGGCAGAAGCACTGGTGGTGAGTTTAGAAATCTAGGAGAATCAGCAAGATACACAGACTCTTACAGTCTTAAGAGACCCGGGAGATGAAGGTGTAACCTTTTTCCAGCGCAGGGCTCCCACGATCCTCCAGACAGGCCCGGAGAAGCGGACCCTCATGGACAACAGCGCCCATCTCTGGTCAGAGAAACTCGACTGGCTCCTTGTGCGTCTATATGAGGGGCCTCTGGAACCTCTCCGGGGGCCCTGCAGACATGGGAAGGCGGCCAGCGTAGCCTCCCCAGCTTCTTCTCTCAGGGATTTACACCCTTGCTCTTGGACATCAGGCACAATGTGGACATCTTCAGTTGGGTACCGGGGGAGCTTGATGCTTCACTCCTGGGGTAAGGTGGGGATTAGGTGTTTGGGTGTCGGGGTGTGTGTTTGGAGGGGGTGATTTAAGTGACTCTGGAACTTGAAGCCATTCTAGAGAACAACACCCAAGCGGCCAGGAGAACCAGAATCTTTTCATCAACATCCACAAGGGTCACGAGAAAGGCTGTCATTGGCCAAGCTCCTAGGCTACCCAAACAAAGGAGGGAGGAGGGGAAGACAAACCCCGCCCAAGCCCCAGGGGATGGAGTTGGCACCAAGGACTTCTGGTCAACCCCAGGACAGCGGACAGCGGGCCGGGCACTTCCAAAGGCGCAGGAGCGAAGCAGCCCTCTCCAGCCGTGCACTGCACCTCCGCGGCCCGCGGGCGAGATTGGGGTCCCGGTGGGAAGCAGACGCGCAATCGGGGAGAAGCTCCAGCAGTGGAGGAAGAGTCCAGGGAGTTTCAGCTGGGCAGAAGGGGCGCAGAGGCTTGGGGCCAAGCGGAGTTTGCCCTGCGGGTCCTGCGCAAGGCCCCAGTGCCCCGGCTAAACCTTTGCCGCAGGATCCCGGAGCCGGCGTCCTTCAAGGAGCACAGAGGGCCCCGTAGCACGCCCCTTGCCCAGCGCCACCGACCCTTAAGCAGCGTCAAGGAAGGAGTCCCGATCAAGGACAGGGATCTGCGGCCATGGCCGAGGCCGCGGAGCCGGAGGGGGTTGCCCCGGGTCCCCAGGGGCCGCCGGAGGTCCCCGCGCCTCTGGCTGAGAGACCCGGAGAGCCAGGAGCCGCGGGCGGGGAGGCAGAAGGGCCGGAGGGGAGCGAGGGCGCAGAGGAGGCGCCGAGGGGCGCCGCCGCTGTGAAGGAGGCAGGAGGCGGCGGGCCAGACAGGGGCCCGGAGGCCGAGGCGCGGGGCACGAGGGGGGCGCACGGCGAGACTGAGGCCGAGGAGGGAGCCCCGGAGGGTGCCGAGGTGCCCCAAGGAGGGGAGGAGACAAGCGGCGCGCAGCAGGTGGAGGGGGCGAGCCCGGGACGCGGCGCGCAGGGCGAGCCCCGCGGGGAGGCTCAGAGGGAGCCCGAGGACTCTGCGGCCCCCGAGAGGCAGGAGGAGGCGGAGCAGAGGCCTGAGGTCCCGGAAGGTAGCGCGTCCGGGGAGGCGGGGGACAGCGTAGACGCGGAGGGCCCGCTGGGGGACAACATAGAAGCGGAGGGCCCGGCGGGCGACAGCGTAGAGGCGGAGGGCCGGGTGGGGGACAGCGTAGACGCGGAAGGTCCGGCGGGGGACAGCGTAGACGCGGAGGGCCCGCTGGGGGACAACATACAAGCCGAGGGCCCGGCGGGGGACAGCGTAGACGCGGAGGGCCGGGTGGGGGACAGCGTAGACGCGGAAGGTCCGGCGGGGGACAGCGTAGACGCGGAGGGCCGGGTGGGGGACAGCGTAGAGGCGGGGGACCCGGCGGGGGACGGCGTAGAAGCGGGGGTCCCGGCGGGGGACAGCGTAGAAGCCGAAGGCCCGGCGGGGGACAGCATGGACGCCGAGGGTCCGGCAGGAAGGGCGCGCCGGGTCTCGGGTGAGCCGCAGCAATCGGGGGACGGCAGCCTCTCGCCCCAGGCCGAGGCAATTGAGGTCGCAGCCGGGGAGAGTGCGGGGCGCAGCCCCGGTGAGCTCGCCTGGGACGCAGCGGAGGAGGCGGAGGTCCCGGGGGTAAAGGGGTCCGAAGAAGCGGCCCCCGGGGACGCAAGGGCAGACGCTGGCGAGGACAGGGTAGGGGATGGGCCACAGCAGGAGCCGGGGGAGGACGAAGAGAGACGAGAGCGGAGCCCGGAGGGGCCAAGGGAGGAGGAAGCAGCGGGGGGCGAAGAGGAATCCCCCGACAGCAGCCCACATGGGGAGGCCTCCAGGGGCGCCGCGGAGCCTGAGGCCCAGCTCAGCAACCACCTGGCCGAGGAGGGCCCCGCCGAGGGTAGCGGCGAGGCCGCGCGCGTGAACGGCCGCCGGGAGGACGGAGAGGCGTCCGAGCCCCGGGCCCTGGGGCAGGAGCACGACATCACCCTCTTCGTCAAGGTAAAGCTCGCTTCCCTCAATTCTTAGGACGACCCCCTTCCATTCGAGGTCTTGGTCATCTCAGATCCCAGAGGGACGCGCAGGGAGGAACCCTTGGTGGTATCCTGATTGTCATCAGGCGCTTCCATGCGCGGGCGGTAGGCGGGACAGCCGGGATTTCCCGGAGAAGAGTTTCCAGGGCATTTGCGGGAGGACTCAATGGTTTGGAAGCAAAGACTTTGGGGGTGGGGGCGACGGGGAGTGCGATGGGGGCCAATGAGGATGTGGGGTTGTGGGTTCAGCATCCCACTGTCCTTTGACCTGAACATCCTAACCAGCCCTCCTAGTCAGGAGGTTATTAACGAATTAACTAAAAAGTTAAAAAAAAAAAAAAAAAAAAAGAAGAAGAAGAAGAAAAGCAACGCACCCTATTGGTGTTCAAAGGGATTTCTGCCAAAGGAAGCTTTAATACTTGAAGCCAAAAAACGCAGACAGGTAGGTTCAATGTGGGAGGTGCCTTCCAGACTCAATCTCGGAGACCCAGAGCTGGTCAATGTTTTCAACTCCAAAAAGGTATTCCATTTTGGTAGAATCAACAATGTACGTTTAGGGGGGAATGGAGCCTTATTGACATAATGTTTTTTGAACGTTTTAACATTGAATTTGGAAGAATACAAGATGCCGGTGACTTGAACATCATCTGCTTGTATGTCATGTTTTTAACCTCAGTTCACATGGGAAGAGAGCAAGGATTCTGTGAAGGAATCTGTAGAGACACAACTGAGGAAGTTTTGAATTTAAACAGGAATTATTTACAAGGCATGAAAAATGAAAGAACAAAGCTCAGCAGCAGTTCACACCAGGATCTTTGTTTAAAAAGCCTTTTCTGAGGACCTTTGGCCAGACCCAGGAAAGTTGGAGATAATAAGGTCAAGAATGTGCATTTCATGTTGAATCATAATCCTTCAGAAATACTTCCAGGCTTATAGAAACCAGTTACCATCTAAATCTCTCTGGCTGAAATGCAAGCACATTTTAATAAGTAAAAGGAAATGCTCCCAATGTGATTAACATCAGAATTTTAAGAATTGTTTGGGTGGCGAGGGGCTTGGGAAAGAAGGGGTGTGTGTGTGTTTCTTCCCTAGTGAGAAGGTGCTGTTTCTGGCTTTTTTCAAGACCCTGGGACATAACCTCAGGACACCAGCCCCTGAGAGGCTGCTGGGAAGAGCTGGAGCGCAGTGCTGCTGTGTGACCCCAAATCTGCTCCTCTCCATCACCTTGGTTTTAGAAATTTCCCGTTGCTGTGGTTGTAAGGATACATGATTCTGGCACACGGCCTCTTAGCACAGTTTTGATGGACAGTAGCAGCTTCTGGCTAGTCTCCCTGTTTCAGTTCTCTGTCCTCTCCAATCTAGTCTCTTTGTAATAGCCAGTGAGCTGCGGACAAGATCTGATCATTTTATTTCTTTGTGTAAAATTCTTCAGTTGTTTATTGCAGAATTTCAGGTAAATCCCCACTCCTTAGGCAGCCCACAAGGCCCTTTGTGATGTTATTTCTGCCTTCTTTCTTTCTGGCCTTGGCATTGCTGGGTGTCCCCACCCTTTGTTACCTGTGGTCTCGCTATGCCACCTGGATTAAACTACTTACTGTTCCTTGAGGGAGCCACGTTCTTTCCTGCCTTGAAACTTTCTACATTATGTACCCTCTGTCTGAATGGAGTTTCTCCTCCTCGCCCCTGTCTGCCCTCCTGCCTAGTTATCTGCCACAAGTCCAAGAGTTAGCATGGATGTCATATCTTCCAGTCCCAGTCGGATGACCCTGTTAAGGCATTGCCCTCAGCCTGCTATGTCTCTTTCCTCAGCTGTGTGAAATTCATCATTCTATCTCCAGCGCAGAACACAGGTGTGGGATGTGGTGAAGGCTTGAATGGGCGGCTAGCTGCTGGATAGTGTGGTGATCAAGAACACGGACTTTAGAGCCAGTGGGTCTGGGATCAAATCTTGGCTTTGCTAATTTCTTGCCGTGTGACCTTGGGCAAGTTACTTAATCTTTTGGTATCATTGTGGTCTCATTGATAAAATGGGGACGGTAATAGTACCTAGCCCTTGAGGTTACCGTGAGAAATTGAGAATTAGATTACACAAAGCACTTAGAAAAGTGCCTGGCTGGAAATAAGCTTAGTACACATGTGAGTTCCTATTGTTACATCTGTGCTGCTCGCATAACTTGCACTGATTTTGCACAGAAACAGTTATCCCTGCCATTACTTATTTTATTTATTTTTAGGGAAAATCCCTCTAGGTACGTAATTACCTCCAATCTCTAGGGATAAGAATGTTGTGAAAAGTAAAAACAACTTGCTTCCTCAAATACTGCTTGGGAGGAGTTTGTGTGGGCAGAAGCATGTGGCCTAGCACCAGCAGCGGCCCAGCACGAGCAGCTTACCCACAATGCTTTATTCTGATGATTGATCTGGTGCTCAGTTGCTAACTTTTTTTTTTCTTAAGGAAACAGATAGATCTCCAAATGATGAGATTGGTTAACTTTTTTATTTTTTTTTTAATTGAGACAGGTTCTTGCTCTGTCACCCAGACAGGAGTGCAGTGGTGCTATCTCAGCTCACTGCAACCTCCACAGACTGGGTTCAAGTGATTCTTGTGTCTCAGCCTCCTGAGTCGCTGAGACTACAGGCATGCGCCACCACGTCTGGCTAATTGTTTTGTGTTTTTGGTAGAATGGGGTTTCGCCATGTTGGCCAGCCTGGTCTCAAACTCCTGACCTCAGGTGATCCACCCACCGTGGCCTCCCAAAGTGCTGGGATTACAGGCTTGAGCCACCACACCTGGCTGAGATTTGTTAACTTCTGAGGGGTCACTTATCATGAGCCTCACAGTATTGATATTGTGTCTCAGTTTCTTCTTATCCTACCAATTATGCTCTTTGAAAACAAAATGAAACAAAAACAAAAAAGACAGACATCAAAGCAAAAAACAAAACTAAACAAACAAACAAAAAAACACCCTTTAGACTCATATTTTCTGAGTTTGAAATACTTGATGTAAAATCTGGAAATTAGTTCAGAATAGGATTTCTTTGCCAGAATTAGCCTTTTCTAGGCTCCTTTTTTGGGCTCAGTTTTGTCTGGGTTCTATTCTACAGTGGACACCTGAGCTGGGTTTTGTGAACATGCCTAGATGCGTCTTCATGGTGGGTTTTGTATGGCATAGCTGGAGTGTGGAATTCACAGCTGGGTTTAAAGGAAAGTACTGCAATATTCTCTCAAACATTCTCCTAGCCTTCATATGACAGCTGAGCAAACACATTTTAAAATCAGTTAGCCCATATTTTATTTGGGAACTCCTAGCTTTCACATTTCTTCCAATTTTTTTTTTGAGACAGGGTCTCACTATGTTGCCCAGGCTGATCTCCAGCTCCTAGGCTCAAGCAGTCTCCCTGTGTCAGCCTGCTGAGTAGCTGGGACCACAGGCACACACCATTACACCCAGCTAGTTTTTTCAAAAAAATTTTTGTAGAGACAGAGGTCTCACTTTTTTGCTCCAGAGGGTCTCGAACTCCTGGGCTCAAGTGACCCTCCCACTCTGGCGTTTCAAAGTGCTGGGATTATAGGCACAAGCCACCATGCCTGGCCTCTCTTCCTATTTTGTTAAAAATAAATATATTGGTTACAAATATACCAGAAAGTCATGGCTAACTATGTAGTAACATGTAATAATAATTGTCCCACATTTGCTTCTAATTAGCCATCTAATATATTCTCCATCTTTATGAGAATTGTCATGTTATTAATTTGTCAGTTTGTTTTATTTTACAAGCATGCAAGGATGCATTCTTGTACAGAAGCCAGGAACATATAGAACCAGCCAAGAAAGGTCTTAAATTATTTTGTGGTAAATTAATTGCTGATTATGCTAATTTTTAGTTTTGTTTTCTCAAAGAAGTGTTAATTATTTGTCATCAAATTATAGGGTAACTCTGCAATATATTTAGTAAGAAAGGTTCTTTTTCTTTCCTCATAATAACAAAGGGTAACAACATAATCACATAATCACACAACAACATAATAACAACAGGCAAAACACTAGCAGCAGAGAGTTAAGTAAGAACTTCATTTAAGTAAGGAGTTCAGCGGTAGTGGAGATTTAGTCGCCAAGGAAGTCTTGCTTACGGCTTTGGTTCCCCTAATCTGGCGTGTAAGCTTTGAGTCAGGGTCTTTGGGTGGGACAGTCTGAGCTACGGCTTTCCTGGCAAATTTGACATGACTTAAAAAACTTCAGTGTTGACCAGTGATTAGTCCTGGGCCACCCAGGATTTAGACACCACCTGTTTACTTGTAAACATGCAGTTATTGCTGAGCTAAAAAAACTTGCATTTGTATTCACATTTGGGTTCTCCAAAGAGGTGAAACTGACCCGATGAAACACAGTAAAACTCAAGAAGGACATGGCCTTTGAATAAGCACTGTCACCCAGAAATGAGCCCCCGCCCCTCCAAAAAAAAAAAAAAAAAAGAGCCTTCCAAGCATTGCCATACCACAGGGCTGGGCAAGAATGAGCCAGGACCAGCGTCTGATGGACTCCTGGTAGAACGGTAAGCTGTGGCTCTCTGTGGACATGTCACTGGGAGAGAGCATGTTGGGACTTGTTCTATGGGGCTTGGTCTCCAGGGAGCTTGAAAGGGAGATGTTATTTTCACAACTATGTGTTCTGAAGGAAAGTGAGCAAAGATGCATTTCTGAGACTTTAATTCTCCCCTAAAAACAAATTTTTTGTAATTTTTTTTTATTGTCTTAGAAAACCTGCCTACAAATTACACATATGAAATCAGTACCGGGTTACTTGGGGGTGGAAACAGGTGGAGCATGATGTTTTGCGTAACCTCTTGCATACAAACAGGTGCAGGTGTGCACATGCATGCTGGGGGTGGGGATACCCCTGCCACACTCAGTGAGAGCCCTATCGTCATTGCCTCTCGGTTCTCACCACCTGCCACTGCAGTGGGCTCATGGCAGGCCCTCCACTGTGCTTTTTGGTGCAGATAAATAGTGGGTCGGGTGGATGGCTAATTGGTAAGACACAAGCCCAGTTCTCCACTGTCCCAGCCCAGTGTCCCTTGTGAGAGAAACAGAGCCACCTTTTTCCATGAAGGCCTCTTGGCAGCAGGGTTACAGGATGCTGGTGGCTTTGGGAATTTGAAGCTCTTTCCTGCCATGTGCACACATCACAGCTCCCGTCTCTGTCTGGGCTGACAGGCCATGTGGCTTCATGAGAGCAATTATGTTTCTTTACCTTCAGCACGGGTTCCTCCCCTCACATGGGGTTTCCTTTGTGTCCTTGGTTTCACACAGCCAGCCTTTGTCGGGCCGACTCAGATATCCCATTTCCTTGAATATCTAAAGACCCACAGAAAACCTTCAGAAATACTACACTGGGTCCTTTAGTCATGTGAATGTATTGTGTCCTTTCGGACACCTAGATAAAACCTAGAAGTGGAAGGAGTATGTAAAAGCCAACACTCCAATCCATGCTTGAGGGCTCAGAGGGATCCTCATGCTATGGGTCCATATATTAATTCAATACATATGGATATATTACCTACTGTGTGTTGGACTCTGTGCTAGATTCTGGGGACACATTGGTAAGCAGGACTGACAAGCTTCTTGCCCTCCCAGAGTTTACCATCTAGCACAGAAGACAGACATTGGGCAATGTAGTACATTATGTCTGTAGCATCTCCACTGGGCTGCAAGCCTGCACTGCAAAGACCATGTAGTTTTTCCCATCATTGTTCTTTCAGCCCTTTGCATGCTGTTTGACACATAACAGCCAGCCAGTTAATGATGGTATGAAGGGAAGGGGGATGGACGATGAGCAGCAGGCCATAGGAGCATGCAGCAGCAGCAGGAGGACCTGCAGACACAGTGGTAATCACTAAATAGTTGTTGATTTAATTACATTTGGGGAGACACAACCATTTTCCTTTCCAGTCCACAGAGTAGTGGGATCCTCTGATAATGCCTAGTATAGATTCTTCAGGATTTTCTAAAACAGGTGATCTTTGGTCTATCATTCTCTGAACTCCTGTCATATTAGTAAAGAAAAAGTTTTTGTGAGAGTTATAAAGGTATTCAAATCTTCTAAAATTTTCCAGCATTAATTTTGTTTTTTTTTTTCTGCCTGAGTGTTGATTTATAAAGTGGGCCCTATATCTGGGCATAGTTGGGGGAGACATTTTCTTCACAATATAGAGAGTTTCCAAAAGACCACCCCCATGCTTTTTGTCAGCCCTTTTCTCCTCCCCACAGGGAGACGGTATCCAAGTCCATCTTCGGCTAAAATCCGTGCTTGTATTGACAGCCCCACTTCCTCCTTCTGAAAGCAGCATTTTAATTTGGAGCTGTTGGTGCTTAGGTATAAAATCTATTTCATTTAATGCTGCTATGAAAATTTCCCAGTTTTGAATTTAAGACAGTCTCTTATTGTTTTTTCCTGCTCTTGCATGGGGGACCATCTGCTCTGCCAAGCTTTCAAAACTTTGCTCTCAAGTTAGGTGGCAAATGGGCTAACAATTTGGTATATGTTAAGAGCTTGTTATAAAGAATACTTTTGCCCCAGCTGGTACTACAGTATGGTATTTAATGTTGAAGAGAACACCATTAAGAGTGTGTTCAGCTGCAATTAATAAACTATCCAGTAGCAAGTGCCTTTAATCAGAAATATATTTTTCTCATACAACAAGAAATCCAGAGATAGGTGGATAAAGCATCTTACCCATGTCATCAAGGGCTCAGATTAGTTCCTTGTGTTCTGTCTCCCTGTATCATCAAAAAATGGATGCCTTAGTCTTAAGCACCAAATCCTGACCAGCAATATCTCAAGTAGGAAACTAAAGGGAAGGGTCAGGATTTTTCTTCTTATTCCCATTCCTCCTTCATCAGGGAGGAGAAATGCTCCTGACAACTCTTGCAGCAGACTTTTCTGTGTCTAATGGCTAGAACTGGATTCTGTGCCCCAACCCCCTCCAGGCCTTTTACAAGCACAAGGGTATGAGACTGGCGTATATATACCAGGGGTTAGCAAACTGTGGCATGCAGGTCCTATCTAGCCTGCCACCTGTTTTTGTACACCTACAACCTAAGAATGACTTATGTTTTTAAATGGTTGGAAAACATTAAAAGAAGAATAATTCATGACTCATGAAAAATATATGAAATTCAAATTTCAGGGCCCATAAACAAACTTTTTTTTGGAACCCAGCCATGCTTGTTCTTTGATGTATCCTGTATGACTCCTTTCACTTTCAACAGCAGAGTTGAGTAGATGCAACAGAGACTCTGTGGACCACAAAGCCCACAATATTTATTACTGGGCCCTTTAAGAAAAAGTTTCTGGCTGGGTGAGGTGGCTCACGCCTGTAATCCCAGCACTTTGGGAGGCTGAGGCGGGCAGATCACGAGGTCAGGAGATTGAGACCATCCTGGCCAACACGGTGCAACCCCGTCTCTACTAAAAATACAAAAAAAAAAAAAAAAGTCACCCGGGCGTGGTGGCGTGTGCCTGTAGTCCCAGCTACTCAGGAGGCTGAGGCAGGAGAATGGCGTGAACCCAGGAGGTGGAGCTTGCAGTGAGCCGAGATTGCACTCCAGCCTGGGCAAGAGAGAGACTCCATCTAAAAAAAAAAAAAGAAAAAGTTTACCGATTCCTAGCTTATACCTACTTTTATTCATCATCTGGGGCTAGATACAATGCCATTCATACAAAATTGGAGTTCGATTTAGAAGGAAAAAGGATAACTGTTGTAGAAGAAAGAACTGGCAGGTTCTTTCACAGTGAATAAGAAATATTTAAGACACTAAACATCTATATATTGTTAGAAATGGTTGTTTTTTGCCTACAAAAACCATAAAAATTTTGATTTATATAAAGTCAACATAAAATGTAGGTTAAATGTATTTATACAAATTTTAGTATAACATATTTATGTAGTCCATGGGATTATTTTGTAAAATTTACTTACCATTTTTTTGGAAAAGATAATACATTGGAATAGTAAAATTTAGAAACATAAAAAGATATAATATAATGAGAATTAAGTCTTCTTTCGCCCATGAAGCCCAACCTCCCAATTTTTCTCCCTAGAGATAACCACCAAATATTTTTCCAGAGATATTCTATGCAAGTTCAAACATATCCTCAATGTATTATCTATTTCTGTGTAACAAATTGTCCCAAGACCTAGAATCTTAAAGCAACAAACATTTTATATTATTCATAGTTTTCCAGGGTCAGGAATTTGTGAGTTGCTTAGATGGGATTTTTGAGTTGCTTAATCTGTTCTCACGCTGTTGTGAAGAACTGCCCAAGACTGGATAATTTATAAAGGAAAGAGGTTTAATTGACTCACAGTTCTGCATGGCCTGGGAGGCCTCAGGAAACTCACAATCACGGCAGAAGGGGAAGCAAACACATCCTTCTTTGCATGGCAACAGGAAGGAAAAGTGCCAAGTGAAAGGGGAAGCTCCTTATAAGCCATCAGATCTGGTGAGAACTCACTCACTATCACGAGAACAGCATGGGGGAAACTTCTCTCATGGTTCAATTATCTCTACCTGGTCTCACACTTGACACTTGGGTATTATTACAATTCGAGGTGAGATTTGGGTGGAGACATAGCCAAACCGTATCATTCCACCCAGGCCCCTCCCAAATCTCATGTCCTCACATTTTAAAACACAATCATGCCCCTCCAACAGTCTCCCCAAAGTCTTAACTCATTCCAGCATTAACCTAAAAGTCCAAGTCCAAAGTCTCATTTGAGATAAGGCAAGTCTCCTCCACCTATGAGCCTGTAAAGTCAAAAGCAAGTTAGTTACTTCCCAGATACGATGGGGGTACAGGCATTGGGTAAATACACCCACTCCAAGTGGGAGAAGTTGGCCAAAACAGAGGGGCTACAGGTCCCATGTAAGTCTGAAATTCCACAGGGCAGTCATTAAACCTTCAAGTTCCAAAATGATCTCCTTTGATCCCATGTCTCAATCCAAGTCACACTGATGCATGAGGTGGGCCCCCATGTGGCCTTGGACAGCTCCACCCCTGTGGCTTTGCAGGGTACAGCATCCCTCTTGGCTGCTTTCACGGACTGGTGTTGAGTGTCTGTGGCTTTTCCAGGTGCACAGTGCAAGCTATTGGTGGATCCACCATTCTGGGGGCTGGAGGATGGTTGACCTATTCTCACAGCCCTACTAGGCAGTGCCCCAGTGGGGACTCTGTGTGGGGGCTCTGACCCTACATTTCCCTTCTGTACTGCCCTAGCAGAGGTTCTCCATGAGGGCTCTGCCCCTGCAGCAAACTTCTTCCTGGACATCTTGGCATTTCCATATATCCTCTGAAATCTAGGCAGAAGTTCCTAAACCTCAATTATTGACTTCTGTGCACCAGCAGGCCCAACACCACTTGGAAGCTACCAAGGCTTGGGGCTTGCACCCTCTGAAGCAATGGCCTGAGTTGTACCTCGGCCCCTTTTAGCCATGGCTGGAGCAGCTGGGATGCAGGGCACTAAGTCCCTAGGCTGCACACAGCAGGGGGTCCTGTGGCCCATGAAACCATTTTTCCCTAGAAGACTTCCAGGCCTGTGATGGGAGGGGTTGCCACAAAGGTCACTGACATGCCCTGGAGATATTTTCCCCATTGTCTTGGTCATTAACATTCAGCTCCTTGTTACTTATGCAAATCTCTGCAGCAGGCTTGAATTTTTCCTCAGAAAATTGGTTTTTCTTTTTCTATCACATCATCAGGCTGCAAATTTTCCTAACTTTTATGCTCTGTTTCCTCTTGAATGCTTTGCCACTTAGAAATTTCTTCCACCAGATACCCTAAATTATCTCTCTCACATTCAAAGTTCCACAGATCTCTAGGACAGGGGCAAAATGCTGCCAGTCTCTTTGCTAAAGCAAAACAAGAGTCACCTTTATTTCAACTCCCAATAAGTTCCCCATCCCCATTTGAGACCAACTCAGTCTGGACTTCATTGTCTATATCACTACCAGCATTTTGGTCAAATCCATTCAACATGTCTGTAGGAAGTTTTGAACTTTCCCACAGCTTCCTGTCTTCTGAACCCTCCAAATCTCTAGGAAGTTCCAAACTTTCCCACATTTTGCTGTCTTCTTCTGAGCCCTCCAAACTGTTCCAACCTCTGTCTGTTTTCCAGTTCCAAAGTAGCTTTCACATTTTCAGGTATCCTTATAGCAGCATCCCACTCTCTTCAGTACCAATTTACTGTGTTAGTCCATTCTCATACTGCAATAAAGAACTGCCTGAGACTGGGTTATTTATAAAGGAAAGAAGTTTAATTGACTGACAGTTCCGCATGGCTGGGGAGGCCTCAGGAAACTTGCAATCGTGGCAGAAGGGGAAGAAATCATGCCCTTTTTCACATGATGGTGGGAAGGAGAAGTGCTGAGTGAAGGCGGAAGCCATTTATAAAGCCATCAGATCTCATAAGAACTCACTCACTATCACAAGAACAGCATGGGGGAAACTGCCTCCATGATTCAATTATCTCTATTTGATCCTGCCCTTTACACATGGTGATTATTATAATTCAAGGTGAGATTTAGGTGGGAACACAGAGCCAAACCTTATCAGTTGGGTAGTTCTGGCTCATGTGGTTGCAGTGAGGATGTCAGTCAGAGCTGTGATCTCATCTGAAGGATTAATTGGGGCTAGGGCTGTGGTTTCATCAGAAGGATTGATTGGGGCTAGGGCCATGGTCTCATCTGAAGGACTTATTAGGGCTGGATAATCCACTTCCAAGATGGCTGGCTCACATGTCGTTTGGCAGGAGGTGCAGTTAGTTTTTTTTACCACTTGGGCCTCTTCATAGGACTTCTTTAGTGTCCCCACAACATGGCATCTGGCTTTTTCCAGAGCAATGATCTAAGAGAGACCAAGGAAGAAGCCATAATGCCTTTTATGACTTTGTCTCAGAAGTTACATGCTGTAACTTCTGCCTTATTTTATTCATTAGAAATATGATCACTAAGTCCAGTCCTCAAGGAAAGTGGAATTAGGCTCCACCAATTAAAAGAAAAGGCAAAGAATTTGTGGACAAATCTTTAAAATACCACATCTACTTTTTTTTCCACAAAAAATAGTACACTGGAAATACATTGGTTTACATCTTGCTTTCTTCCCTTAACAATATGTCTTGGAAATCACTCCTTATCAGTGCCTCTAGCTCTGTCACATTCTTGTGAAAAATGTCATAGTATTCTGGTGATGTGTATACTCTATAATCATTTTCTTGTAGGTAGTTGTTTAGGTAGCTTCCTCTTTTTGATATGTTAAATAATGGTGTAGTGAATATCCCTCCACAGATGCATAATAATATATGGGAGCTAAATTCTTAGAAATGGCATTGCTACGGGAAAGGGTGTGCATATTTAAGATTTTGATAACCATTACCAAATTTCCTCTTCAAAGAGGTGATACCATGTAATGCTCCTCTGACACTATATCAGTGCCATGCTTATTTCCACAAACTTCTCTGCTGAGGTATTATCAAATATTTTGAATCTGAGAGGTGAAAATAATGTCCATTGTCATGTAATTTGCATTTCTTTTATTATGTGTGAGGTCGAGTATACTTTTATATATTTAAAAAGTATATAAGTATTCTTTTATATATTGATATTTGTTTTTCTGTGAGATGGCTGCTTATATTCTCTGCATTTTTCTTATGGGCTTTTGACCTATTCTTTCTGATTTTGATGTTAAAGAAGTTAGACTTTTGTCTGTCACATGTGTTCCATATATTTTTATAAGAGTGTGCTGACTGTTTGCACTTGAAAATGTATCCTTTTAGTCTTAGTAATTTCTTGTAATTGATGCATGGGAAAGCAAAGTGTGGATGATGATGGCACTCTTAGAATCTCCAACTTCATTCATTGACATCTTTAAAGGTTGCTTTACTTTATACTCTATAACCTCTTAAATCCTGAAGAATCAGGTATTTCCAGTCCTACCCCTTTCCCTCCATTTTTTTTTTTTTTTTTTTTTTTTTTTTGAGACGGAGTCTCGCTGTGTCTCCCAGGTTGGAGTGCGGTGGCGCGATCTCGGCTCACTGCAAGCTCTGCCTCCCAGGTTCATGCCATTCTCCTGCCTCAGCCTCCCAAGTAGCTGGGACTACAGGCGCCCGCCAACACGCCCAGCTAATTTTTTGTATTTTTAGTAGAAACGGGGTTTCACCGTGTTAGCCAAGATGGTCTCGATCTCCTGACCTCGTGATCCGCCCGTCTCGGCCTCCCAAAGTGCTAGGATTACAGGCGTGAGCCACCGCGCCTGGCCCCCTTTCCCTCTATTTTTAATTAACAGGTACATTTTATCAAGTGTATGCCCTTTTAGAATGAAACTCCATGTGGCATGGTAAGAATCCCTTTTCAAAACAAAGTTTAAACTGTACAGACAGGAGGATCACTTCATGCCTATATCACCCCATCTTCAGATGTAAGATATATCGCTTTGATCTTTGCATAATATCTACTGAAATTTATTTGATTCCCATAAATCAAAACCATTGTGAAAATATCACCTGTGATGCAGTGATATAAAAATATTGCCTCTGAGGTTGTGTCTCTTGGCCAGATATTCTATTTGTGCTCCAGTCTGTTGAAAGAATTGACCAAAATTTATAGAGAATGAGGAGATCCAGAGAATTGTGGAGGACAATGAAGCCTACCTATAGCTTATGTTTACGGAGTGGGAGGGTGATATGGTTTGGCTCTTTGTCCCCACCCAAATCTCATCTCGAATTGTAATCTCCACATGTTGAGGGAGGGATGTGGTGGGAAGTGATTGGATGATGGAAGCAGTTTCCTCCATGTTGTTCTCATGATAGTGAGTGAGTTCTTATGAGATCTGATGGTTTAAAAGTGTGGCACTCTCCCCTATCCCCACCCTGCTGCCATGTAAGATGTGCCTTGCTTCCTCTTCACCTTCCACCATGATTGTAAGTTTCCTGAGGCCTCCCCAGCCATGTGGAACTGTGAGTCAATTAAACCTCTTTTCTTTATAAATTACCCAGTCTCTGGTAGTTTTTATAGTAGTGTGAAAGTGGACTAATACAGAGGGAGAACTGAAATGCTCAAATATCAAAGGTTGTTTGAAAAAATAATTTTGAAGCTTTTGTGGAAAACACAGACTCTGTTGACATATTCCAGATTTTTACTAGGTTTGTGGATTTTATCCCTCAACTCACTGTTTCTCTTCTTTTAATAGTATATGGCTGTTCACATAAAAATAAGTAGGGAGAAGTAAACGCTGCTTTTTTTTTTTTTGTCCTTCACACTACCAAGTGCTGTTTTGCACCCAAATGTATATTTTAAACAAATATTTATTGATTACCTGCCAAGTAGCAGACATTGTGCTTGGGGCTGGGGGTGTAACAGTGATTAGAACAAACACAGCCCCTGCTTTTCTGGAGAACTTCAGCCTAGACAGTGATCCAGAAAGAAACAACTACTATGCAACATGAGGAAGAGGACCACAGGAGATTGCTGGGCCGGGTGGGAAGAGCAGGCTGGCAGGCTGGGCAGTGACAACAGTCTAGGGGAAAGTTAGATTCTAGATCTCTGACCATGAGGCCTGGCCCCCTGCCATGTGCCTGTCTATTTGGAAGATGAATCAATTTATCCATCTATCTGCACAACAGATGGATGTATGAATGACAGCCATGTAGAAATAGCTACTCTGTCAGGTGGTCCATTTTTAATTATACATTTTGTAGAATGTAATTTTATATTACTATCCATAAGTTCTTTTCACCTAAGCCAGTGATGTCTCAGCAGCCAGATTGTGTTTACAGACCTTGACTTTGAGCACAGTAACTTTACAACTATTAAAGCTCTATGGCACATGAAAGATTATTTCCTTCTTCCTCTTTCTACGGTAGGAGACTACAGTGAGGAGTGTAAGTGAAGGCCAAAATGAGGGAGAGGAAAATAAATCACTGTAATTATAGTACACAAGCAAGGAGGACCTGGAAATGTGACCTAGGTCATTCCATGTCCCCTTTCTGCAGTTATTTCTTTAAGGAGCAGCCCTTATTTTTACAAAGGAGAGGCAACACAGTGCTGATGAAGTGGCTGTCAGTTTCAGGGCACCCTTTTGGTTTCCAGGTGTGAGAGTTCAAAACTGTCCTGGAGAAGCCAGGCAGTTGGGTCCTTTTCCATAAACCTAGATTTTGCCTTCCAGCTAGGGAGACTCTCCACTGGAGAGGGTACCTGGCTACTGAGAGAGAAGAAAGCCTGGACCCATTGTTCTCAAGGCTTTATGCTTTTATTTTCCTAGCTTTGGTGGGGTGGCAGGGTGGGGGGTGGTGTGTAGGATGCTGCAGTCCAGTAGGAAGAAGCTGATATGCACTCCAGCAATCCCCCAAGCGGTGACCCTGGTCCTCCTCTAGCCACCTGGGGACATGGGGATGATGAATCAAAGCAGAGATGAACAGAGGACACTGTTTTATTCCCTGGCTGGAACACACAGTGATATTCTGATGGGGTCCTTAGGGTGAAGGCCATATGGCCTGTCCAAGACGTCGGCACATCACAGCCATCATCTGCTTTGAAGGCCGCACAAACTAAAGGTGTTATTGGTCTGGAGATCCAGTGATACTCTTTCTCCCTAAATAAGAAAAATCAACACTTTTTTGGTGCCTTTGGTGTGAGAGCCTTGGAGGTGAGTTCAAAGAACCTTGGAAAGACTTAACTCTCTCCCCCAGCTTTGTTCTCTTTGTTTTAACTCCGGGTTGGATGTCTTCAACTCTCTTCCCATAAATGATCAAACTGGATGAAGTTTTAGGTTGCACTCGGCGGCTTCTCTGTGTCATGTAACTCTCCAAACAGAGAATCCAGTGCTTAAAGAAACACAGAGCTATTAACACATCAGACATGGAGGGGGACATTTTTTTGTTAGCTGCCCTTTTTACTAATATATTATAATGCTTTGAATCATAAATAACAGCAATAAAGCAAGAATGTTCTGTCACTCTCCAGGTATTGAGGCTCTGGCTAAGGGAAGTCCTGCACATATGTAGCTCCACCCATGGCTGAGTACAAAACAACAACTCCATTGCTTTTAGACACTACTAAGGTTTTCTTAACCCATTTATGCCTAGTATTCCATTATTGGACCGCTAAGCTTGTGGAAGTTATTTATATCCTACTGCTCAATGTCATCACCAAGGTCTGCTTTTTCACACAAAAAATTTGCAACCTCAGGCATAAATGGGTTAAGCCAGTTCAACTTAGTAAATAACTAAAATGCTCAAAGCATTTATTAATATGATTAAGAACATATGCTTTGGCCGGGCACGGTGGCTCACACCTGTAATCCCAGCACTTTGGGAGGCTGAGGTGGGCAGATCACGAGGTCAGGAGTTCAAGACCAGCCTGGCTAACATGGTGAAACCCTGTCTCTACTAAAAATACAAAGTTAGCAGGGCATGGTGGCACTCGCCTGTAGTCTCAGCTACTTGGGTGGCTGAGGCAGAAGAATCACTTGAACTCAAGAGGCAGAGGTTGCTGTGAGCTGAGATCACGCCACTGCGCTCCAGCCTGGGTGACAGAGTGAGACTCTGTGTCAAACAAAACAAAACAAAAACCCAAAACCAAAAACATATGCTTTGAGCATTTTGGCACAGCCTGGAATCATATAGTGTGGTGGATTAAAGATGGCTGCCATTTCTTTAATACTCCTATTAAGAAGTGAGGTTTGATTCTCCTCCCTCTGAATCTGGCCTGACCTTAGTGACTACTTCGTAACCAGCAGAATATAGTGGACGTGATGCTGGGTGATTTTTGTCCTGCAAGACTGTGTGGCTTCTGCCTTATTCACTGACCATCCTGAGGTCACCATGCTGGAGGGGCTACCTGTGGGTGCTCCATTTGACAATCCTAGCTGAGCCCAGCCTTCCAGCCATCTATGCAAGATGATGGGCATGTGTGTGAAGCTGTCTTGGCCCCCTCAGACCAGCCCATCCGCAAGACACTGGGCACATGTGTGAAGCTGTCTTGGCCCCCTCAGACCAGACCATCCACAAGACACTGGGCATGTGTATGAAACTGTCTTGGCCCCTCAGAGCAGCCCATCTGCCAGCTGAACACTGCTGAGTAACCTTCGTCAGTGCCACACGGAACAGAAGGATCGCCCAGGCAAACCTCGCTCAAATCCTTCACTCACAAAATCATGAGATACTATAAACCAGGTACTCTAGGCTGATAAATTGTGGGTAATTTGTTACGTGGCAATTGGTGACTGGGATATGCCATGACTGATGTCTCCTCTAAGCTAGTGAAATCTGAGTGGGTGAAAAGACAGGGCCAGATGGGAGGTGTGGAGTAACAGTTGAAAGCAATTCTAAAGGGGAGGGGGCAATCAGAGGAAAGGAAGGAGGCTCCATGCAGCCAGTTCTTCCATTTGGTGCCTGCATTTTTTCCCTTTTGAGTCACTGTAGGGATTGGACTACTCTGTCATTCAAGAACCTAAACCACCGGGATATATAAAAACAGGCTGCAATATTAAGCAGGCTTTCTAGAACAAGATGTTCCTTTGTTGCAATAATTCCTTGTGAGAATTTCACAAGGAAATAAGCTTTTCATCTCCATGTAAAAGCTTCAGTTGGTATCAGGCCATATTATTAAATATGGATTAAAAATAGCCCCGGAGTTTTTAAAGCATAATTCATATATAAGAATAGATGGCAAATACCAGTTTGTTTGCTCAAGGACTTCTTATGCCTTGATTCCACCTGCTGTTACAATGAACACTAACATAATTAAGCCTTTTGCTAGAATTGAAAGCTAGGAGCAATGTGGTTCAGTAATTAATCAATGTGAGTCGAGGGTAGTCACCCACTTAATCCATTGAATAATAAATTAATTGTTACAACAGCTGAAAAGAAAAAATACTATACATACTTAGGAATATGTTTAGGATTAGTAGTTTTTTTTAAATGTTTACACCTATGTTTGAAAGTGTTAAGATCTAAAATATATTTCTTAGCATCTAAATGTAGGAGTGAATAAAGTTAATTTCTAAGTTTTAATGAAGAGTGAGAAGTCTGTTTTAAGGGAAAGCCTAGCTCCTTTTATGGCCTGGAATGAGGAATCTGGCAATAAATTTTACTGATAATTACAGACAACGAGCATTGGGATGGAGCTGTCCGCTCCACTGGGGGTATGCAGTGTAAAGTATTGGTTGAGCATGCAAACAAAGTCAGTCTAGAAAGTGTGGACTTTTATTTATTTACAAAAAAAAATTTCTTTTCTAAAATAGGCCTTGCTGCAATGATGATACATGTTTCCTTTATAGACTTACAAGAAGTGTGATGCCTACTATTTGTGTCATAGTTTGAGCTGGTATAATAACAATGGACAATACTAGCAAAGATGTGAAAACGAGGGGACACAATAGTCTTTCCCCTCAATTCTCATCAGTGTGGCCGCCCCCCACCATTGGTTTGACTCTTATTCGGCTCGGAGCCTTATTTCTGCTGCTGGGTTTTGCTGGCTGTTGCTGTCCTCGCTGTCTATTTTTTCTCCCCACTAGAGCGCAGGCGAGGGAAGACAAAAGACGGAGAACGACGGTTCACCCGGGTGGTCTCCTCTGCGGCTGGCGTTCCCCTGGCCTTACAGAGAGGCTAAGAAGCAGAGACGCCTTACAGATAGTCTGCATAGACGCCCTGTATGGCCCATCTGCTCTGCCCTTGTCCCTTTCATTGTACGATGGCTTGACGCCTGCTCCACCTCAGGTAGCTCCATCTTGCGCCTAACCAAGAGGTGGGGGATAAGACCAGCGAGGGTCTCTAGTTTGCTAATATAGACTGTAGAGGAAGAAGGGAGAAGAAGGTGACTGAGCTGAGAAAGGCTTGGGCAGAGGGTGCAGGGAGACAGCTGAGCGGACCTCAGTGGTGGGTCTCATGACTGGGATGCAATGAGACTGATTTTCCTCCTTCTCTAAGGGAGACTTGACTTGTTTCTAAGGGGAAACAGAAATTCCAGAATTTGAGCTGAAGTAGCAAATTCTGATGGCCGCAATGTCAAAATTTCCCCCAAAGAAGCCTGCTTGTATTCTATGACTCCTTCGAAGGTGTCCAAGTCCCTTCTAGAAATTGTGAAATAGGTTTGGCGTGGTGGTGTGAGCCACTTGTCCAGCCAGGATCTTCCTTTCTAATCTCTCAGGGCACCTTTGTGAAGCTGCTCTCAGTGTGGGGTGAGGGAATGAGGTGGGCCAGCTCTCTCGCAGTTCAAAGAGAGAGCAAAGGGCTCCTTCTTTATTCTTCCCTTGCCTGAGGAGGACCCTGCCCACACCTGCATCTTTGAAGCCAACAGCCCTCTTGTTTCTTCCTCATGAACTGCAGTTCCAGATGCAGGGAGAGGGTGGAGCAGAGAAGGAGATGGATTTCTGGGCAATGCACCTCCCCTTTGGTTTTCCACACCTCCAGCAGTCGTGGTGAGACCCACTCTTAGGAAGACGTTGTCAGTGCTCAGCACAACCCCACAGGTGCGTGTTGACATTGGAGAAGCCCAGGTGAACTGGTGTTCGAAGGTACTTGGATGAAGAATGATGTTTTTCCTTTGGGGATTGGGAGGTGCGTGCAGAACAACACCAGAGATGGCTTCCACGGTCTGTGTTTCAAACCACGTGCCTTGTATCTCACTACCATTCGGAGTATTATTGTTTATTATTATGTCTTGCTCATTCTCATTGCAAGTCCACTTTCTTATATAGAAGGTGCTCTAACAAGTGTCTCGTTTGGTGAGTTAAGGGATCTGAAGCTTTTTTTTTTTTTCCTGAGAATCTTCTGGGGCTGGATGGACTTGGTGTCCACTGATACTGCTTGACACAGCTCCAGGGGCACTAAACTCCCCAGTGCAGGCTGGAATACAAATGCGCCCTGAGACGCTGTGCAATGTCAGGCTGGGGCCTTCTCTGGGGACTGCGGCTGCTGAAGATTTTTCTTTTCAATCCACTTTCTTAGGTTTGGCAGAAGCTTTCGGACAACTCCATGTCTTTGTTGGCTCTCTGATGTTTCCTTGAACGCTTTATCATTTTTGATTCACCCCAACACAGCGTGAAATTATGCTTCTTGCTCCACACTGTCTTATCCAAACAGATTCTTCTCTTTTCCTTTTAGGAGCCATTCTGACTCTAGCTCTCTAGTCTTGAGGCTAGACAAGTTTCTTCTCCTTTATTCTTGGAAAAGACTTTCATTATTTTCTGAGTCTGTTTCCCATAGTTGGATCACAGGAACTTGTTTGGAGCTTCCGGCAGGAATGTCCAGACCCTTGTATATTCCCTGACAAAGGACAGACCTCTTGATGGGTGAGGGTGGGGTGAGTGGGGATCTTTCTCTGGTCCGGCTCACAGCTCAGAGAGGGTGAGGGCACAGCGCTGCCTGGATATCCAGCGGTGCAGGATCAGCCTCGAGGCCAGTGCTGTCACCCCACAGCACAGCCAAGTTATCATCACATGACATTTTCTTCTCGAAATAGACAAGCACATATCTTTCCCTATTTAATTGCCTGCTGGTACCTTATTGTAAAATATTTGCAAGTTATTCTCTGTAGAGAATATATTTTATCGCCTCCTTTTCGAATTCCAGTTTTCTAAAGCCTCACTTTCCTTTATCCCTTAACACAGGACTGAAATATGGCAGTTTCTTAAGTCACTGGACTTGCCTAGATTGGATTTAGCGTAACACATGAGCTTATTTGGAAAATGCCAGCCTCTCCTTTGTGTGGTGTAGGTGTGTTTGTTCATCTGCAGGTGGCAGATGAAGTGACTCATTACCCTGACACTGGGTTGCTGTGTTCGCCATATGATTCGCAGCCAGTTAGGGACATTGGTTTCCTGGTCACTGAGCACAACTGCCCCCTTTGAAAACAGGAGCCTTTGAATATCTGCTCCTCAACTGCTTTATGGACAATTACATGAAGCTGATTTCAGCCTGGGTCAGGGTTAGTGAATCCTGAAATAGTGTGGGTGCCCCCTCCTTTTCTTTTCCCCAGGGTGAGGGTGGGAAAGGAGTTATAATACATGTCAAAAAAAAAAAAAAAAAAAAGCATGTGGCACAGAAAAGAATTCCTTATAATAAAGCCCAGACTTGGCCAGTCAGGCTGGTGTTTCTCCCTGTTTGGAGAGCAGCTGATCCCCTTTGGTCTTGGGCCACGGCCTTCCTCTCGTGTGGGTCAAACCAGGCCATATAGTTGTAGTCACTCACAGTGGAAAATGGGGGAAGGTAAAGTTTCCAGATAATTCCATAATGTCTGAGGTATCCTAAAGCTCTCTCTCTAAATTGCTAACTTCTACAGGGAGGTATTGTATGTCTTTGCTCACTGACATAGAACTTTCAAGGTTAGCAAATAAATTTTCCATGAACTAGGAACCCTTTAACTTGTAAAGATTCAGAGACTACAAGGAAATGCAAAACTGGAATCTAACAGTTAAAACTGGAGAAGTCACTCCTCTGAACATATTGATAGTTCTAATAAAATGTTGTGATTTCCCTAAATGCCACACTTTTTTTTTGATTCTGACCCTGATTTCCCTTCTCTTGAAGCTTAAAGCCAAGTTTTCTGATTTAATACATAATATGATTTTTATGCACTCCTGGTTGATTCTTTTGTCTGCTTTCACCAATGCAAAATGTCAGGCTGGCTTAAGTGTAAAGCTTGTGAAACCCGAAGTTTTGGTTTAGTAATACAGGCTTTCCTTTCAATCTCTGTGGCCAGGAAAAAAAAAAAGGGAGTGTCGGGGAAAACTAGCAGGTTGATACAGATGAGGTTTCTTAAACATGAGGATATAGGGCAAGGTTTACCAAATTTGCATTTAAATGAAAAATACCATCCCACTCTACCATTGATCTGGTGTTTGGTCCTACAGCACATTGTGCAATTGCCTTGCTCCTTTACAAGCAATTTTGTTTGTGCTGAGAGCCGTTCATTTGCGTGCTTTTTTTGTTGAAATTGTTCCATTAAGGAAGGCAACTGCAGGAGAAACTGATGATGTAATTGACTACAGGTGGCTCTTGTTCTTTTTGCCCTTTAAAATGAAGCAAAACTTTTCAATGAACGTGTCATCCATGAGATCTATTGAGAACTTTAATTTAGCAATCCAAATCTTCTTAGTATTTTAGGTTGCTATTTTTTTCAGTATTCCAGGTGACTTAATTTTAACATTTGAATACTAGGATACTTTATGGTAACAATGACCAGCTGTAGTCACTAAGACAGTTTCTCAAAACTGCCTCAAACTTTTTAGAAAGAGATCTGACAAGCATGTCTTTACAAAATGTAATTTATTAAGACAAGAGTGCTCATTTAGCTTTGCCACTTCTTCAGCCACCTCTGAGAAGGTGTCACCGTTGAGAAGGTATAGAAAAGTTATGAAAACGAACACCTTCACTTTGTGTATAAGGAAATGGACAGATAGTGTCAACTCATGGGGAGGTTAGAGGTCACTGGAGCTGGTGCCCCCTTTTAGTTTGGCCTGAGGGAAGATGACCACATATGTAGCTTGACGGACTGTGGCTTTTTTCTAGACAATCCTCTGTGATTCAGACTTTCATGAAAGGCTGGTGGGGGCATTTGTAGATAGGTGGATTCTCCCAGATCTCGCAAATCATACCACATAGATGATCACCTGCTTTCTACCTGACTGCAAAGCCTCTGATTTCTGGAGTCTTTTAAAAGGAAGTGTTCTAAAATCTATATTGGCTCTAAACCTGATCTCATAATAATTCCCTTAAGAACCCTTAAGATATTTCTGTTTACTCACTAGTTTCAGTGTAAACAAAAAGTACTATACAATTCCCAGCTCCCAGCTGCAGAGAAGTTTCATATATTGGTCATTGAAACTGACCTGAGTATGTTTGAAGGACTGGACTTTTTTCATTGTTAATAGATTGCTCTAGGCCTTTGGCCTCTTTAAAACTTAAAAACATTATAAGGAAAGAGGAAGAGAAGGCAGGTGCCTCCCCGGACCCCCACCTCCAGGGAGCTGTGCATTTCTAAAGAACTTTGCAGAAGAGCTGGGGAATTCTGAACCAGTTGAGAAAGCTGAGTCTGAACACTTTTAGAGATAATTAGAATTTCTTTTTCTTGGTCTGCTCTGCCAGCATATGGGGTGACCCTACTCTCCCACCACTGGACTTCCTCCCCAGCCCCACCCCTTGTTCTTTAATGAGAGTCGAGAAATAATTTACCAATCGTAAATTGCTGTTTTCCTAACATAAGGCAAAGTATGCACCATCTAGCTGCTGACCTCAAATCAAGATGCATTTTTAAAAGCACACTGTTCAGGTCCTAATTCTGTTTGAGGTGCCTAGACAAAAAGACATTGCCTTCTTCCGGTGATTCTTTTGTGAAGTCTAGGAGGTCTGTCAGGGGTTAGAAAGACCAGCTTGTCCTAGTTTTTCCAGGACTTTCCTGGTTTTAAAACTGAAAATCCTGTGTAGCAGGGAATCACTGAGTCCCAGGGAAATCTAGATGGTTTAGTCCCCCACTAGGGGCTAAAAACTAACTTGTAGCATTTTCCCACAAAACCTAATTAGGAATGGAGACCGTAAAAGGGAAAGTGATAAATGAGTGCATCTCTTGACCACTAGGGGGCACCAATGGCCTCCAGAAGTTGTTTCCCTACCTTGACGTTTGAGGGTAGGTTCTAAAAACCATAGTAAGGAACCAAGATTTAAAAAGGCAAAATGTCATGGGTAGTCCCTTCATCCTCTTGTGGTGATGATCCAGGTCTGTGCCCTGTTAGATTTTTGGCTAGAGGGACCTCAAATCACTCTTGCCAAGTTGAAAAATTGGCGAAAAATAACCATGTGAAGCCAAATAGAAAGTTCCATTTGGAGCTTGTCCATTAGAAGCTGTGGCCCCAAAGGTGATGTGAAGGAACAAGCAGGCCTGCCCACAGTTCAGGTCGAAACAGTTACTATAGTTCACAAGTCGACGTAGAGGAGTTGTGGTCTTGCCTTGTGACAGGGTTTGGATCTGTGTCCCTGCCCAAATCTGACAGCGAATTGTGATCCCCAGTGCTGGAGGAGGGGCCTGATGGCGGGTGATTGGATCATGGAGAGAACTCCCCCCTTGCTGTTCTCTTCATAATGAGTTCTTATGAGATCTGTTGTTGTTGTTGTTGTTGTTGTTGTTTTCTTTTTTTTTTTTTTTTTGACGGAGTCTTGCTCTGTCGCCCAGGCTGGAGTGCAGTGGCACGATCTCGGCTCACTGCAAGCTCCGCCTCCTGGGTTCACGTCATTCTCCTGCCTCAGCCTCCCAAGTAGCTGGGGACTACAGCACCACCACGCCTGGTTAATTTTTTTTTTTTTTTTTGTATTTTTAGTAGAGGCGGGGTTTCACTGTGTTAGCCAGGATGGTCTTCATCTCATTACCTCATGATCCTCCTGCCTCAGCCTCCGAAAGTGTTGGGATTATAGGCGTGAGCCATCGCGCCCGGCCAAGATCTGGTTATTTTTTTGTTTCTCTTTTTTATTTTTGAGACAGGGTCTCGCTCTGTTGCCCAGGCTGAAGTGCGGTAGTAGAGCAGTGTGATCTCAGCTCACTGCCGCCTTGACCTCCTGGGCTCAAGCAATCCTCCAGTCTCAGCTTCCCAAGTAGCTGAGACCACAAGTGCATGCCACCATGCCCAGCTATTTTTTGTTTGTATTTTTTTGTAGTGACAAGTTTTCACCATGTTGCCCAGGCTGAAATCTGGTTGTTTAAAACTGTGTGGCACCTCCTCCTTTGCTCTCTTCCTCCTTCTCCAGCCATGTAGGATGTGCCTGCTTCCCCTTCACCTTCTGCCATGATTGTAAGTTTCCTGAGGCCTCCCCAGCCATGCTTCCTGTACAGCCTGCAGAGCCATGAGCCAATTAAACATCTTTTCTTTATAAATTACCCCATCTCAGGTAGTTCTGTGTAGCAATGTGAGAATGGACTAATACACCTTGGTTGTTAGAGGTTTGGTGCAGGGATTCTCACTTTTTCTCCATGGCATCCATGGCCATCATGCAAGTCTTTGGAAAATGAGCAGAGTGGCTCTATGCAGGAAGTTTCTGAAATAGGCTAAGTACTACCTGCTTCAGGGTTTCCTCCCTCTGCAAGTTGATGAGTAGTTGACCTGCTGAACTGTGCTGGGGAAAAGTTGAGGATTCCCATGTGGAAATTCAGCTGTATTCATTTTCTATCATTGCCATAACAAATTACACCACAAGCTTGGTGGCTTTGAATAACTCCAATTTATTAACTCACAGTTCTGTTGATCAGAAACTTGACATGGGTCTCACTGAACTAAAATCAAGGCACTAGCAGGGCTGCATTTCTTTCTGGAGGCTCTAGGAGATAATCCAGGTCCTCACCTCCCCAGCTTCTAGAGGCTGCTTGCATGTCTTGGCTCATGGCCCCATCCTCCGTCTTTACTCCAGCCATATTTCATTTCTCCGACCCTTCTTCCCTAATCAAACCTGTCCTGACCACAGCTGGGAAAGGTTCTCATTTTCAAGCGCTCATGTGATGAGATTGGGTTTGCCTAATAATCCAGGATAATCTCCCCATGTCAAAATCCATAACCTTGATATCATTTGCAAAGTCATTTTTGCCATGCAAGGTAATGCATTCACAGATGCTGTGAACTAGTACATGGACATCTTTGAGAGGTCATTATTCTTCCTACTGCACGAGTAAATGCCCCAGAGCTTGTTCTCTCACATTCTGTCATGGTCATTCCAGGCCATGGCCAGAGAGAGTGTGGTCAAGGGTTGACCTATTTGGAAAGTCAGTTTGTGGTTATTTGCTTGGCTGTGTTGGGGATTGCCCTATTGACCCTAACCAGTGTCTTCTCAGACTCTGAAATGAGAAAAGCAAGTCTGAAAAGTCCCTTTCCTACATGAGGAAGTGGCCTTACTTGGTGTGCTATGCTCTCTGGGTGCTTTTATTGAAAGCTATTCATAGCCAAGGCAGACATTGGTTTTACCTGCCTTAAAAAATTCCAGACCCAAATTCTTTTGGCTAAACGACATGAAATGTGCTACTTGGGGCCATGATGGCCTGGATTAAAGCAGATTCGATGAGATTTTCCAAGGAGATCCATGGCCCTGCCTGCCTTGTTGGAAGAAAGGGTGGAATTGTTTGCCCAGATGCAGGCTTTGCAGGACTTCCTGGTTTCTGCATGTGGATGTCTGCCCCACTAGGTTGTCTAAGGGCATGGGAATGGAGGATGAGGCCTGTTGTTAATAAGGCAGAAGGACATTTTGCACTCTAGGTGTTGGTGTGGGGGAATGCAACATCAAACCCATTGTCATCTGGAGTTGTAGCAAGGGTTTCCTACAGAGGGGACAGAATATGCACACATGACTAGAGACCCCCCCCATCCCTGGCCTACCTGGCCACCAAAGTTGTCCACCAGGGCTGCCGAATGTTTTCTCTCCAATGCCCCAAGCACACAGGGCATGCATGTTTTACAGCCTCAACCCAGCTCCATTTTCTGTCCTAACCACTGTTTGTACTTTGCACTTTCCACCTGCTTCTGATATGTGTTCTCTTATCACCATGGATTCCAAACCTTACAGAGCAGAGCTGGGTAAAACAAACAAACAAACAAATAAACAAGCCAACTCCCATCACTCTGAGGAAGGACCCTGCTGGCCCTGGGGTCCCCTCCATTTGTCCAGGGTGGGAATGAGAGAAGGATCCTAGCTGACTGCCTGGGTTCAAATCCTGCTTTGTGACCTTGGACAAGTTTCTCTACCTCTCTGTGTCTTGGTTTTCTTAAATGGAGACAGTAGTAGTACCTACACCTGATAGGGTTGTTGCTAGGATTAAATCTGAGTTGATACAAGTGCTCAGAACCATGAGTAGTACAGAGCACATGCTCCATATGTGTTAGTTGCTATCATTATCACTTTCATCATTACCATTATTATTTTGCAACATAACCATTTTGCTCATCATCACATTTGTAAAAGACAGAACTGGAATCTGCGATCTTCTTAAGGCCTCAGGTGTATTATTTTGAGAAATGCATGTAATTATGTATCTCCTTTTTAGAATGAGAATTGGGGGCATGTTCCAAGGTGGCATGTATGAATCGATACTGATCTTTTGATCTCTAAATTCCTGGGACGCGGCACCCGTTCAGGTACACAGGGCACTCTTTTCTCACCAGCTGCTGATGGGTTGGGGATGCCTGCAGGGTCTTCTGATTGGACTTGGACAGAGATTCTTGCTTTTCTCTTTAATCCAGGGACAGTATAGAGGATCAAAGAGAAATTGCAGCCTTTGTTGAGAGTGATTTAGAGATTCAGAAATGAGGAGGGCCTGGTGTCTGGCCCATTTGGGTGGTGCCCTTTGGTCTGGAGTGTCTGTCACAATTCTGGGGTAGGTTTGCCACCTGTGCTACGCCAGTGATTTTTTTAACTGCATCTCTAGTTGAGCTGAGCAGCAGACTTTTCCAAAGGTGGCCAAAGCCAGGAGGGGAAAGGCCGTCCCTGTATTAGCTGGTTCTCCACAGACTTGGGGAGTTTGTTAGGCTTGTCTTAAATTCTCATCTCTTCCCTGAACACTGACAGACCTCAGCCCTGTTTATCTGGTCCCTTCCCCTCCCCTCCCCTTCCCTTCTCTTCTCAGCAGCTGTTATTTCCCTATCTTTGGTCCCACCTCCTCAGCATTCAAAGTGTTAACCATCAAGTCTGATGGATGCATCTATGCTGGTGTTTTCATTAGCGAGGAGCAAAGGCCTGCTTCTTGGTGAGGAAAACATCAACAATGGTATTTCCCCATCTAAAAATAAGGCTTTTATCTGGGCAGACAATAGGGTGACCAATAATCCCAGCTTGCCCAGGACTTAGGGGGAGATGGTGGGATTTTCAGTTTTAAAATCAGGACAGTCCTGGGCAAACCAGGGTGAGTTGGTCACGCAGTGATTGTCATTTTGGGTGGGTGGAGAAAGGAGCCCCTGACAGGCAAGCTGGGGAGACATTTGGGGATAGTTGAGGCCAGGAGAACTGCGGGGCCTGCCAAGGCTCTCCTTCAGGAGGAGTGGTTTTGCTGTCTCTGGCTGCCTGTGATGAGGAATCTCATAGGCCTGTGAGGACAGGGTTTTGCTGTCTTTATAGGAGCTCACTGTGATGAGGAATCTCATAGGCCTGTGAGGACAGGGTTTCGCTGTCTCTATAGGAGCTCACTGTGATAAGGAATCTCATAGGCCTGTGAGGACAGGGTTTCGCTGTCTCTATAGGAGCTCACTGTGATGAGGAATCTCATAGGCCTGTGAGGACAGGGTTTCATTGTCTCTGTAGGAGCTGCCTGTAATGAGGAGTCTCATAGACCTGTGAGGACAGTGGTCATGTGCTCCATGATGTGAGTTTTCATGGGGTACCTTCCGTGGTCCTGGCCCTGTGCTTCCATGGGGAGTGGGAAGAAAATTCACATGGGCCACGCCACAAGGAGGCATTAGCACTTGTTCTGTAGGGAGGCTGACACTGTCCTGCTCTGAAGGAATGTCACCTACAGGAAACAATTAGTAACCAATTGGGTGCTAAAGGAAGGAAGGAAGGACAGAAGGAAGGAAGGAAAGAGACAAAAGGAATGAAGGAGGAAGGAAGGGAGGGAGGGAGATAGGGAAGGGAAGGAAAGGGATGGAAGGAAGAAAGGAAAGAGAAAGACAGAAGGGAGGAAGGAAGGAAAGAGGAAGGAAGGAAGGAAGCAAGGAATGAAAGAGAAAGACAGACGGAAGGGAGGATGGAAGGAAGGAGAGCAGATTATCCAAGGTCCTAAGTGTTGTGTCAGGCATTGTTCTAGGCGTCGTATGTGTACCATCTCATTTAATTCTTATCCAGCACTAAGAGGTAGGTACTATTATGCTTTCATTGTACATGAAGAAAGACAAGACACTAGAAGGTCAGGTGACTTGCCAGTGGTCACACTGCCTGGGAGCACTGTGATTCCAATTTGCATTTTAATAACATTCCAGCAGAATGACCTAAGGAAAATGGCATCTTATCAGGGTTAACCTTGTCCAGGATACGGGTTAGGAATTCCAGCCAGAGAGACCCCCCAGGCCCGAGGCTCTGAGACCCGGCAAGAGTGGCTTCAAAAGCAGAAACGCTGTGCTGGGCAAGAGACTGATGATCAGGTAAAGGGTAGGGAAGAGTCCAGTTTCCATCTTGAGCACCAGGAAAAACAGTGGGGCCATTGAGTGGAGAGAGGAGAGCGAGAGAGAGAGCGCACTTTATTCTTTGAAGTCTATTTGCATCTTTGGCCAGGTTATTTAGCATCTCTGAAGTTCAGTTTCCTTGTTTATAAAATGGGATGAATAATAGGACATGTCTTACACGATTTTAAGAGGATTAAATTCAACAACATCCACAAATGATTTAGAACCTTACCTGAAGTCAGAGTAGGTAGTCAGTGAATGGTAGCTGTCATGTTTTGTTTTGTTTTGTTTTGTTTTTGAGACAGGATCTCCCTCTGACACCCAGGCTGGAGTGCAGTGGGGAAATCTCAGCTCACTGTAGCTTCGACCTCCTGGGCTCAAGCAATTCTCCCACCTCAGCCTCACAAGGATCTGGGACTACAGGCGCATGTCACCATACCTGGCTTTTTTTTTTTTTTTTTTTTTAATTTTTGGTAGAGACAGGCTTTCACCATGTTGCCCAGGGTGGTCTTGAACTCTTGAGCTCAAGCAATCTGCCCACCTCGGCCTTCCCAAAGTGCTGAGATTACAGGTGTGAGCCACCACACCTGACCTATTATCTGTTTTTAAAGTCACCTTAGAAATTGTTGCTTTTTGGAGGATATTCTCCTTAATTCCTGTTCTGCAAAGGAATGGGCTAGTTTGTTCCTCCTGCATCTTGTTATTGAAGCAGCATCGTTCGTAATACTAGAGGTTCGTTGCCTCATGCCAAGGAAATCAAGGACACAGATACACGTGAAGTGAGGTTAAGAACGGAGGTTTAATAGGCAAAAGAAAGAGAAAAAAGAATAGCTCTCCTTCCTGCAGAGAGACAGGGGCACCCCAGTGGGTCTTCTGTTCCTGTGGTGAAGTGCATGGGGTTTTATAGACTGGCTTGAGGAGGTGGTGTTTGATTTAAATAGAGCCCAAAGATTGGTAGGACTGGGCATGATGTTTACATAGGGCAGGAAGAAGCTGGCTACCACCCCACCCTAATCTTTTTTTAAGCCGGCTGGAGCCACGTTGCCTGTTCCTTCACTGTACACGTGGTTGATAAAGCAAAGGGAAGATGGAGCCGCCATGTTGAACATACCTGGCCCCCAGGTGGCCTTTTCCTATTGTCACATCTGCCGGCATTCACCGGTGTCAGCTTCCAGCTTGCTTATCCGTGTTTGCAGCTTGATTTTATAGGCTGCTTTTTGTTAGAAAAGAAATGATTTGGCCGAGGAGGGCGGATCACGAGGTCAGGAGATAGAGACCATCCTGGCTAACACGGTGAAACCCCGTCTCTACTAAAAATACAAAAAATTAGCCGTGCGTGGTGCCGGGCTCCTGTGGTCCCAGCTACTCCGGAGGCTGAGGCAGGAGAATGGCGTGAACCCGGGAGGCGGAGCTTGCAGTGAGCCGAGATCGCGCCACCGCACTCCAGCCTGGGCGACAGAGCGAGACTCCGTCTCAAAAAAAAAAAAAAAAGAAAAGAAAAGAATAAGAGAAATGATTTGGAGGCTGCTTTTTATAAAAAGGGAAACCTTAGTGAGGACTTCCTTACCTCACTACCTGCCTAAATAATTTCTTTTTAACTCCTGTATCATTATAACCCTTCTTCACGTGCTTCCGCATTCCCATGGTGTTGAACTTCAAGCTGTCATGGGGAGTGGCTGTGTTCTCCTCCCATTCCTTGGAATTCCCTCTCTTCGAGGGGGTGGTAGGAAAAGTCAGCCGCCCACTGCTCAGGCTTTCTTAACACCGACCCCAACAGTCAGAAGGGACCTTAGCCTTTTCACCGCTACAGAGGACTGTGGTGTCATTTCTGGAAAAGGAAGCAGTTCTCTGGACGCTTGCCACCTCCGCCACGGGTCAAGGTGTGCTCAGCCGTCCAGGTGAGCCCTTCTCTGGACCTTTCACAAGAGGTTTGTCTGGCTCCTAGATACGAATGCCTGGCCAGGGATTTTTGCCTTTTTGTCTCCTGGCTGAAGATCTGTTTGCTTTGCAATTTAGAAAGGGACTTAAGTTTTTAATTTTCACTTGGAGTAGGTATAGGATGTGTTACTTTTTAGGAGAAAAAAAATCAGTGAGGCCGAGGCGGGTGGATCATGAGGTCAGGAGATCGAGACCATCCTGGCTAACAAGGTGAAACCCCGTCTCTACTAAAAATACAAAAAATTAGCCGGGCGCGGTGGCGGGCGCCTGTAGTCCCAGCTACTCGGGAGGCTGAGGCAGGAGAATGGCGTGAACCCGGGAAGCGGAGCTTGCAGTGAGCCGAGATTGCGCCACTGCAGTCCGCAGTCCGGCCTGGGCGACAGAGCGAGGCTCCGTCTCAAAAAAAAAAAAAAAAAAAAAAAAAATCAGTGGTTCTTTAAGGACTGCACAATTTGGCATAAAAATCTCACTAATTGAGGCTCGTTAAAAGGCACCCTGCACTCCGTAATTGTCTGCTCTGGTGTGTTCAGGTTTGGAAGAGTAATGATGATGATGTTGATGATGATAATGACAATAATAGCTACCTTTATTGGGTGCCCAGGGATTCCAGTGTATCACACACAGATCTTGCATGATGTAGGTGCATGTATCCCTATTTTTTTAAAAAAGGGAGAAACTGAGGCTCAGGGAGAACAACTGAATCGCCCGAGGCCACACAATTAGTAAGTAGGGGGCCAAGGTTCCAACAGCTCTCCCTGGCTCCAACGCCAGCACCCATTCCCGTCCACCATGTTGCCTTGGAGAAACCTGATGTTGCCTGAAAAGGGAAATTTCAACTCCTCAGGCAAATGGATAAACTCATAATTTTTTTTTAATTTACAGAACTATTCAAAATCAAGAAGTCTCATCAATTTAAATATTGCATTTTAAGTTATAACCATCAGACTGGGGGCTGGGCACAGAAGGCAGCCTGGCGGACTTGCTGCGGGTGACTCAGGCCCTCTCACTTTCTCTCCCACCTCCTCTTCTCCTCCTCCCGTAGATGTGACTCTCGGTGGGTGATCTCTTAGTAGTGAGAATTTGTGAACTTCTGGAAGGGAAAAAGCTCATGGACTTTGGCCCAGGAAAGAATGAGCAGGGAGGAGCTGTGAGGCACTTTCTACGGGGGACCCGGCCCCAGGCGCATGGGAGCCACTGGATTCAGGCCCCCGTCATTTTGTGAGCGTTTCCTGTGCTCTAGGAACACCCTGATGACCGAAGATGGGGGGCTGTTGACTCCGGAAACCCTCATAGAAAGGGGCAGAGAGACCCCAGCTCCCCCACCTTTTCCTCGTGGAAGCAATGGAAGACCCAATAGGGCTGAAACCTGCCCGTGTCCCAGGACCGTCTGCAGGGGATGGGACAATCTCTGGGTCCTGTCTTGATCCAAATATCAGGCCTCCATGCAGAGGCGTGGGGGCGCAGGCTGGGGGCGTGGCGAGCAGCCAGGGCTCCCGCGTGTCTCTTTCACAAGCACCCGCCATTCCATATGCCAGATGCTGACAGTAATATCCCTCAGGCTCTCCTGGGTTGAGTTTACAACTCACACATTCCACGAGGGGTGTTCATCAACCCCGTACGTCAACCCCCTAGCGTCAGTTGTACATGCAGTGAAATTTCCTGTGCTTCAGGGACTGACACCCAGCCTCCATGGGCAGGGCAGGCGCAGCGGAGGTGGGGAGGGCTGGCTGTGTGGCTTGAAGGCCAAGATCTTCCTGCTTGGCCACGAAATGCATGCTTGACTGCCAGTGTCCAAAGTGTGTGAGGCCACTGGGCATCCAGCAAAAGGCCGGGAAGGGATTCAGGGAAGTGTGTGGGTGGGACTGGGAGGAGGGAGTCACCTCCCGTCTGATCTGCCTTAACTCTTTCTCTCTGGCTTTTCATCAGTTTGGTTCAGCTGCCAACAGAGAGAGCCCTGGCTGGGTCTTCTGGCCCCTTTGTTCCCCTCTGAGGACAACTCTCTGGCCTCCCACACCTCACTCTGTCTCTGACTCTGGCCTCCTCTGGTCACCTACTGTTTTTATTCAGCCTGAAGTCCCCCTGGCACGCTGGAATGGAGCGGCCCATTATCACTCACTCACTCTCCACATCCTGCGATGGCAAATCAGCTGCTTGCTCCCAGATCCCTCCACCAGACGCCATGTCTTTCTCCTGGTTTTCTGCAGGGACTGGCATCCTTCCCTGCACACGGATGCATTTCCTGCCTCCTCGGTTGAAAGCCAGTTATCAGAAAATACCCAATTAAAATATTACCGCTTTGTGGCCTCTTTATCTTCTCTCCACCACCTCCAAATTGTTTTTCATTATATTTGGGCAGAGTAGAGAAAAGTGCTTACTTGATGGAACGTGTTCACCATGTAAGCCCACACAGAATTTTCTAGAAAGATGGTAGAATCAAGAAGGTGGTAGGGGGTGGCTTGCTCTGGTGAGAAGGAGAGTGTGGGGTGTTGAGGAGCAGCCAGGAATGTCTTGGGGAGTCATCGCCCCGTCAGGTCTGCGTCGGGATGCCAGGTGTTTGGTCCTTTGAAGGCAGTGGTGGGGCAGAGAGCTGTCTAGTGGGAGGTGGCTGTGTGGGTGGTGCCCTGTACATGTAACTCCAGACCACTGGAGAGGCCATTTGCCTGAACAAAAAGAAGGAATTAAGAAAAAGGCCTTTTTTCTAAATTTGGGTAGAGTAAGCATGAAAAGAGCCGGCAGGAGAGTCTGTAATTTAGAGAGGGCGTGTGGTGAGGAGGAACTGGTGACCTCGTGGTGCCATTTGGACCCATACGACTCGGACCTTGGTGGGGAGCCCTGAGACAGGGAGGTTCACAAGGCCAGGACCCAGCAGAATCCCCAGGTTCTCAGATGACGAGGCTGGTATCCCGAGAGCTTTTCGGAATGTGGTGTCAGAGGCTTTGGAGGCACCGTTTCTTTCTTTCGAGAATTACCTTTGGAGGAACTCAACAAAGTTGAATTCGAAAGGCAAACATGCAATTCTGGGTTATCCAAGCACCTAAGTCTTCGCTGGAAACAAGACACTCTACATTCTCAAACTGCTTACTTTGATTTGATCAGAAATGTATATGTACAAAAATTTCCTTCCTAAGCTGAGAATCCTGCTGAGAAATTTTAGCCCAGAGTGCACTTAGCCTGAGAGAGTTATCAGCACTGGGGGAAAATGAAGGCTGTGTATGATAAAATGTCCCAATTATGGCGACAGTGTCAGTTATTCCCTCGGAATATATGTCTTTATCCCATCATCTTGTCGGGCTAATGAATATGACCAAGGCCATCCTCTCCCATTATTGCTCAATAATGGGCAATGGAGATGGCGTATCTTCGCCTTTATTTTTGCTGGCACATCCAGGCCCTGAAGCACATTAAAGTAATAAAATTAGGCAGCAAGTCATCCCAGTCACTCCCACCATGTTCCCGTAACCCCCTCATTTACAACAGACTGAGACAGAAAGGAATTTTTTAGAGCAATTTGCGATGAGGCAATACTGGATATGTAAATTCTGTTTTATTGGCAGTCACTGCTGCTGGCTAATTCTAAATGCCTAACAGCCTTTGGTTCACTAGCCATGCTGGGTCGGGACACAGTTTGGTTTTAAGGCCACAAAGGGGGAAATGTATAATTGCAACTTTCTTCCGTGTCTTAAGCTGTGGCCGAACAGATATTGTCCCATCCTGTTTCTGGCCAGATGTTCCATTCCAGTGGCAGATCCGAGAAGGAGCCTGTTAAGAAGTTTAAGTTTTTACTGAGTTGGCTGACTAAGGCAGTTTTTATTTTTTGAAAAATTTATTGCTCCTACCGGCTTTATTCCCCCTAAAGAAGTAGCTGCCAGAGTTCAGGAAATAGCAAGAAAAACAATTTCAAGGGAAATCACTAACTTGAGTTTGAGACCAGAGACCGAGCAGGCGGAGAGCCCCGTGCAATATAATTATTCTGCAGATGCCACGGTGGAAAGAGGCCACTGCAAGAAGGGTCCATTCCAGAGGCAGAGCTTTGTCTAGGGGTGCTTGAACAAGATGCCCCTCACTGGAACGGGACACACACACTCAGGAGAGATTTGCCACATACACAGTGAGTTATAAGAGGGTTCCAAAAGTTAGAGAGACGGGAGAAAAAACGAACACAGTTGCCCCACTTCGCAGAACTTATTTTAGACTTTGCTGTGCTTCATGTAACTACTATAAAAATGAGAGGTTTACAAGCTGCAGAGCAAGTCGGGACTGGCCAAAACATGCGTCCTTGCACTTTCTTCTCCCCGCTCCGCCTTTGCTTGGCTTGACTGCTCAAACCTGCAGTAGTTAAGAAAGTTCCACGGTTTAAGAGGGTTCCCAGGTCATCAGCCACTGGGAGTTTTCTCTGACTCAGCTCTGCACTTCCACTTGCTCCAGAACAGGGAGTGAGGAGGAGATGGGGGTGGCCTTCGAAATGGCCATAGGGTGGTGGGACCCCAAGGTGGGGAACAGCCTCAGGTGGACGAGGGGATGCTTTTCAGGGCCCATCTGCCGGGACTTGTTGTGACCACTTGGATGTATGTGTCATAACTGTCCACCTTCCACCCTTCAGGCTCCCAGCAACTTCAAGATACCTGGAGAGATTCTCAGACCCTCCCCTCTAATAGGCAGAGAGGAAATTAATGCTGGCGTGGGGAGGGGAGAGTGGGAGAGGATGTGACGCACAGGCCCAGAGCTTAGGGACTCTGAATTCAGTAATCTGGGTCTATTGGTGCCCCTTCATATGCAGTAAGGTCACCTATTAACTCTGTGTTTATGGAGCTGTATTTATCACCTGGAAAGTGATATCATCCTGCAAGTCTTCTTATCAATGGATCATCCAATTGGGGGTTCACATTGTTTTGTCTTACACATTGACAATAATGCTGGTAGCATCAGCCTTATCTCTTGCCCGAGATTGGACTAAGGCTGAACTTCTCACAGCATGGTTTCTGACCACTGGCATTGTATCACTTTGGAGGAACATGTTAAAAATTCACATTCCTAGGCCCCATGCAGCAGGACCCACTGAATCAAACTCTGTATATTTTTTAAATTACTATTTTAACATTCTTTTCTTTTGTATTTAGGTAAAACTTACTGCATTAGGCTGTTCTCGCATTGCTATAAAGAAATACCTGAGAGTGGGTAATTTATAAAGAAAAGAGGCTGAATTGGCTCAAATGCTGCAGGCTTTGTAGGAAGCATGGTGCTGGCATCTGCTCAGCTTCTGGGGCAGCCTCACAAAGCTCACAGTCGTGGAGGAGGGCAAAGGGGGAGCAGGCACGTCACATGGCCAGAGCAGGAGCAAGAGAGAGGGAAGTGCCACGTACTTTTCAACAGCTCAATCTTGTCAATCTTGCAAGAACTCACTGACTATCGAAAGGGCAGCAGCAAGGGGATGGTTCTAAACCATTCATGAGAAATCCACCCCCCGACCCAATCACTTCCCGTCAGGCCCTGCCTCCAATACTGGGGATTACAATTCAACATGAGATTGGGGCTGGGACAAATATACAAACCATATCACTTATATTCAGTAAAGTACCCAAACCTTAAGACTTTTATCACTCACATACACCCGTGTAGCCACCGTGCAGATCAAGACATAGAACAACATTGCCACCACCCAGAAGCCTTCCTTTTGTCCTTCTGAGACAATAGTATCTTCCAGGGACATCTGCTGTTGACTTCCACCATCATAGACAAGTTTGCCCTCTACCTACCCTGAATCATGCAGGAAGCTTTGAGTCTGGTGTCTTTCTCTCAACATTGTGTGTGTGAGATGCACCCACACTGTTGCTTGTATAATAGCTAATTCTTTTCCATTGTGGTGTAGTATCTCAAGGCATGGAAATACTACACTGACACAAGTATTCTACTCTTGATAGTATCTGGGTTGTTTCCAGGTTTTAGCTATTATACCAAAGCTGCTAAGAATAGTTGATCCTTGGAGAGGATCGAGAGATAGAGGGAAGGAAAGGGCGTGTCTTTCTTTTTCACATTGGTGATAAAGGGAGTTCCCATTGCTGCTCCTTCCATCAGTGAGCTGCTGCTCAGAGGCCCAGTGTGGCAGGCAGTGGTGAGGTGGTGGGGAAGGAAGAAAGAAAATGCTCAGTGCAGTGCATACATGTGCATGTGCGTGCGTGTGTGGTGTTCTCTCCCCTAACCCCTACATCCACCGCCAACTCCACATTGAGGCTGGTAAAATGGCCTCAGGAGGATATTCGCAGCATCCTGACCGTTCTTATCAACCTGCAATGATTTTGCATGTGCATGTTGTGGTGTTGGCACTTATAATTGTGAGACTGGCTCAGATAGAAATCTCCTTCTCCACTTGTAGGCTGGTTATGATGGTGAGAGTATCGGAAATTGCCCGTTTTCTCAGCGTCTCTTTATGATTCTCTGGCTGAAAGGCGTTATATTTAATGTGACCACAGTGGACCTGAAAAGGTAAGACAAGGCGTCTGCCTTACTGAAATAACTGTACCTAGTTCTCTGCACACACACACACACACACACACACACACACACCTGAGGCCAACGGTGCTGCATGGGCACGTCCATCCTCAGTCGGAGTCTGAACTGAAGCCCACATGTGGGCCAAGCAGTCATGACAGGGTCGGCTGGGCTGGAGTCAGGAAGGAGGAGGAGTTGGGGGTGCCGTGAAGAACCTGCTTCTCCAGTTGCTGGTCAGCTGTGACTCTCCCAAGCCTGTCTGAGCACCATCCCTGGCTGATAACACTGGGGAGAGTTAACTTTTTCACCTCTGTTTGTTGATATGCCCCTTTGTGCTCCGTATTCACAAAGGGGCACCTCAACAAGCCCATCATTTGTTAATGAATGCCTTTACTTTCATCGCCAGCAAGACATTTTCATAAACCCACCATCTACTTTGCAGTTCTCAAGAGTTGCTTCTCTTAAACTGGTGAGGACGCGGCTAAGCCCTGGAAATGAGTCCAGATTCTCACGGTGGCCCATAAACACTGCTGTTTCCTCCCACCTAGGAAACCCGCAGACCTGCAGAACCTGGCTCCCGGAACAAACCCTCCTTTCATGACTTTTGATGGTGAAGTCAAGACGGATGTGAATAAGATCGAGGAGTTCTTAGAGGAGAAATTAGCTCCCCCGAGGTAGGCCTCAGAAAACCAGTGTTCATAACTTGATTGTCACTTTCCCCCACTAGTAGTCAGTTCTAAAGCTCTGGGCAGTGTGTGTGTGTGTGGTTTTCTGCAGCCCACGGTGCTCACTTCCTTAATCATAACCCTGGTGTAACCAGATTAGAGTTCGGGGACCTGGGTTTCATTGTGCTGCACCTGCAGCTTGGCAATCACAGTTTGATGGCAGGAAGTGGGAGGAGATGGGTCCAGGGTGGGTGGTTGGCTGTATCCTAGACACCCTGCTGGAAGCTATGGAGTATGTGTTAGGAAGAAGTATCATGGATTTTTGGACCTCGGGGGAGCTATTTCTACTCCATCCCCTTCGTTTTACTAGGGAAGCACCTGAGACCAGCAAGGCCAGGTGGGGTCCTGTGTCCCAGAACTGGCCACTGCCAGGAAACAGCAACAATCCAAACCTCTCCGTCCAGTGCCATTCTCCTAGATGTTGTTACTTCCCAACCTTTGAGAGGAAAAGGGTCAGGAAAACGTTGAAGGAAAGCTTTTCATTTTTATGCCCAGAGAAAGCTGTTTTTCTCCATTGTATAGTATTATCTTCACTAAAACATCACTTGTCTGTGATCCTCCAATTTTGAACTTTTCAAGGTATCCCAAGCTGGGGACCCAACATCCCGAATCTAATTCCGCAGGAAATGACGTGTTTGCCAAATTCTCAGCGTTTATAAAAAACACGAAGAAGGATGCAAATGAGAGTGAGTACCTCCCATCCTCCTGTTTTGTTTCAACACAGACTTGAGTCTTAGCATGGCGGCCCATACGCTCCTGGGGTATTCCCATCTATTTCCCAGTGGGTAGAGAAGTGAGTCTGGAGCTACAGAAAAAGTGCCTCCAACTTTGAATCTGCACGTGGGCTTCAAGAGATGAATGCTTCTTTTGAGGCTGGGAACTCAGAAAACAACATTTTTAGGGAAAATAGTCATCACCCAGGTGTTCCGGACACACCATGGGAATCATGTTCAATGATGTTTCTGCCAGTCCACGTCTCCCCACAGGCTTTCCATAAGTATTTTTGAATAAATAAATCACTTCTAGAAGGAGCAATATTGTGTAGACAGCAGTGTGATTTTCCAGGGAGGAGTGAGCCCTTTATTCAGATATTCTACATCCACCTGCTGCCTTCCCAGCACCCATTGCTTGCTGGCCACATCTCAGCGAGGAAGGGAAGCAAACTCCATCACAGCTGGTGAAAAGTGACATGCACTTGCAAACCTCTCTTTGTGATTTCTTGCCCTTCTGTTTTAGTTCATGAAAAGAACCTGCTGAAGGCCCTGAGGAAGCTGGATAATTACTTAAATAGCCCTCTGCCTGATGAAATAGATGCCTACAGCACCGAGGATGTCACTGTTTCTGGAAGGAAGTTTCTGGATGGGGACGAGCTGACGCTGGCTGACTGCAACCTCTTACCCAAGCTCCATATTATTAAGGTTCATCTTCCCTCCCGACACGTGTGCCGAGTACACGAACGGGGCTTTGTTTTATTTTGTTTTTACTTGTGTTTGGGCCAGACATTTAAACAGTCTGAAATGTGGAGACTTGGATTAAAAACACTAGTTCTGTTCGGGGCAGCCAAGCCCCAGCTTTCACACACACAGAAGATGGGCTTCGGGTGTTCTCAGAAAGTGCCTGGGAACATGGCCCCACCTTCTGCTTCTCTCTCAGCCTTACTCACACAGCCTAAAGACAGGTTATGTGAAAGCAGCCTGAGGAATTTCGTAGATTATACCTGGTGTTAGCAATTGAGAATTAGAGATGAGGCTCGTAGAATCTGGGGCTATTCAAATGTGAACGCAGTCTACTGTTGGTGATTGTAGGGCTCCACATGGCCCCTTCTAGGGATGACAGAGGAGTGTTCTATTAGCTTTTAACAGTGACCCTTGGCCAGGTGCAGTGGCTCATGCCTGTAATCCCAGTGATTTGGGAGGCTGAGGTGGGAGGATTGCTTGAGGCCAGGAGTTCAAGACCAGCCAGGGCAACATAGCGAGACCCCATCTATACAAAAAATAAAAAAAAAAAATTAGCTGGGCATGGTGGTGTGTGCCTGTAGTCCCAGCCACATGGGAGGCTGAAGCTGGAGGATCACTTGAGCCCAGGAACCTGAGGCTGCAGCAAGTTAAGGAGGTGGCACTGCACTCTGGCCTGGGTGACAGAGTGAGACCCCATCTCTAAAAACAATTAGGTTATTAATTATTTATTTATTTTAAAAAAACATTGACCCTCAACATCCAGGAAGCAGCTGGCAGCTTTTGGCTGAGTCTCTGCCATATTTGTTGCCCTGCCTTCCCATATAGTAGCTGAACATGATTTAAGAGCCATGAGTCATGTATTATTAGGGCTTAAAGACCTGCCAGACCCGTGGTTCTCCAATGTTAGTAGGCATACAAACTGTCTGGGGAGCTTTTTAGAAATGTGAGTCCCCGGGCCAGGCATGGCGGCTCACGCCTGTAATCCCAGCACTTTGGGAGGCCAAGGCGGGCAGGTCACGAAGTCAGGAGATCGAGACCATCCTGGCTAACATGGTGAAACTCCCTATCTACTAAAAATACAAAAAATTAGCCAGGTGTGGTGGCGGGCACCTGTACTCCCAGCTACCTGGGGGGCTGAGGCAGGAGAATCGCTTGAACCCGGGAGGCAGACATTGCAGTGAGCCAAGATCACACCACTGAACTCCAGCTTGGGTGACAGAGCAAGACTCCGTCTCAGAAAAAAAACAAAAAACAAACAAACAAAAACCCCAAAAAAACAAGAAATGTAAGTCCCCGACCCACTGCCTGCGCTAGTAAATCGGAGCTTCCAAGAGTGACCCCTGGAGCTCCAAGCGGATATCCCCACACTCGGACTCTGTAGCTGTTGCTGTCTCTCAGCACAGCAGCGCTCCCAGCCGCTCTATCACTTATAGAAGTTGAATGTGATTGCTGTGATGAGATTGCTATGTCCTTGGCCCTTAGCAGCTCCAGATACCTCAGGAAGAAGCCCATGCCTGGCTCTGGGGCATTTTTATGATTAAAATCCTGCCAGGGCCAGAGCCAGGTGGTTGGTATAAGTGTAGGGGAGATGGGAGAAACACCAGGAAAAATAAGTCATGGACTGTTTGTTCTAATAACACATTTAGTTAGCATTTAGAAATTACAAGGTAGCGGCCAGGCGCAGTGGCTCATGCCTGTAATCCCAGCACTTTGGGAGGCCAAGATGGGCAGATCACTTGAGGCCAGGAGTTTGAGACCAGCCTGGCCAACATGGAGAAACCCTATCTCTACAAAAAATAAAAAAATTAGCTAGGTGTGGTGGTGTGCGCCTGTAGTCCCATGCATTTGGGAGGCTGAGGCACGAGAATCATTTGAACCCAGGAGGCGGAGGTTGCAGTGAGCACTCACTCCAGCCTGGGCAACAGAGCAAGACTCTGTCAAATAAACAAACAAATAAATAAATAAATAAATAAATAAATAAATAAATAAATAAATTACATGTTAGCTTCACACAGTCTATGGTGCTGAGGCTCCTGTGGGCTCCCGGCCACCCCTGGTGACTCTGCTTCATTCTTTTGCCTTTGTCTTCCTGCATTTCTTCTTTCTATCCTCTTCCCCTCTCGGTCCTGGCCCTGTTGCTCCCTTCTTCTCCCTTCCTTTTTGTGCGTGAGGATACTGACTTGAAATGCAGGCCTTCAGGAGGTTGCTGATCCCTTGGGCAGATGTCTTTTCAATAGCTTTGCCAGTCCACCAATATCCAAAATTTAATGAAAGCATCTCCACCCCTCAAAACCTGCTAAATTTGGGAGCTGCCTTCTAACAGGATATTTATGTAGCTGTGTTTTGATTGAGTCCCTTTTGGTAAATGCTTTTTAGTCCCTACTGTGACCAGCGTAGCATTGCAGAAACACATGAAACTTGAAGAAGAGGGGGAGAAATATCCCAGCCACAGAGCATTCATGGCCCCTTGTTTAGCTCCCATGAGAAAAGACGATTTTAAATTTCAGTAGAAAGGGTAAGCTTTAGAGTGAGATTGCAGTTCATGGCTCCACTATAAGACCCAGAAGAAAAATCTGCAAGGCCATTTAGCACTCACAATACCCAACAGCTTAATGATCTTCCAGGATGGAGTACTTCTGAAAGGAAATGAGAATCAATCTAAGGGAATTATGGTAAAAGATGAGAGTGTGAAGGGATTTATAATTTATTCCCCTGCCAGAAACCCAGCAAAAACAATATCAAAATAGGGTATTAGCTTCATCTTTTTTGTAAAACTACAAAGGGATGACAGATCATCGACTTAAAGAGTAGGAAGCTTCTTTCAGTGGGAGGAGCCACAGAACCATTACATGTTTCTCCGTATCTTTAGCAAAGTTCAGATTTCTCAAAAGGTAAAGAACACAGTCCTGAAATACCCAACTCAAACTTCTTTGCTTGAGGCCTAGAGCATGAGATGGGCCAGGAGGGAATCACAGAACTTCCCTATAGAGACCCTTGTTGAGCTGAGATCTCTAGGGAGGCAGAATTGAAGGAGGAGCCACACAGAGACGCCATCTTTCTAGGCTGTGACCCAGCACCTAATCCAGAGGAACAGTCTGGAGGGGAGGTAAAGAGGGAGGAAAGGAGGGAAGTGGCATTTTGCATTGTGACTGCTGAGCAGAGAAAAGAATCTAGGCCCCAGCCAGTCAAGAGAGAGACTAGAATTGCCCAAACTTCGTTTCTAGCCACAGTGGCCTTCTGCCTAATCTGTGAGCCTCAGAGTGGAGGATGCCCTAACCCTAACCCTAACCCTAACCCTAACCCTAACCCTAACCGTAACTCTAACCCTAACCCCAGCCCTAACCCCAACTCTAATGTGTCTCTCTGGGGCAGAGCAGTGGTTGGCGACAAGGTGCTTGGGAGCAAATATTCCAGTTGGTTGGCCACCTGCCCTGTCTCACTCCCTTTGCCCTCCCCACTGCTTTTAAGCAAATGATAGGTCCAGTAGATCTGCCTCATTCAAAGAAGGCCAATACCAGAGAGAATGCCAGTGAGACCTTGGGGTAGACAGAGTTGATTGAAAAGAAGGGGGTGGGGGGAGGAATGATAAAGACAAGAAACAAAAACAGAAAAAGACAGATGGGAAATACATATATGATCAAGAACTGCTCCTCCAGCACATTAAAGAACGTTTCTTACAGAAATTTTTCTACAGCCTCAAAGAAATGAAAGAGAATATGGGCTTTTTGAGAAAAATCTCAAAGACAAGACACAAGATGTTCAAAAATATATTATCACAAAGGGGATGGAAATCAGGCTGGAAGAGCTCAAGAAGAAAAGTAAAGACAAATAAAAGAACTGCAGAAATAAAAGTCCTGTTAGAAGCAGTAAGACACAGACGAAGACATTGCTGAAATTGATTTCCTCTGACATTCGCACACATCTTATAGAGTTGGTTTTGGCATGTGGAATGTGTTTGTAGCCGTGCTGTCAGTGATTTGGAAGACAAGCCTGAGAAAAATCATCTAAAATCAAGTGGGGAAGAATAAAAAAGGTGATTAGAGAGATCCCAGATATACATGATCAGGAACAAGAGAACAGAAAAGGAAAAGGAAAGGAAAAAAAAATAAAAGAAAACGAGAGAATGTTCAATGGGGAAATTACTTTGAACTAAAGGATGACCTGAATCTTCAGTTTAAATGACATGCCATGTTAAACATTGCCCCAGAAAGATCAACACACTGAGACATACTTGATACATTACTGAGCTTTGAGAATAAAAAACAACCCTTTTTGGCACCTAGACAATAATAATACTGTAATACCAACAACAGTAATAATAATAAAAAGAATGAAATAGAGTAAAGCCAGTGAAACAGGGAAGAAATTCAGACTGGCCCCAGATGTCTTCATGAACCCATTAAAAATCAGAAAATTGTGGTTTAACATCTACAGAGAATTAAAGAAAATGATGTATGAGGTAAGAATTTTATATCTAGGCAATTACCGTTTTGACCTAGACCTCTGGTCTCTTTTTTAAAAAACATAAAATTGTTCTATGATGAAATAACAAAATCATAATCAAAGTAAGAATCCAGAAACAGAGAAGGTGTGTGAAATAAAAGAACAGGCCCTAAACAGAGAACCCCTTTAAATCTGAAACTAGTCCTAAGACCAAACAGCAGTGGGAATTATACGGACAGAATAGAGTCAGAATATAATAAACTATGTCATTACCACCATTGGAAGGAGGATAATACAGAAGAAATGGAAAGAAGCACAGATACATAAATTCCCTCATTTGTCATCATCAGGAGTTAACAGGCAGCATCTAAAATTAGTAAATCAAGGCCGGGTGCAGTGGCTCACACCTGTAATTCCAGAACTTTGGGTGGCTGAGGCGGGTGGATCACTTGAGGCCAGGAGTTCGAGATCAGCCTGGGCAAAATGGTGAAACCCCGTCTCTACTAAAAAGACAAAAATTAGCTAGGTATGGTGGTGCACACCTGTAATCCCAGCTACTCGGGAGGCTGAGGGAGGAAAATCGCTTGAACCTGGGAGGTGGAGGTTGCAGTGAGCCGAGATCCTCCACTGTACTCCAGCCTGGGTGACAGAGCGAGACTGTCTCAAAAAAACAAAAAAAAAAAAAAAAAACTTGATAAATCAAGAAATAGAGAATTCCTATATATTTAAATTTATGTAGGAAACCACTGGAGAATTAACATGACCATAAACCTTTTAAATGACCAGAAAGAGGGACACACACATGCATACAGAAGAAAGAAAACCAAGTTCAGTGTCACGTTCATAGGCATGGCCTTAAACAATGTACTCAGGAATGTTAAAATAAAAAGATGGGCAAAGAAAAACCAGGTACATACAAACAAAAGTAAAACGGACTTCTTAACATGAGCATCAAGAAGTTGGCATTCAAGGAAGAGGTGTCAAACAATTTAGGAGGCTCTCTGAAAATTATATGGTCCTTCTTTGCTGTCACATTGCATCAATGACTGCTGGCCTCCAAAGTCTGCGCAGTAAGCCCCAAAGATCTTCTCATTAACCCCATGCCTGCATCATGCAGACATCCTGGGAACCAGTGGGACAGGAGGCAGCAAAGCCCAACTGGCCTTTATGGCTCTGGGTCTCCACTTCAGGTTGAATTGTGCCCTCCTCCCAATTCCTGTGTTGAGATCCTAACCCCCAGTAGCTCAGAATGTGACCTTATTTAAAAATAGGATCTTTGCAGATGTAATTAGTTAAAATAAAGTCATCGTGGAGTGAGATGGACCTAATCCAGGATGGCCAGTATCGTTGCAAACTGGGGAAATTTGGAAAGAGAGACACAGGGAGAAGGCTCTGTGAAGATGGAGTTATGCTTGCACAGCCAAGGCACTGCCAGAAGTGGAGAGAGAGCCTTCCCTAATGCCTTCAGAGGATCCATGACCCTGCTGATACCCTGATCTTGGACTTCTGGCCCCCAGAACTAGGAATCAGTAAACTTCTGTTGTTCTAAGCCTCCCAGCATGTGTTACTTTATTATGGCAACCCTAGCAAACTGGTACAGTCCCCAGTGTTCTGCACATCTTTGTGACTAATTCCCCAACTGTACCCCTCTTGCTAGAGGAAGTATCTCACACTGCTGTGTTTCTCTTGGTGCTGTCTCTCGACTGCTTCTTCCTTACACCCACCATCCCCATGAGGGTAGGGATTTGCATCTGCTTTGTTCATGAATCTCTCCTCCGCACAGGCGGGCCCCACGATCAGACGATGCTCTTAGTGGCAGCATGATGGCATTCAGGAGGATTAACATGCACAGATGTTTGGGACTGGAGAAGTGAGGTTCAGCAAGTAGGAAGAAGAGAGGGCACCATTTAAACAGCAGATCCACCATGCGTCTTTATTCACATAGCACCAAGTAACACAGTAGCACAACATATGGAAAGAAAGTAACAGGCAACACAAAGAGAAATCCACCAGAGTCCAGAGCATACTCGTGCCAGCGGATTCCAAGACCCATCTGTGACAAACTGGTGGGCAGAACTATGTGCAGTCACTGTAGTGAGTACAGGAACTTCATAGCCCTCCTCACACCCAAGATGGCCCTATGCAAGTCAAGATGCCGTGGTGGGTAGCCCGGATGACTGTGGGATGACATGGGAAACTGGGAAAGAATGTATTGCATGCCTCAGAAGAATGGACTGTCTGACTTGGGAGCCTACCTTAGCAAGTTTTCCCTTTACTGATCATTTTCTCTTCATTTTCAGATTGTGGCCAAGAAGTACAGAGATTTTGAATTTCCTTCTGAAATGACTGGCATCTGGAGATACTTGAATAATGCTTATGCTAGAGATGAGTTCACAAATACGTGTCCAGCTGATCAAGAGATTGAACACGCATATTCAGATGTTGCAAAAAGAATGAAATGAAGCTGGGCTGTTTTCTGTCTTATTTCTCAGTTGAGTGAGCAAGGATACGAAAACAGTGTGTTTGAAAACAAATTAGGTTTGGGTTCAATTCCTTCAATTTTTAAAAAACTGGTCTCTGAGAGTTTTTTAAATCATTGAGAGCCTGTTTTTCTTCTCTAAAACATTAGTTTAATTTTCTTCAAAATGAAAATACTGCTTTGTAATTACAAAATGAGACACACCTATCTTGATATTTTAAAGCAATATCAGAGGGTGTAAAGAAGGACATTTTAACAATCGCCTTCAATTTTACTCCACTTAATTACCGAAAACTTACTGGAGAACATGTTCCAAATCTTCAGTATCTTGTTCTCTCTCTCTCTCTCTCTCTCTCTCTCTATCACACACACACACACACACACACACACACACACACACAATTTCATTCATATATGGTATTGCATTATTTTATTTTAAAGCACTGGTGAGGGGACCTCTTGGTGATTCCTGGATGATCATACACAGAGGACTTACACCATACAAAAATATTGGGCACCGCAGTGCCAGAGAAGATGCTTGAGGTTAGATTTTAAGGAGTGGGGAATTGTGAAGCCCACAGATGCGCACGCAATGACCAGCAGGAACCGGAAGCCCTGGGTCACCCCCACTCTGCCTCATTTCTGCCTCCAGGATGCCACTGCCTCTGCTTCCAGGAAAGGCAAGGGGGAGGGTGCTTATCCGTGTCTCTGGTTCCAGCTTCCTGTCTTTGCTCCCTCCCCTCTCTTAGAGACTGTGCCTTCAGCAGGACTCTTAATATCTGCTGCAACTTGGAGAACCTCCCTGCCCTGAAATGTGAACCAAGCACACTTTGGTTCCTTCTCCGGGCGGCTCTCTCTGAGACCCAAGGCTGCAGTCCCTCAGTGCTGGTGGTATCGTGTGGGGATAGCAATACTTCTCTGCCCTTCATTGTCTCATCTAGACATCAAGCAGGGAAAATCCAGGGAGATTAAATTCATGGTGACAAGTCCTGGGCAGTTCTGGTAAACGGTCCAGTTAGGGAGGGAGTAGAAACTATTGACTCAAAAGAGTTTCTGGCTGATCTGTGGCTTTGCCTCCACCATCCCTAACCAACCTCTCATCACAGCTTTGTGTGTGGGCTGAGTGCTGGCCTTAACCCTAGGCGTGGAAGAGAAAATGTGAGGTTGTTTAGATACTCATCAGGACCTCACAGGAGCTGAGACTTATCAGCCAGAATGTGTTCTTCGGACAGTCGTACACATCTTACAGAAAACCCTCCTTGTAGAGTTGGTTGTGGTATGTGTTTGATGCTATAAAGCTCATTTTTAATGTGTACACCTGCTCTAGGGACGATTCGTTTGAAAGAGAGTAAGATGCATTAACAGAAACTATCCTGGGATTAGGTGAAAAATGTCTAGCAAAAGAAACAAAGTCTTTAATAGAGTGGCCTCTTTCGCTCTTCGATTATGACTGCTGCAGTTTTACCCCAGCAGTCAGCTGTCTTTGTCAACCATACGTTTTTGGAGATTGGGTCTAGCACATGTCACCCTTGTCCACGTTGTTTCACATCTGGTTAGGGGGCAGATTTTAAAATGTAGTTTTGTAATGTTACATTTAAGCATGATAAATGATTAGACTACCAGATGTTACTAGTGCTAACTTTGTATTCTTAGACATTAAAATGATTGACATAAACTCTTTGTGCCTTGAAAATGAAACAAATTATAAAAATGTTTAAATGGAACCAATTTCTTTTGGGTTTTATTTTTTATTTTTTATTATTTTTTGCATTCCCCATTCTCCATTTAGGTTTCAAGAAATAAAATGAATGGTATGGGCTTCTTTTAAAATGGTGAGGACAGGCCTGGCATACCGGCATAGTGGCTCATGTCTGTAATCCCAGCACTTTGGGAGGCCGAGACAGGCAGATCACCTGAGGTCAGGAGTTCAAGACCAGCCTGGCCAACCTGGTGAAACCCCATCTCTACTAAAAATACAAAAATTAGCTAGGCATGGTGGTGGGCACCTGTAGTCCTAGCTACTAGGGAGGCTGAGGTGGGAGGATACCTCGAGCCTGGGAGGTGGAGGTTGCAGTGACCTGAGATCACACCACTGCACTCTAGCCTGGGCAACAGAGTGAGACCCTGTCTCAAAATGAAATGAAATGAAATGAAATGAAATGAAATGAAATGAAATGAAATGAAAAACAAAATAAAATAAAATAAAATAAAATAAAATAAAATAAAATAAAATAAAATAAAATAATGGTGAGAGCAAGTTTGAACCTGAGATTATGGGCATTTGAATTAGAGACAATCCATACTTCAGTTGTGAATCACAAAGACATTTTAAAGGAACCTTAAAGAGGCCTCCAAAGACACCCATGAACAGTCCTTGTCCAGGTGACTGGCATCGACACCCTGCTGGGTGTTCTTGTTCTACTTTTACGTGGAGTTGTAGGAAAGGAGCTGGTTCTGGGTGGTCTTCCCCAGCCCTGTCCCAACTCTGCCTTCAGCTCCGCCCCCAGCCCACACCTCTTGATTCTCCTAAAAACCTACATGTGTGTAAGGAGGTAAGAAATATTCCAGAGCTGTTCTGCTGGACCAAAATCTTCATTACAGTGTGTTTTAAAAAACAAAATGCATTTGTTCTTCAAGAGATACCATACAAAATGTAAACATGGACGAATAATGAACAAATTCTTCTTTTCAGGCTGTGTGGAAGTTTTTCTGGACGGAGAGGATTCCATTCTCAATTCTAGTTGCCCGAGAGGCTTGAAAATTAGTTCATAAAAACCCAAACTTTACCTTTTTTTTTATTTAATTGAGATGGAGTCTCGCTTTGTCGCCCAAGCTGGAGTGCAGTAGCTCGATCTTGGCTCACTGCAACCTCTGCCTCCCAGGTTCAAGCGATTTTCCTGCCTCAGCCTCCCAAGTAGCTGGGATTACAGGGCACCACATCAGGCTAATTTTTTTGTTTTTAGTAGAGATGGGGTTTCACCGTGCTGCCAAGGCTGGTCTCAAACTCCTGAGCTCAGGCGATCCACTTGCCTCGCCTCCCAAAGTGCTGGGATTACAGGTGTGAGCCACCACGCCCGGCCTCCAAACTTTCCTTAAGAACACAGAATGTCCTAAAGCAGGCTGGAAGGGAACATGAGAGCATCACAAGGTTCTACTTTGTGGATACTGCAGCATACGGAAATGCAATGACAGAATCCGCCCAGAAGAGGACTTCCAGAGACCAGAGGTCTCAATCATTTCCATTCTATAAGTCTATCTCTAAGAATTGATTATATGTTCAAGCCCTTCACCCCCAAGATAGGCGGACAGACAGACACACACACACACTAGACACACATACGTGTATACACCAATTTGTGACACCATTGTCACACACTCTCACATACTCATAAGCACACTCCCACAGACAGACATTCATGCACACCCTCCACCCCCACCCCGCATGCAGGATGAACTCCTTCCCCTCTCACCCTCCCCCAGTCGTAAGCAGTAACTCACTCTTAGCACAACCCACCCTGCCCTGAAGTTCCCCCTTCCAGTGGTTCATAATTAGGCTTTGGAAAATTTTAGATTAATGGCTTTTTTTTTTACATTTTAATTTTTTTTGAGACTGGGTCTCACTCTGTCGCCCAGACTGGAGTGCAGTGGCGTGATTTCGGCTCACTGCATCTCTGCACCCCATCCCCAGTACCCACCACCACAGGCTCAAGCAATCCTCCCACCTCAGACTCCTGAGTAGCTGGGACCACAGACACACACCACCACGCCTAGCTATTTTTTTTTTTTTTTTTGCATTTTTAGTAGAGACAGGGTCTCACCATGTTGCCCAGGCTGGTCTCAAACTCCTGAGCTCAAGCAATCCATGCGCTGTGGCCTCCCAAAGTGCTGGGATTACAGGCATGAGCCACCATGTCCAGCAGGCATTAAAAAAATTTTTTTTTTACAAGAAAATCTCAACCCTTCTTTTATTTTACAGTTAAGAGAACCAAGATGTCCTTCATTCTAAGCACACATAATTAACAAAGCCCTACATACATGAAATGGATGCATTGGGGGATGCTATTCACATGACAAAATGACTTCTCTTTCCATATATGGGTGTAAGTCTCAATTATCCTGTGGCCAATTTCCCTTCACACATTGGTATTTTGGTTTAATAAATTACATGCATTTCAGGCCATGGCCACTTTGTAAGGGATGTGTGTGGCCTCTGGTCACAAAGGGACTGACTACACTGTTCCTCAGGGCCTTTGCAGGTCTGGGGTGTCAGGAAGCCCTTTCTGCTTCTGGGATCTCAGGGACCCAGCAGGAGTGGCACCTGCCATTGCAGCTGGTGGATTGACACGGTCATTGTTCCCATTGCAGAGGGTTCTGGTGGAGTCCTCTATGAGCCTTGCCTTGAAGGAGGCCATTTAGGCAGGCAGAGTCGAAAGCTGCCTGGGGAAGTGGCGGGTCAAGTCATGGTCCAGAGGAAATTGTGTTCAGCAGCATGGAGCTGCATATTTGGGAGGAGGAAGCCATTTACTTAGGTTATAAGGCCTGGGATCGGGCCACCAATGGGATCTTATCCAACCTGTATTCATTTTACCCTTTTGTGGGACTGCCTACCCTATTGTTCAGTCCTACCCTATTGTTCTGGCTCCCATGGCCCCTGGCTCTGTAAGCTTGTCCTAACAACATTCTGGAAGAGAAACTATTTTTCTTGATGACACCTCCCTCTCCCATCTCTTCCTCGATCCCCTTCTGTAGTGGATTCTGTGATGTACTCCTGGGTGAGTGGACAAGGACAGTAGCCATCAGTGGCTGGCCTAGGATTCCCCATGGTTCAGCCGATCTGCTGGGCTCTGTCTCCCTGCAAAGGCCTCTTTCCAGGTGGCTGACACTTGCGAGTCTGAGTTAGGTCTGTTTCTGAAGCTCTGACCTACACATGTAACCAGCACCTGCTAGGACATTCTGAGGCTCTTTAAATCTTTTGGATCTACCCAGGTTCCAGGAGAATTCCAGGGCCCGGGGACAGAACCGTCCTTGCTTAGAATGCTTCTTGGTTTTGTTAAAGGGGATGTATTCAAATAGCATTAAGGTTTTTGTTTTCCTGCTTGCTTTTTCCTTCCTGGCGTTAAGATGTAACAAGTTCTGCCGGGTGCAGTGGCTCACACCCATAATACCAACACTTTGGGATGCTGAGGTAGGAGGATTGCTTGAACTCAAGAGCTTGAGGCCAGCTTGGACCACATAGCGAGACCTTGTCTTTACTAAAATTAAAACAAATTAGCCGGGCAGGATGGCGCCTGCCTATAATCCCAGCACTTTGAGAGGCTGAGGTGGGAGGATTGCTTGAACTCAAGAGTTTGAGATCAGCCTGGGCAACATAGCAAGGCCTTGTCTCTACTAAAACTAAAAAAAATTAGCTGGGTGGAGTGGTGCCTGTCTGTAGTCCCAGCTATTCAGGAGGTTGAGGCAGGAGGATTGTTGGAGCCTGGGAGATGGAGTCCACAGTGAGCTGTGTAGATGGACTCTTGCTCTGTTTCCCAGGCTGGAGTGCAATGATGCGATCTCAGCTCACTGCAACCTCTGCCTCCCAAGTTCAAGTGATTCTCCTGCCTCAGCCTCCCAAGTAGCTGGGATTATAGGCACTCACCACCACACTGGCTGATTTTGTATTTTTAGTAGAGACGGGGTTTCTCATTGTTGGCCTGGCTGATCTGGAACTCCTAACCTGAGGTGATCCCCCACCCCTGCCTCAGCCTCCCAAAGTGCTAGGATTACAGGCATGAGCCATCACACCCGGCCCACCTCTGGCATATCTGAATGAACATTTAACCTCTCAGTCTCACTCTTCTCATCTGGAAAATTGGAACAATATCTCACAATCATGTAGAAGGTGGTATCTTAGAAGTTCTCTATAAAAGCTGCAAAGCAGCTGACTGTATACAATTTAATTTTTCTGGAATTTGTTCTTCTTATGGGGTAACAGCCCTAAAAAACGTAATTTGTCAAAATGGACAGGGTTTGAGTTTACGAGTGTCTAAGACCTTGAACCTTCCTCACAGAGGCAGAAGGCGGTTATGCTCTGAATTCCTGGCTCCCTACAACAAGGCAGCACCCTGTGATATTGGTCATTACTCAGTTGTCCCCCTCGGCCGGTCACTGGGGGCTGTCCAGGGCAGGTCCAGCTGTCTGTCAGGCACAGTGAACTGGACAGCCTCCACAGTGGGCTGACAGCTCTATCTGGGAGCCCTCTAGTCTGGCTTGGAGACACTGTTTTCAGTTGTGTGATATTTACTTGAGGCTCTCAGGAGTGGAAAAGCAGATCAATCAATGTGGGTGGTCTCCCTAATGTCAAAGCCCTCCTCCCACCCAGGCCAGGCTCTCATCCTCACCACTAGGTGGCGCTTCCTCCCATTCCCTGTAGCCAGGTGGGCTTTACCTTGACAGGTACTATTGGGTTGACCCCCATGGACTGATGCCCACACAGCCTTGGGACTTCATCCAAACCTAGCCCAGCCCTCTGGGTGTCAGCCCAGGGTGGCCCACGCATCAAAGGGTGGCCTTTCCGGGCCAGAGAAGCCAAGCGTGAAATGACCCTGCTGGTCTCAGCCCCAGCTTCCAGGACGGCCACACCCAGGCTGTGTTTTCTGATGTGCTAAGGAGTGTCTGCAGGAGGAGGAGGAGCTCCCCTCTGTCCTGTGGCTTTCTGTTTTGCCATGGAAATACCTTCAAGGACAAGAAGGCCCTTGTCACGCCTAACTCGAAGACAACTTGCTCTTGGTACCTCTCACCCATTTTCTTTTTGTGAAAACAGACAGTGTTGGGGGAGTAGCTGGGCACCACCTCATGTACTTCAGAAGTTGGAGAGAACTCTCTGACCACTCTGAAACCTTCCCTCTCCAAACCCAGGAGCCCATGGCTCAGAGATGGGTAAGGAGCTGATGGAAGGGGCAAGGTTCTGGATCCTGAGGTCCGAGACTCCTGCTTCCTTTCCTTGCTAGCCCTGGCTCTTGGGGCCAGCACACCTCCCTGGGCCCACCTGTCCTCATAGCTCCTGCCCCAGAAGGCCCAGGGCAGCCTGTGCAGGTGGTCAGTGGGAGAAGGCAGTCTCCCCGCTGCACCCCATGGCTGTGTCCCCCAAACTTCCTCTATGGCTCCTCGCCTGACCCTGAGGGATGGGGGCGCTGCACATGGTGGGGTCAGAGGGTAAGGAAGTGGGGTTCCGCTGCTGGTGGGAGCACAGAGATCACTGCTGGACACTCAAGCGTCCATGGGGATGAGCCCCTATCCTATGGCCAAATTAATTGTTCCCCCATTAATTGCCAAGCAATCAATACATCCATTTATTTGATTTCATTGTATAACTGTATTGAAAACAGTCCGGGGTCTGGACACCTGGTCCCTCTGGCTGGCCAGGTCTTGGTCCTTGGACTACCATCTAGTCTGTGCCTCAGCTGTTTTGCTGGCTGAGAAGAAGAAAAAAGTGATGATTTTACTGTGATATGTTTGTGACTTTTATCACAATGCAGTGCTCAGCTCCTCTGTCACCAAAGCCTACCTTTTTTCTGGCTCTTTTTTGGATCCTGGAGGGCTGACTTAAGCAAATCCTTAGTAAAGGAAAGAACCCAGCAGCCTCTCCTCAAACCAGTAGGCAGCTTCCATACAGCCTCACAGACAGGTGGCCCAGGAGTGACTTTATCCACATTTTTCTGCTCAGAAAAACAAACCACCAAATCTAAAAAAGAGATTGACCTTGAGGTTTCCAGGAACAGGACTTAAAGGGGTGTGGAGAAGGGGTGGGGAAGGGGTAAGGAAGAGATAGGGAGGAAGGAAGGGAGGAAATGGGAGGAGAGAGACTCCATGGCAACGGCAGAGGAGATTGTGGCACAGGCCACAGGTGTGTAAGCCCCATAGACCTTCTGGGAAGCTGCAATTTGCTTTGTGATGAGATTTGTGAATAGGGGGAGGCCAGTGGCCCCCAGACCTGCCTGGACACTCTTCCCGGACTCCAGCCAGCCCTTTCTTGTCATTTCATGTGTTAAATCATTTAAAATGTATAGAGTAGTATATACTTATCATTTGGATACATTTTCCCCAAAATGTGGACTGAACTAAGATAAAAGAAAAAACACAAGTTATTTTCCTAAGGTTCTTTGCCTCTTCATTTTTATATGTGTCACTGACTGAGCTGCAGAGGCCTGTTTCTGGTCACATGATTCCTTCTCATGATCTTGGGATCTCCCACATTTGGAGCCAAGAAAGAGAGAAAATGAGATAGGAAGGTGCCTGGAGTTCTTGGACAGTGCTGAGTGGTAGGACTTGCTTTGCCTCCATTGGTATCTTTCAATGGCTTGTTTTTGTTTTTGTTGTTGTTGTTTTTCAGCTCATAAATGACTTACTGGTCCCAAAAGACAGTATTGTTCACAAGAAAAACTTTGGGTCTTTTGATGGTAGTTCAGGCGCTGGGCAGACCTTTCTGCTGCATACTTTGGCACATTTTCACCAGCTTGGGCAAGGGAAAGAATTTGTTGTTTCGAGTACAGTACTGGAATGCATAAAGATTAAAAAGAAGGCAACAAAAATGCTCTTGCTTTTAAAAAATGTGCAATTCCAATGAGAAAATAGAATAGTGGCCAGAAAGAGACCCAAGAACAAGTATCGTGGAAACCAAATGAATAAGTGGGCGAAGTATACACTTAAGAACTTTTGCAAAGTTGCCGAGGCTGAGGGGCTGCTACCACAAATAAAGTAATGAGAGTGATGATATACATTTGCAGAGCAGTTTACAGTGTGCAAAGCCTACACAAGCACTGTGTCGTTCCAGAGGTCATGAGTGTGTGTCACTCACTGATGAGGAGGTTGTGACGGCAGCCACCTCGCTTGCCTGGTGGTCATGCAGGTCTTGCCTAGTAGTCATGCAGGGGTCTTATTTGCTTCTCCCTCATGAGTAAAGGGTGTGGGGCACCACAAGGACTCTGTTCTGCCAACTTTGGGGGCCTTGCCCCATCTAGAGGGGGCAGAACGTTTCAGTTGGAGAATTGGTGGCTTAAAGGCTTACTGATGGCAGTAGACGGAGGGAAGAGTGATGGCTGAAGGCTCGTCTGCCTGGAATCTTTCATCTGAAAACTAAAAACTTGGGCTAGATTTTTTTTTTGTTTTTTGTCTCTCTCTTTTTTTTTTTTTTTTTTTTGGGATGGAGTCTGGCTCTTTTGCCCAGGCTGGAGTGCAATGGTGCCATCTCGGCTCACTGCAACCTCCACCTCCCAGGTTCAAGCAATTATCCTGCCTCAGCCTCCTGAGTAGCTGGGATTACAGGTGTCTGCCACCACGCCCAGCTAATTTTTTTTTTGTATTTTTAGTAGAGACGAGGTTTCACCATGTTGCCCAAGCTGGTCTTAAACTACTGACCTCAGGTGATCTGCCTGCCTCAGCCTCCCAAAGTGCTGGGATTACAGGTGTGAGCCACCGCACCCAGCAATTGGTGGGTTTTCATTCCTGGCTCCATATGAGAATCATCGGTGTGGCTGTAAAAACTACTAATGCCTATGACACACTTCAGACCAGCTGAATGAGAATCTCTGGGCTTGGACATTGGTGTTGTTAAACTCTCCCCAGGTGATTCTCAGGGGGAGCAGGATTAACAGCCATTGGCTGGATGCTCTGTAAAGTGATTTCTAGCTCTGTCTAATGTCTGGGGGATGGGTTAAAACAGCATCTGGTGGGACTGGGCGACGAACAGAAGTGATAGAGAAGGCTGCACCTACCAAGTATTTCTACTCTTGGGGAAGTTGGTTGAGATTAGCTCTGGGCGCACATATAAAACCCAGTGTACTGGATTATACAGAGTCCCCTCAAAATTCGTGTCTACCCAAAGACTCTGAATGTGATCTTATTTGGAAAAAGGGTCTCTGCCAAGGTAACTGGTAAGTTTGGATGAGCTCATGCTAGATTAAGGTGGGCACTAAGCCCTATGTGACGCATGTCCTCAAAAGAAGAGAAGACACACAGACACACACAGAGGAGAAGGCCATGTGAGAACAGAGGAAGAGGCTGGAGTGATGCAGCCACAGCCAAGGAAGGGCGAGGATGGTCACCAACCGGCAGAAGCTGGGAGAGGCAAGGAAAGATTCTTCCTTCCAGCCTTTGAAGGGAGCACAGCCCTGCTGACACCTGGATTTGAGACTCCTGGCCTCCAGAACAGTGAGAGAATAATACGCTTCTGTTGTTTTCATCCACCCAGTCTGTGGTATTTTGTTACTGCAGCCACAGGAAACTAAGCCACTCGGTAAGGTTTGGGTCTCAAGACAGCTGAATCACCTCGTCATTGCTTAGCAATGAAAGATGCTAGAGCTGATAGCACAGCTAACATGAGAGGAAAGCTGGGCTGTCAGGAGAGCTGTGTCCTGTTTCCAGGCACAGCAAGGACAGCTGGGTTCAGACTGAAGCAAGACCCGAAATGGATGCCCTGTTGGAGAGCATTGGTGATTTACCCTACAGGCAACCATTGGCTCATTTTGTGCTACAGGAAAGGTGAGCAGATGGGAAGTAGCTGAAAGACTTGAGTTTTGGTCTTGCCTCTGTCACTTCTGGCTGTGTGGCTCTGGGAAAAGCAGCTAATGTCTCTGGACCTCAGTTCCTCATTTGTTAAGTGCAGGAACTAGATGACATAATCTGCTATGCAGTTTCCAGCTGTTAAGTTCTAAACGCTAAGCCAGAGAGAGACAGGTTTAGCATCAGTAATAACATATGAGAATAGTCCCCCAGGCATAGGAATGCATCATGCTCCTTGCAGCTCATGCCCCAGGTCTGATTCTGAGTTCAGACATTGCTAGCCACTTGCTTTAGGGATTTTTGGTAGACATGTTGCTTTCTGGTACAGCTACTCCTAAATTTAGGACATTAATGTAGTCTGTGTCTAAATTAGCAATGTCTAATCATTCGATTGTCTAACATCAAAGGATTAATCACCTACAAGATCTAATGAGCTTCTTTTCCTAGAACACATTCTACATGATCAACCAGACCTTTGATGACCCCAACAGCCAGAGATCTTATGAGCCTTTCCCAGGACCCCCACCACCTGCCTCTCATCCATGCAGCAATTCATCAGGCCTGTATATAAAACAAGCCTTGACTTTGAGGATTCACCTTGAGGGGAAAAGTGGGTCTAGAAAACATGGATATGGAGAAAATGTGGGTACGTTTCCTCTCTGCAGTTCCTAGGATGTCGCATTAGTTTTCTGTCATGTAACCACAAACTTAGTGGCTTAACACAACTTGTATTTATCATCCCACAGCTTCCTTGAGTCAGGAATCTAGGCGAGGAGTAGCTGGGACTTTTGCTTCGGGTGTCACTGGCTAAACTCGAGGTCAGCCCAGGGTTGTGATTCTGATGTGAGTGAGATTCGAAGTCTGCTTCCAAGCTCACTGGTTGCTGATGGAATTCTGCTCTTTGCATTTGTGGGACTGAGGGTCTCAGCTCTGAGAGACCACTCGCTTGCCACACAGCCTTCTCCATAACATGGCAGTTTGCTTCTTCAAGGCCAATGGGAGAATGTCTCTGCTGCCTCAAATCTTTCCGACTTTCTCCGTTTCTGACCTCTAGACCTTCTTTCAAAAGGCTCACATGATTAGGTCAGCCCCTCCCAGGATAGGTAGTCTCCACTCTGATTAACTTAAAGTCAACCGATGAAATCAGGCTGATAGGGGATAATGTCCCAAAACAGTCAACTGATAAGGAACTTCAGTTACATATGCAAAATCCCTTCCCCTTTGCCCTATAATGCAGGCTAATCAGAGGAGTGGTATTCCATCGTATTCATAGGTCCTACCCACCCTCGAGGGTGGGAGAGTTACACAGGGCATGAACACCAAGGCCCAGGAATCTTGGGGTCATCTTCAAATTATCCTGCTAGAGATGAGTCTGGGGATCTGTGATAACCCTTCCAGGGGAAGTCGCCCTCATCAATACACAAGCCAGGGTTGAGATCAGCTGGGATAGTAAAACCTCACTTTTTCAGGGGGTCCCAGGCCATACCCTAGCATCAGGTGTCTGCTGCATATCTTCTTGGCAAGTTTCCTTGAGACACTTTTACTTCTAATCCTTAGGCTCAAACACCTGTGGAGCGGGAAGTATGGCATTTCCGCGAAGTCCTCTTGACTTGAGTCCCAGGTCCCTCTGACAAAGCAGGAGTTTGTTGACCTGCTAGTCCTGGCACCAAATGTACCTATTTACTCAGCTTTTGCCAGAGGGTGGGGAGAGAGGGTGGAGAAGAAGGAAGGGCTCTTTTGCAGTTGGTCAATGAAATGCTTTGTTATAATTTTGCTTCATGTTGTGCAGGTGGCCAAGTGTCTTGGGTACAAGGTAAACAGATTTCTCCCCCTTGGTCTTCCCTGCATTCAGTCCCCAGCCAGTGGGTCACATTCAGAATAATAATAGGAATAATAAAGGTCACAGTCCCTGCTGCTGTAAGAAAGATTATCTTTAGAAAGAAACAAATAGTCTGGGAGGAGTTACGTGGAGTTTAGAAAAACAAAACAGACACCAACTTGTCCTGATTCTCTGTGAGTTTCATCCCGTGTTATTCATCAATGCCTGTTTGGTGGTTTCATGTCTTGATGCATCTTTTATTGTCCATCCTTTGGCCATGGATACTCTTGGATGATGCATCAAACCAAGCATAGTTTTTCAAGTGACAAGAGTTGTGGGGATAATGGACTGGGTTTCTCTTACTTGTGTTGCAAGACACTTCAGAGTCATAAGCCTACGGATTTTTGTTTGTTTGTTTGCTTTTTATTTTTTGAGATGGAGTCTTGCTCTGTCACCCAGCCTGGAGTGCAGTGGCGCACTCTCAGCTCACTCAACCTCTGCTTCCCAGGTTCAAGCGATTCTCCTGCCTCAGCCTCCTGAGTAGCTGGCATTACAAGTGTGCACCATCATGCCCAGTTAATTTTTATATTTTTAGTAGAGATAGGGTTTCACCATGTTGGCCAGACTGGTTTCAAACTCCTGTCCTCAAGTGATCCACCCACCTTGGCCTCCCAAAGTGCTGAGATTACAGGTGTGAGCCACTACGACTGGCCAAGCCTATGGATTTTAAATTACGAGGACATGAAAATCGCTGTCAAAATAAGAACGCTGAGTTGGAGAGTGGAGGTAAAAATGTCACTCTGGGTTTGTGTGGACACAAGAACCAAGAGAGGCCTCCTTGTAAAATGAAACATGTCAGAGCAGACACTACGTGGCCAGAGACCTAGTCCCCAGACCTCAGACTTCTTAGTGCACAATGAGAAATCTGGCCTACACGTTGTCTCCAGAGTTCTTTTTTTTAGCAGTAAAATGCCTTGATTCTATATGACACACAATTCTCCACACAGCCTGTGTAGCTATGTCATGACTTTACAACTTTCATAAGAGCCACTTCCAAATAAGTCATGAACATCTCACAGCAGGAAGAGATGGCAGGTGACCAGCTCTCAAGTTTGGGTTGGTTTGCTAATTTTCACCAGAAAATCATCTCCTGGGGACAGATATTAAATAATGCAATGCCATTATGTCTTAAAAAATTAAATTAAAATTTAAAAAATACTATTTACCATTCTGGTTCTTGAGTTTTTATGTTCTGGGAACAAAATAACATTTTTATTTTGTTTTGAGAGAGATAAAAACAACCAAGGCATTCTGACTTTGTTCTCAGTAGCTATCTCATTATTAAAGTTGAATGCAATAAAAGCAGTTTCCTTGGTGAGAAATGAATATATGGTTTCAACCACAATATGTCTTCACAGATAAAATGATTCCTATCTGTATTAATAAGAACATTTTCTGGGCCTCCCTGTGAATGTGATCTTCACAGAATAACATGTTCCCACCTTGTCCTGAGGACCAGATCCAAGAAATGTTCTCCACGAGTATAGGTGAGATTTGACTTGGCTCTGTAAGACATTTCCGGGTAGGAATAATTACTAGACACCGAAATGGCTGAAATGAGGGGGAACGACGTTTCCTCTCAGGAGATCTTGATAAAGGAAACATCTCCTCTCTCGGAGATGTCCTAGGTTGGCCCTGTCCGGCAGCCAGAGAACTGGTTAGATCACCTATCAGAGTGATATCAATGATGTTGATTTTCTGTGAAAGAGCTTCTACTCGGTATTTCTGAGAAGTCTGACAATTCATTTCCATTTTTAAAGAGGAGAAGCTTTTGAAACGCAGTGGCACTCACAGGCAAAATTTGAAACGCTACCCTCAGGGACCACCATGTTCGCAATGCCAAGGCAGGGGCCTTTTGCACCTGGAATACTAGGCTTCCCTGTTTTGGTGAAGCCCCTGAGGTGTTTTCCTGATGGGCTTGATAGTGCAATGGTGATTTCCCACCCCAGGAAATCTAATCCTTAAATCCCGAGATCACAAGAGCCTTCTCTGTTTGCTCAATGGAGTCTGGCCAGTCCTGGCTCTCTCCCATGCTGTGTAAAAGTTTGGATCTAGAACTCAGAGTCTGATTATTCGCTAATGCCTGAAGCTCATTTTTGTGGCACCATGTAATATCAGGAGAATGGCAGGTCCCAGCTGCCCACTTTCCCTCTCCCCATCCTCAGGCCTTCAGGATATACCGTTTATACATGTGCATATGTGTTTGACAATATGAAACATACGGATTTCAGATCCCCTCTTCATAAGGGGAATGGAGGAGGAAGTTGAAGTGGATGAGAATCCAGGAACAGGGTTTAGCATTGGTGAGAGTGGCAAGATGACTCAGTCTTGGATTTTTAATCAAGGGATCTTAGTGAAGAACAGCATATCCTTTGTTGGGCAGAATATAAAAATGCAAAACAGAAGCCAGTAGAGATTTAATAAACAGAGCAATCAGTAGGGCTTGGCAGGGAGATGGGCACACAATGGCTGCTTTAACCTGGTAGAGATGAGCTTTGGTGCGATGGTGAATGTTGGTTTCCATTGACATTGACTTGAGTTGACTCAGGAGTCAATGAAGAACATTTTGGATCAATTTGGATGATTATCCACAAGCAGTAATCCTACAGTGTTCACTGTTTTCCAGAACTTTTAAAACAATAGAAAGGGTTATTCAGGGATAAAGCATTTTTCCTTTTTCAAATGCTTTCAGAGTTTGGCTCACCTTATTTGGGTGAGGCATATAAGTATGGTTAGTGTGGGTATTGAGGCTACCAAACAGTTGTAGATGTTTCTTTAAGACCAATCTTACCAGTCTTATTCCCCATCTTTCTTTCTCCTACCTCCTGAACTGGGACTCAAAATGACTGGGCAAAACATTGCGTGGCCTTGGGCAAATTGTTTGATTTTGCTGAATCTCAACTTACTCACCTGGAAAACACCTTTTCTACCCAGCTCTTGGAACTGTTATGAGAATGAATGGGAAAGTGCATAAAAATTGGAAATACTAGATACAAGCAAAGATTATGTTTTCTCCTGGTTTGGGGCTAGGTTTTTGTATACAATAAGTGTTTCCATCAGAAGCAATTGACACCAATGCAGAGCCATCAATAGGAGGAGAATTTGCATTTGGACAACTCCTTGAAGGATGAAGAAAGAGGCTTCAGGAGGCAGAGCAGCCTTATGGGCAGAGAGCTGAGTGGAAGAATCAAGTCAGTCTGTTGTGGAGGAGGCCTTGAATAGGCCACTTTTTCTCCTCAATGCCAACAAGAATCACACCTGTCTTTTTGAGATTGCAAGAGGAAATGGAAGAAAAATTATCTTGACCTTGTCTAAGCAACAGTGTCAAGGGGTGCTATCTCACTCCAAAATACTTTTAATGTTAACTGCCTAGCTCTGTCCCAGATACCGTTTGTCCCTGAAAAACCTCCTCAGGAAGAGCCCCTCGACCTGGGAGCCTGGAAGGAGGTTCTCTTTGAATCTAGGTTGCTTCTGAAGCCATAGCCAAGCACAAGCCAAGATGTGGATAAGGGGACCCTTATCAACATCTAGTCTGATTGACTTCCTCTAGTTGAAAACGCATGGGAAGGGCCTTGAAAGGCATAAGTCATATTTCTGCCTTCTGTGCTTTTAGCTGTTCCCCATTGTATCATCTAGATTGTGAGTCACTGTTAAAAATGACCATAAATCTTTAGAGAAAGCAAGTATTAGGTTGGTGCAAAAGGAATTTCAGTTTTCGCCATGAAAAGAGATGGCAAAACCAGCAATTCCTTTTGCGCCAACCTAATATTACAAAGCAGCTGGGATTACATGAGAGAACACATAGGAATGCAAGGTGTAACACACGTGTTCATTATGTTGATGGTTATCTGGTTAGTCACTAACTTTCTAAATTAATTGAGAAACTTTTTTAAGAACCAGAATAGAGATGGGCGTGACTAAGAGAAAATGTTTAAGACCAAAGAACATCAACCCTCCTTTTAACCCACTAGTTGAGAGCTACACTACTTACCTCCCAAAAATGGCTTTTGTGTCCAGGAGCTCCAGGCCCTGAAGGATGCTGCTTTGCTTAGGAAGAAAGAGTGGCAGACTTCTCATGGGCTGATGTGCCAAGAATGGCTGAGGTTGGGTCTCAGTGGATGGCAGGGCTTGCAGGGAAGGCAGCAGACAAAACCCTGGAAATCTGGCTCAACACAAAAGTTAAGAATGGGTCTTACATGAAATACATTGGGTGTCAGTGTCAAGAATGCCAAGGCCCTAATTTTTACATTATCGTCTCCTAAAGACAACCATGGGGGCTGGCTTGTCATCTCTGTATGTCAATATTCCATATTTGCCCTTTCCTTTTGAGGATATGGAACCAGTCCTGGTAATTCTCCCCACTTGAGTATGTCCGAGGACGGATACCTCTTCATATACTCAGTCATGGGTGAAGATTACATTCTTGAGTGAAACGCATCCTTGGAGATGCCAAAGAGAAAAACAAAGGTACAATTTTTTGATCTATTCTAGAGACAGGAGAAGGACCCGTTTTCTATATCTGGTCCCAGGATCATCTCTCTTGGGGCATTGGCCATGGAGCCAACACTGGGTTCTGTGGAGCCCGCAACTTTAGCTTCCTAAAAAACTCCTTCAGGACTTGCTGCACAGGGACAGCATCTCAACTTAGATCAGGCTCTGAGTCCATACTAGAATCTGGTCTGGCCTCCTTCAAGGGGATCTCCTGCCCCTGTGAGTTTCCTGAGTCCTGGCCTCAGTTTTCTCCTCTTTTACTGAGCTCTTTCCTGGCCCATCACTTGGGGCTGATCTCTGTGAGTTCAAGATTTGAAAAGTGGTTGCTGTTCTGACTGGTGCCTTTGCTGCCTAAGATTTCATGAAGATGATAGCACTGCAGATGACACAAGGAAGGGTACTTTAGACCTTTTCTGCTCAGATAACTTTGGAGATAAAGGCAACATTAGCAATTATACAAGACAAATTTCAGCTGAAGAAGCCCAGAGAGCTTAAATTACTTGCCCTAGGTCCCTTGGCCACATACAGCAATGCTGGAACTAGTATTCAAACCTTGTGATTCATAGTTGACAACAATCCATGCGTGGTTGGGGTTCTCGAAATGTAGTCCTTGGACCAGCAGCATCATATCATCTGGGAAAGCATTAGAAATGCAAATTATCAAGCCCCATCCAGACCTACTGAGTCAGAAGCTCTGCAATCTCTGCTTTAACCAGCCCTCTAGGGAATTCAAATACTTGCTACGGTTTGAGAAACAGTGTTCTGTGCCGTGCTAAATTAAACCTTTTGTGGGACAGTTCAGTATTTTTCATCATTTGTAGAAGAGTTGAGTGCTTACCAATGATCTCTATCACACTTGATTCTTTTATTCATTTCTACACTTAATCTTGAATGCCCATTCCCATATTAGGCACCATATGGATCAGAAGGACATATTGAACAAAGATCCTTCCTTCAAGGAGCTCATAGGAGTCACAACATAGACCAAGGAGGCTTTGATACTGAGAAGTAAGGCAAAATATGACGGAATTTTGGAATGATGCAGACACCACGGGCGATATGAGTTTGCTAATGCTTTGGCCTATAGAGATGAGGTTGGGAATATCAATAGGAGAAGAGAATTAGCAACCAGGTGGTAGAAATGGGCCTAGTGAGTTGTAGAAAGAATAAGGAGATTGACCAGGTTGGAGGAGAGGCCTTGTGCTCTCTTAGGAGATTTATGAGAAGTTATGAGACTGAATTTCTCCCTAAATTATGAGGACCCCTAAGGTACTTGCCTCAGTGACTGAAGAGAATGGGTGGTTGGCTGTAGATCCACCATTCGGTGATTGATTCTGGAAGCATCTGTCTGGTAGGGAGGGCGAGAAGAACTATTTTCAGACTTTACTCTGGTACAAGCCTCAAGCAATTTGTCATGACTCAGGTGGTTGGGAAACAAGTGTGCTCTCAGGACAGCTTGACATGTCACTCAGCAGCCTCCTGGGGCCAAGCTGTTCTTTTAAAGGAAGAGTTTTGTGTTGACTCTGAACTTGGAAGAATCCAAAAACAGCAAGTGACAACAGAAGGTTGAGTCATGAGTGCATACCGCATCCAGGCCAGGCTTTGCTTCCAAGCACGAAGTAGACCATGGCGTTGGGTTGACGTTTTCACATTGTAACCGTAAATTCTCTGTGACCCATTTCCACTGCCTGTATCATTTTATAGACCTGTATAGTTGCATGGAAATTAAATTGGTATTCATTATAAGGTGCCACCAGATGCCCAAAGGCCTTCTAGATTGTCCAAGAAAAGCATCTATCGAGCATCCAACTCCAGCATATTTTATTATGTTTAAATTTCTGAAACATAAGCACTTGTGATATATGTGACAAATATAGTTATCAGCATTTTTTCTTAATCAGGAAACTTTGTTTTCAACCATGCTGGATAAGAGAGAACTTACTGCAGTTACAACTATGCATTATTTTTGAAATAATCCCAGCTAGCATTGATTTACTGTGGTCACAGGCCCTCTATGTCTGCTTCAAATTCATTCTCTGTGTCATGCCCACAATTATCCTCCTACGAAGGAGGCATTATTGTTGTCTCCACTTACAGGTGAGTAAACTGAATCACAGAGAGGACAAATAATATCTTCGAAGCCATGCAGCAAATAAGCGATGAAGACTGGATCATACATACACATGTGCACACACACACACCATTCAGAATCATGGTGGAAGATGGAATAGTATGTTGGAGAAAGATAAGGATTTCAAGCTAACGTCTGGTAATTGACAGGCTGAGCAAGTTGGGGAAGCCACTTTTAAATCCTAGAATATTGGTTGCCTAATCAATAACACAGAAGCCTTTACTCATAGGTTAATTTTGAGGAATGAATGAGATAATATGTTGAAAAGTTTTGTTCTATAAACTAACCTCCCCAACAGCCATATCCAGAAATCGAATTTTTACTGGGAGGTCATGAACATAGGCTCAACCTCGGAATTTTCTGCTCTGACTTCCTTTTCCCAACTCGAATGGGTTGATTATGTTCCTAACCCATTAGTGCTTAGTTGATGATACGTAATCATCTGTCTGCCCAGGTAACCTGGTAACTCAATTAACCAGCAGTTTGACATGGAACTTTGTGGAGTGCCAGGCATGGTGATGCAGACTTGGACCTGCTCAGGGCTCTGACAGATGGACACCAGCATCCCTGAAAATAAAGATGTCTTGTCTTTGGGTCTGTGTGTTTGGTTACCTAGTTGCTTCTCTGCTCTGTGGAAGTCACATTTTCCTCTGTCTCTTCAACAGTCCCTGCACCCGGTGGGTCAGTGCCCCGGGGACATACCATGGCTTCACATCCTTGTTTTTTCCAGCATCTGGCATCTCAGGAAGCCACTGACTAATTCCCTTGGCCCCATCCCACCCCTACTGCCGTGCACTCATTGGCTTCTAGCTTTTGATGAATTCAGGGAAATAGGGGTTCCCGTGAGCCCATGTTTTTCAAGAGCTCATAGTTTATGCCTGGAATGCAGATTTGCACTCCAGCTTTCTGAAATGAGCAGAACTTCGGAAATACCCTTTAGTGGATCCTGTCTGAACTCTAAATGTCTCCGAGTTTGCTTTAGAGACAGAAGGGAGAATTCTTGAATTAACAATGAAGCTCCAGTGAAATCCTCCTATGGAATTTGAAATGTAGCCATTATGACAAATAGGCTTTTACCTTTTATTGTGGTAAAATATACATGCATAAAATTTACCATTATTGACATTTAGTCCATGCACAATGTTGTGCAACCTTCACCACTGCCTACTTCCACAACATTTTCATCACCCCTAAAGGAAACTCTGTACCCAATAAACAGTCCCTCTCCATTCCTCCCTCCTCCTGGACTCTGGCAACCACTCATCTGCATTTTGTCTTTAGAGATTTGCCTATTCTGGATATTTTCATCTAAGGCAGATCAGTTTGTTCATTGAAAATTTTCAACATGCTAGACATTCACATTGCTTCAAAATCTAAAAGTCTAAAAGGGTTTCCTTTCTTTTACTTCTCCCCCATCGGCCTGGGCTCCCTTCCCACAGATGACTTCTTTGTTTGTGGAGGCATATGTATTCTAGAATATGTGTATCCCAATACAAACAAATATGACACACACTCTTATCTCCCCCTTTTATTACATGAAAGGTAACATCCTATACACAATATTCTGTACCTTGTTTTTCAGCCACCTTACAAAATGTCCTGGAACTTCTGTCCCCATCAGTACACAGAGAGCTTCCTCATTCCTTTTTAAAGCCGCATAGTAGTTGTTTGAATCTAGCATGCTTTATTTAACTAATCCTTTCTTGATGGACATCTAGGTTTGTTTCCAAGTATTTGCCATCACCAGCAAAGCTGCCATGAATTATCTCACACACATGTCATCTTAAAAGTGTCTCGGCAGCACAAATTCCCAGAAGATGAATGACTGGGTCAGAGGGCATGTGGATTTGTAGTTTTGTTAATGATCACTCTGTTTCTTTCTGCAGGGGTTGTGCCAATTCACATGCTCACTGGCGGTACACAAGAGTCCCACAGCCTCCACCAAAGAGTGAGTTACCCAACTCTGCATTTTTCTCCCAATCTCAGTGTAATCGAATTTGAATATCTATTCCTATGTTTAAGAAAGAGGATTTAAAGAGTTCTGGTTTTGTCTCCTAAAAGGAAAAAAAAAATGCATCTGGAACCTCCATGTTACTTGTTTACATTTAAGGATAAATGAAAAATGCAGTAATTTCCCGTAATGTCCACAAAATCAGTGACTTGCCGAAGTCCACACACCTTTCCCTATCTGGAAAGAAGCTTCTGTGGAAGGCCTCTGTTTCCCAGGATACCTCACTTCCCACCGTCCCAGGGACAGGCTGTGAGATCCCACTCCTCCACACTCCCCACTGTTGACTCCCCACAGTCAGCTCCCCTCTGAGTGCCCAGCCTGGGCTCCAGTAGTTTATTTAAAAGCATGACGAGCCCTCTAATTATGGAGATAAAAGCTGCCTGTGATGCAGAGCAGGGCTTGGGTTGAAAGGTCTCTTTTTTGGCTCTTTCCCATCTCATTAGAGTTGCGGGGGTGGCTGGTCACCCCAAGGTTTAATCCTTGGAGGCAGTGTGACAGCAAATGTGGCAAGAATCACAGCTCATTGATTGTTCCATTAAAAATTTCTACAGGTACCTGTAAAAGTGCCTTTCAAGTTGCTTCAGTCTGAAGAATCTTATTGCTCCTAAATTGAGGTCAATTAATCCCCTGAAAATGTGTGGCATTCACAATTTGATGTCATGGCCTCCATGTGAACATCTCTCTCTGCATGGATGGAGGAAGCGAACAGCTCTTCCTTCTTCCTGCCTTTCCCACTTCCCCTAAATCTAAAGAGCAATTCTCTGCCTTTGCGAGCATAGGCTGGTGAGAGCAGGGAGAGCAAGACCACACTGCTCAGCAGCCGTGTTTACCATCTGATCATCATGGAGGGACAACTGAGTGCACAGTGTCCTTCCATCCATCATTGCAAGACCAGGGAAGGAAATTTGGCCCTCGGGCAGGCTGTAGCCCAGGAAAAAGGCTATCCTCAGAAGGCCAGCCGCCTTCTCTAGTTTGCAAACAGCACAGATTTAGAGCTTGCGTTCCTTCTCATCCCAGGAACCACATATGAGCACCTCTCCCTGCCATGGTTCTCACGATGCCTGGATGGTCCTTATTTAAGTATTGAATCAGGAGAGGGCAAGAGGCTTCACCCAAGACGGCTGTGAGGTGGGGATGCTTGAGCTGCCCGCATCTGCTGGTCAATGTGTCACCTCCATCCTCTAACCCAGAGAGCATTTCTCTTCATTTCCTCTGCTTCTTGCTCCCTACATTCAACACTCTGACCTCACTCTGCCATCTCTCAAAAGCTAACCCCAGACTCCTCTTCTCAGTACAGGGCTCTGGTGACCAGGGAGACTGGGATGTGATGAGCAGGGCCTTGGGAGCCAGTTATAGAGAGTTAAGTCCTGGCTTGGTCATTTACAATCCCTGAGTACTTTAACTTTTCTGAAATGTAGTTTCTTCATCTGCAAAATGGGCTAGTAATACCAATGTGCAACAGCAATAGGTGAGGATTGAAGGAGACATTTAGGAAGTCTCTGGCCCCATACAGAGTACTCATGGCAGCTGTGAAAGTGTGCTTCCCGGGTGGAGGATGAGCCCATCTACTGGTCCTTTGGATCCACTAGTGGGTTTGCTTGGAGGTCACACTTACCACAGCTGCTCCCAGGTGGTGACTGGGCCCTACAGGGATGCGAAGACAGGCCCATTCCAGAGAGATGTGGGATTTCTCTGACAGACAGTTGTGGCTCAAGGACTCTCCCTGAGCCTTGCTAGAACTTTCTTGGAGCTGTGCTGCAGTGTCTAGACAAGCTTCCTTCCTTTCCTCCTCCTCCTTCCCTCTGACCTTCACAGGGCCAGACCTGCACCATAGCTTGAGGGTTCTCCCACCTTCTTGGCCCCTTCCAGACCGTGTCTCCCAAGAAATCCCTCAGGTGTCTAATCCCATCTTGGTATCTGTTTCTGGAAGACCCAAACTACACAGCACTCAAACCATTTTAGTTCCATCTCCTTTTTGCTAAATATATAGTTTAAAGGCTGTGTTTAAGGATTACCTAGAAATCATTTTAGGGTATAATGACATGTTATTTATTTATTTTAAAATTATGTTTGCTCCACTTGGTGAAAATTTCTGTAAGTACCTCTGAGATCATGGATCCTGGGGCTTCACTGAGCATCAACCTTTGGGGAACTGCTTCTAATGCTGATAAAAGTGTCAGGATCTTTCCTTGTTGACTGGGACTGGCATTTTTTATGTGAGGGCAGGAGAACAGCGTTAGCATCTCTGCAGGTGTTGTGCTGCCCCAAACCAGCATCTTTCTTCACAGGGGGGCTAGAGAGGGTGGGGGGCCACTTCAGGCCCTAGAACCTTTGGGTGCATGAATAGAAGTGCCATCAGCCTCTTTGCGGTCTCAGAAGACAGTACTCTTTTGCTCTATCTGATTTTTTTTTTTTAAGGAATCTTACCTCCTTGGTGCTAAGTGGTGACAGATACTTTGACACTTACTTCTTTTGCCCCATAAATCAGCCCTGGGTCCTGGGCAGCTTAGAATCATGAGACCATAAAAATATGAAATGACAAAGCATGGAGTGGTCTTAGAGATAATTAAATTGACCTGCCTTACTTGATACTTGAGGAAAGAGGCCTAGAGTACATCAGAAGTGAATCTACCCTTGACTTCCTTTTTAAAAAATCCATCCATTCATGCATTCACCTACCAGTCCATTCATCCAACCAGCCATCCATCTATCCATCCATCCATTCCTCCATCCACCCATCTAACCTTCCATCCATCTACCCACTCATCCATCCATCCATCCATCCACCCACCAAACCACATAATTCATCCACCTACCCATCCATCCATTCAACCATCCATCCATCCACACACCAAATTACCACATAATTCATCCATCCACCCATTTACCCACCCACCTATTTACCTGTCCATTAATCCATCTATCCATCCACCCACCTATCTACCCATCCATCTATCCACCCACACATCTACAAATCCATCCATCCATCCATCCATCCATCCACTCATCAATTTGCCCCATCGTCCATCCATCCATCCATCCATCAATTTACATACCAGAGGTAGACCCTGAAAATAAAAAGATGAATAAGATGTGGTCTCTACCTCCTGGGGCTCTCCCAGTCCAGCATTCCCTTCCATTGCTTTAAAGGGCTCAATTCAATCTTGTCTCTGAAATGGGCCATGTCACCGTTCACTAAGCATCTTCCAGTGCCAGCCTTTCAGATTCCATCAACAACACATTGGCTGTGGGCATGCAGGTCATGAGAACAAGGTCAGCAGCATACGCCTGCCCATTGCTCCCCAGAGGAAGGAACTCCAATGTCCAGGGTCTGGGGGATCTGTGCTTCCAGCTTGGCAGGCTCTCCCAGCAGAGAGCAACCACTTTTAAACTTCTGCTTCTCCCTACTTTCCATCCTTCTCCCTTCTCTTCCTTCTCCACATTGTCCTGGTAGCTTACCATTCCCAATCCTGCTCCCCTCAAGCACGTTAGCTTTGAGGCCATCCAGAGATCGATTCATCTCATGGTCCTGTTTTTCCCATTGCCTTTCACATCAGAGACCTTTTCTCTCTTCGAGCAAACCAATTTCCTTCTGTGATTACTGCTTGGATAGAAAGGACTCTGTTGTGTGGTGTGGGGAGTTCAGGAGGATGGTGGGCACTGAGCCATTACCAAGTTTGCACTTGTTGCCTTCTGGCCAAGGACCCAGAATGTTTATTCAAAGGAGCAATTTTTAAATAAGACACTGACACCAGTATCTGGTCTAAGAGAAGAGCAAGAGAGAATAGTGGGAGACCTGGAGGAAACCAGGTGTTCCTCCAGCCAGGGAAGCTGTAGAATCCTTGTCGTGGACTCCTTTCTGTCACCTCCACCAACTGAGTGAGTAGCTCAGACTGGAGGCCCCTCACCAAGCCTGTGGGACCAAGTGTCACCTGAAGGCAGGGGTTCTGCATAACAGGCCACCAGGCTACCAGCTGAGCAATCTTGGACTAGCCACAAAATCTCTGATTGTCAAGGCCTCCGCCTGCATAATAGATCTATTAACAAAAATATCTGCGATGGCCAGTGTTTGGATATATTAGCACACAGGAAGATAGTGCTCCAAAAGTGCTTGGTAACAAGAGCCTGGTGCATATTACTTGTAAAAGTAAGGTTTAGCCCAACTTGGTGTGTTCTCATGCCGCCACAAATGCCACCACTTTTGCACACTCATGTACCCCCAGGTACTGCTATACCGGGACCACCCCCAAGACATACTACATGCCTGACTGTGGTGGTCTTTGAGGGAAAAGTTGTTTTCAGAGCAGTGGCTCTTAACCTCTTGAAAGGTTCTCCTCCAAAACATGCACACATGCTGGAACACACATGGACCCCCTCACTGAGGTGGGAGAATTGCTTGAGCCCAGGAGGTCAAGGCTGCATTGAGCTATGATCTCGCCACTGCACTCCAGCCGGGCAACAGAGCAAGACACTATTTCTAAAAAATACAAATAGAAATAAGTATGAAAAAAAGAGGGAAAACCCAAGGATGAATGGATGGATTGTGTGCCAGGCATTTAATGCATTCTATCTTGTGTTCTTCACTCAAACATTCTAAGGACTCTTGACCCCACTTTGCAGATGGGAAGTCAGAATTTGTCTGAAGGTCCATGGCTGGTGAGCATCTAAACAAAGATACAAATTCAGGTCTGTGGGGTGCTCAGCTTTCCACTGTGCCTGTCACTCCTGCTTCTCCCTTTGTATCTGATCAGACCAAGTTCTACGCAGTAGGCTCAACACACACCCAGGAGCACCGGCTACCCCAGGAGAGGAGTCGCCAGGAGGGGAGAGCTGTTTCCACCTTCACCTGTTTCTCGTTCACCTGCTTCTTGCCTTGCAAGTCTCCAGACAGGCAGACTTCAGAGGGGACCTCCTGGCCTATCCTCTAGGGTATCTTGCTTCTGCCTGCTGTCATCTTCTAATACCCAAAAATGTGTCGCATCCTCCCAAAGCTCGCGCTCTCCCTGCAAACCCTGGGCCAAGCCTATTATTATTGTATATATTTCACTAAATCAATCTTTTAAAATTCTACTTAACATAGGTGCCCAGCCTAATGGTGGCCATCTTTTAGAGGAGGAAATAAATGTTCAGAGAAGTCAAGTTCCTTGTGCAAGCGGGATTCGATACAGGGGACACAACCAAGAGACCTCTGAGTCCCTCCACACATCCATGCTGTGTGTTGACTTGCTTACAAGAGTCCCCTGTGTCAGAGGCTGCCTGGCAGTGGGGACATGAGCCTTTCCCTTAGAGGGAAACATGAGATTGGGCAACAAGGGTAGTCCTCAAGGTTCTACCTCGAGACTCCAGGACGCTGGACATTGGAAATGAGGCCACACCCTGGAGGAGCATTGTCGGCTAAAGCCAAACACCATTAGCGTCTGAAGGGGATGTGGGACCCATCTAAGGTATCACATCCCTGATCACCCACCATGGGGTCTGCAGCTGGAGAGGGTCCCCCCAGGAGGGGCTGGAGCGGGGAGTTCTCTGCCCTGGGAGGCAGGTCTCCTGGCCCTTCACTGGAGTGATCTCTTCTTTTCTGATGTCAAATCCTGATCTAAAGGGAGGCATCTTCCTTCTTATGGCATGGCCATGTCTCCTGTGTTCCTTCCTCAAGCCAAATCCTTTTCCACGATGCCTTCCCCTCTGAGCCCTGTATAACCCAATAGTGCAAATATTCCCACATCCCCTACCCACAACAGGGGTGAGCACATTGCAAATGTTCCGCCGGCGAATCAGCACCTGCCTGGAGGTGTTCTTGGTGTCTGCGTCCTGCCTCCAGTACAGAGGACCTCAAATCCATGATACTTCACCTGGTGCTCCCCAGGAAAGCCTGGCAGAGGACCTGACGATTCCCAGCAAGACCAAGCACTGCTGTCCAGGGTCAGCCACGGTCACTTCTCTGCAGCTGTCATCCGGGCACAATCTCCAAATATTTCTAGCCATTCAGACGTTCACTATAATCAGAATTAACGCATGTAGAACCAAAGAGCCAGACACATGGGTTCAAACCTGCCCCACCATTTACAGTGAGAGCTTAGTGAGTCACTTAACCTGTGCCTCAGTTTTCTCACCTGTAAAAAGAACATAACAGTAACAATACCATTGAGCTGCTATGCAGTGGATGAGCTTCTATATGAAAGGTGAGTGAAAAGTGTCTGGATGTGGTGGTGTCAACCTTTCCCTGGGGTGGTGGTGGCTGATCTGTGGCACCCCACATGACAATGTCTTTGCCATGGCAGTAGATGCTGTTAAATCAGGCCCTGGGTTTGTCTTGGCTTGACTTGTTTCCATTTTCAATTGAAAATTAAATGTGGATAGACTTCAGCCTGACTCGGTCTGCTCCCTGGACCTTGGCCAGTGAGTTCTGAGTAACTGCAGACAGGGTGTGGTCACCGGGATTTGGTTATTGGATTTTTTTCCCCCTGTGGTTTTGGGCAGGTTGCTCCATGACGGGCAGCTGTATCGTCTTAGAACCGGACTTTCCGGGAGAGCCTTTGGGTCACTCTGGGCGTCAGCTGGAAAGGGCTGCTCTTGGAGCAAGCTCACTGGCCCACAGGAGGAGCTGCCTTCTTGAACTGTCACCCTGAAGCCAACCAAAGTCTGGGCAACGCCAGCTCCAGTGACTGCCGCTCCATCTCCTAGGCAATTTGCATCGCTGTTTCTGTTTGTTAGGCCTTGACCATTCCTTTGTTGTCATCCTGCGCTTCCCTGGCCATAGGCCTTTTCCCAGCCCCACCACGGCATGCCCACCTGTGCTTGGGGAGGGGCGGAGGAAGGAGCCCCAGCCAGCCATGTCCCTGTTTCGTGCTCCAGTGACCACTGCTATGAGGACTTTCCCACTGGCTCAGGCTCAGTTAGTCGAGCTGGTGTGCCCCGCTCTTAGCTGTTCCCCAACTCTCCTAGAGTGTGCTAATTCTGACCCAGCTCTCCCAGGTGGAGGATGCTTTTCAAACATGTCCTTGGGAACCTCTGCAGACCCATTCCCAGCCCATTCTCCATGATTCCAGGCCTGGCCAGGTTGAAAACTTCTGTAAATTAAAACTCAAATAAAGAGAGTATAGCTTGGGCATACCTTTTGCACATGCATATATATGTATGTGTGTGCATGTGTGTGTGTGCATGTATGTGTGTGCATGTATGTGTGTGCATGTGTTGGGATTTTTTATTTTTTAAATTTATATTTATTAAAAAAATTTTTTTTGAAACAAGGTCTTCTTCTGTCTCCCAGGCTGGGCTGCAGTGGTGTGATTATGGCTGACTGCAGCCTCAAACTCCTGGGATCAAGCAACCCTCCCACCTCAGCCTCCCAGAGCACTGGGATTACAGGTTTGAGCCACTGCACCTGGCCTATTTAAAAAGTTTGTCTAGAGCAAAAAGTCCCTAGACCTGCCAGTCCAGGGCACTAAATCACAAGAACACCAAGGCCAAACAGGCTTGAAGTCTCCAGGCTCCTCACTGGCAAACTCTACTTCCTGATCCCTTAGTGGGTTGAGGTGCCAACAGCCCCCTGGGGAGGAGGGGGTTGCATTATGGCCGTGGAGAGACTCTGAGCCTTATCAACGGTGTGGGGATGACACCCTTTTCGGAGCACTTTGTGAGGCTTTGTGCCATGCTGGGCGCTTGGCGTCAGAGACAAATAGAATCAATAACTGTGCAAAAAAAGTTGCCAGATAATTTATCCCATTGGCACCGAGCCTAGAATTATAATCAGATCTTGACTTCTTCAAAGCCTTCTTGCTTTGGATTTTCCAAATCGAAAATAAATATTGGGGGCAATTACCTTTCCTTAGTTCTCTGATGTATGAAGGGGAGTTTTCATCTATTAATTTAAGAACCCTCTCATTTCATTCGGAAGGTATTAGCCCATGGAACTTGTTAACTTAATATCAACACAGTCTGTCTAGGTTTTGACTGAAAAGAGAAAGGGGTTGTTATGCTCTAGGTTAATATTTTCCTCTCTTTAAGAAGTCTTGGGTATGCCAGACACTTCTCGGACAAAAACAGCTGTTTTCTTCCCATTGCTGAACGCATTGTTTGTGCGAGTTCACTTACTTGCTATACTCAGAATATCCTCCAGGAGTCAGCAAATCCCAACCTCTGGACGTGGCTCAGGGCCGCCCTGCCCATTGCTGAGCTGATTTGGAATTTGGGCCTGAGAGAGGAAGTGATTATTGGATGACAGGCTGCCTCCTAGGGGGCTTCTCTGGGCTTGCCATGAAAGCACTTCCGGAGGAAAAGCAGAGCTCCATCAGTCTCTTTTGGAGAGCTGTGAACGTGACCAGACCTATTAATTACTTAACTGAGGTGCTGAACTTTGAAAATGAAAGTTCCGGTGGGGAGTTCTGTCCTTTCCAGCCTGGGGAGCTCTGTCAGGGCTCTCCTGAGCGTCTCTTTCAGCTTATCAAGCTCGCTCGGGGACCGTCTCTGGTAAGTACAGGCAACCCCTCCAGCCAACCCCTCCACCCTGTGGGCCGGGGAAGTGTCTCATCGTTGAATCCACTTGCAGGCACTTCCTTGATCTCAAGCCCCACCACGCTGCCCCCAGAGTCCCAGCGAGTGGCTCAGTCACACTGGTGCGTGCCTCTCACCCGCTCTGACCTCGTCATGGGGTCCCCGAGGTGCTGGTTCATGCAAGGCTCTGTGCCTAACCAAGCTAAACACGGTGGGGCTGGGAGCAGAGGCTCACACCTGTAATCCCAGCACTTTGGGAGGCCAAGGCAGGTGGATCACCTGAGGTCAGGAGTTTGAGACCAGCCTGACCAACATGGTAAAACCCCGACTCTACTGAAAATACAAAAATTAGCCAGGCGTGACATCATGCGCCTGTAATCCCAGCTACTCGGGAGGCTGAGGCAGGAGAATCGCTTGAACCTGGGAGGCGGATGTTGTGGTGAGCCAAGGTCGTGCCACTGTACTCCAGCCTGGGTGACAGAGGGAGACTCCATCTCAAAAATAAATAAATAAACAAACTGGTACAGTGCCCTAGTGGCTTTGTGGCTCTGGCTGGGGGAGGAGGGTGGGTTGCATAACTGAGCAGCACCTCCAAGCACGATACCAACACTGCCCAGGGCCTGGCAGAGTCTACAGCTGGTCCTTATCCATGAAACTGGGGGTGAGGGGACGGGGACTGGCGGGGGGACAAATCACCTGCACAAGTGGAACAAAGATACAGGAGATAATGACAGCAAATGGAACGTAGAGTTGATGCGTTCATTGACAAAGAATTTCACACCCTGCATTATCTCACTTGAGCCCCATGAAGAGCCTGTGAGGTGGCTAGGGATGTGGAAGGAGTAGATAGGAGAGGCACAGAACAGGGGAAGGAAGGAGTGGGGCTGGGAGTGAGGACCAGGAAGGCAGAGCTGGCCCCTGGACAGGAAGAAAGCCCAACTGCCTCCCTCCCTCCCATCTGCCCTCCTGCCTGCCCTTTTCCAATAAGATGGAAATGCTGAAGGGGTTAAAAAGACAGCATTCTAAAAGCTGAGATCCTAAAATTGTGACCTCCCCTGTGATCTTAGCCTTCGTGTCAACAGCATTGAAAATGAACCTTGGTCGGGCACGGTGGCTCACGCCTGTGATCCCAGCACTTTGGGAGGCCGAGGCGAGTGGATCACCTGAGGTCAGGAGTTCAAGGCCAGCCTGGCCAACATGGTGAAACTCTGTCTCTACTTAAAAAAAAAAAAAATTGCCGGGCATGGTGGTGGATACCTGTAATCCCAGCTACTTGGGAGGCTGAGGCAGGATAATTCCTTGAACCCAGGAGGCAGAGGTTGCAGTGAGCTAAGATTGTGCCACTGCACTCCAGCCTGGGCAACAAGAGTGAAACTCTGTCTCAAAAAAAAAAAAAAAGGCAAAAAGAAAATGAACCCCTGGGAAAGTAGGCCTTGACCACTCTGCTGCTCTTATGGAGTTCATTCTTGGAGATGTCGTGAATAGATCTCCTTTGCATCCAGATGGAAGAGCAACAGGAACATTATTAAGAAACTAAAAATTCTAGATTCATTGGAAAAGGCTTTGAGAGAGAAGGGACAGGGAAACCCCTAATTCCACCTCCCTGAAAACAGTGTGTTTTCCTCTCCTACACCAGGGCCGTGTGTCTTTCTGTCTACGTGGCCCAGCCACATTTGTAGCCCGTGGCCTGATGGAGCTCTGATGAGTCAGTTTCATGTCATTTTTTTTTTTTTTTTTCAGAGAGAGAGTCTCACTCTGTCACCCAGGCTGGAGTGCAGTGGCATGATCTCGGCTCACTGCAACCTCCGCCTCCTGGGTTCAAGTGATTCTCCTGCCACAGCCCCTTGAGTAGTTGACGTTACAGGCACCCACCACCGCACCCAGATACTTTTCGTATTTTTAGTGGAGACGCTGTTTCACCATGTTGGCCAGTTGGTCTCGAACTCCTGACCTCAAGTGATCTGCCTGCCTTGGCCTCCCTATGTGCTGGGTTATAGGCGTAAGCCACTGTGCCCTGCTTCATGTCATTTTTAAAGAGCCCACACAACTCCTGTAGCTGCATTACGACAACCTCAACGGCAAGACCTCGACGTGATATTACTCCACGTGAAAGTCTAAAAGGCGCTGAGCACAGTGCTCTGCCAATGGTGTGTCTTCCAGCCTCGCTTGCTGAGAGAACAGATGTGCCGGGGAAGAAATGGACAAAGCTGGGAAAGGAGTCTAACTTCTTCAAAGCGGTTGGGCACCGGTGAGGCTCTTTTGGTTACAAACCACAGAAATGGATTCTGGTTTATCAGTTTAATCTCGGTGTAACTAAAAGTGGGAAGTACTGGAAGGAGACGCATTTCATGGGCTCAGAGGTGACCTTGGGGCACTGAGTTGGCCCTTCTGTGGCCAGGTGTCCCTCTCTCGGGGACCTGCCTTCCCATGCCCCAGTCTCAACTCTTGGTGTCTGTCTAATCTCAAACTCCCAAGAGACTGGATTGGATTAGATCAGTGTGGTGTAGCAAGAGGCACTGTGTGTGTGTGTGTGTGTGTGTGTGTGTGTGTGTGTGTGTGGTGTCATTAGGGAGATCTCAGAGAACAACCACCTTGGCCAACTTGTCTATCTCACGCCAGACGTTTTCACCCATCGTTCTGTCCAACCCTACATAATCCTGCCAGGGGGCTATCAGTTTTTTGTTTATGTTGAACGCTAAACTCAGCAGGAAAGAACACTGCTTTCTGGGATTTTCTTCATTTAAACCTCTATTGCCTATGAGAACAGTGTATTTTCTTTAAGGGCTACCAGGTTTTCTATTAATAGAAAATTAAAAAAATAGTGAGAAGTACCAAGAACAAAATTAACATCACCCATCATCCACCATTCAGACAGAAAAATGGTCCCCTTTGACTGATGTTCATCAGCTATATAAATCTCTACACACACACATATACACCCATACCTACTTTGAAGTAAAAATTATGAAGAGCACATTGTTTTGTGACCTTTCTCTTCACGTGCCGTGTTCTCCATTCTGTTAAATATTCACTTCCATCTTTTTAAATGGGTGCTTAATAAACTTTGACTCATACATGTTGCAAAATTTGTTTAATCAGCCCTCCATTGTCGCTTATTTAGGTGCTTCAAATTTTTTGCTGTTATTAGCACTGAAGTGATAATCATTCTGGAAAAAGTATCTTTATACATCTGTTGGATTCTTTCCCCAGGATAAAATTCTACAAGTGAAAATGCTGGGTTAAAGGATGCCCATGAAAACATTTTTAGATAAGCAGAATCCAATGCTCTTCTGAAACATTGTACCATGTGTCTTCTCCACCCAAGGGAACACTCAGTATCACTTAATTACAAAATATTTTTATAGTTTATATGAGAAAAATGACATCTCATTACTTTTTTTTTTTGAGACGAAGTCTCGCTCTGTCACCCAGGCTGGAGTGCAGTGGTGCGATCTTGGCTCACTGCAACCTCTCCTTCCTGGGTTCGAGTGATTCTCCTGCCACAGCCTCCCAAGTAACTGGGATTACAGGCATGCGCCACCATGCCTGGCTAATTTTTGTATTTTTAGTACAGACGGGGTTTCGCAATGTTGGCCTGGCTCATCTCGAACTCCTGATCTAAGGTGATCCGCCCCCCCTCGGCCTCCCAGAGTGCTAGGATTACAGGCGTGAGCCACTGTGCCTGGCCGACATCTCATTACTATTTAATTTTTTTTTAATTTTACCTTTTGTGAAGATACAACTTACAGAAAATGCACTCATGTTAATTGCACAACTCAATGAATTTTTGTGTATAGAGATGCCCATGTAACCACTACCCAGATCAAGGTACAAAACATTCCCACCACTCCAGAAGGCTCTCTGTGCCCTCTCCCAGCTAATGTCCCCCGATCAAAAGTAATCTCTATTCTAGGCTTTTTCACCTTGGAACAGTCTTGCCTTTTTCTGACCCTCATATAAGTGGAAATGTACAATATCTGCTGTTTTGTGTCTGGCTTCTTTTGCCCTGTGTGATGTCTGTGAGATTCACCTGTGTTGGTGTGTATTGGTATTTTTCTCATTCTCATCGCTGGGTATACCTCACTGCATGGATAAACCATTCCTCTGTGGAAAGATATTTTGGTTGTCTCAGTGTGGGGCTATTATGCACATTCTTGTAATGTCATTTGGTAGACATGAACACCCACATCCAAGGAATATGTGCCTAGGAGAGGAGGGGTTGAGTCAGATTGTATATTTAGTTTTCGTAGATACTTCCAAATCTTTTGTCTAAGTGGTTGTATCAGTTTACACTCCCACCAGAAGTGCATGTGAGTTCCAGTTGCTCTATATCCTTGCCAACACGTTGTATTGGTAGTCCTTTAAATTTCACATATTCTGTTTGGTTTTGTGTGTGTGTGTTCTTATTTTGTATTTTTATGATTGCAGGTCAGGTTGATCATTTTTGTTCCATGTGCATTGACTATTTGGGTTTCTTCTTTTTTGACTTGCTTGTTTCAGAAGCTTTCTATCCTTCTTTTGTATTGGGGTGATTGTATTTCTCATTGATTTTAGGAGTTATTTGTCTATTATTACGACACTTGGTTATGTGTGATGCCAATATATATGTGCTTTTGTCTAGAGAAAACAATGCTGAATGCTCACAAGTACTGAAGCCTTCCTACAGGTGAAGTATTACACTAAGGGTTTTATATAAAATCTCATTGATCCTTATACTTTACGGAAGAAACTAAGACACGGAGGGGGTAAAGAACCTGGCTAACGTCACACTGTTAGTAGTTGCTGGGATGGGATTCTCACCCACAAAGTTGGACACCAGACCTCAAACTTTCAGCCATTATGGTCAATCATCTTGTGAATTTTTGACTGGGCCACTTATTGTCAAGGCTGCTGGCGTGAATTGTGGAGTCTTCTTTTACAATTATTTCTGGAGTGATGATTTCATTCTGTTACGCAGCTGACTTCTGTTTAAAGGAGACATTTTGTGTGCTCTTTGTGATTTTATTGGAAGAGAACACAGTGTGACTGAGATTTCTGATGCCACCGGGAAACATGCAGCAGAGACCCCTGGGTGGTCACCCACCAGTCCTCAGCTGGGCTCATGGCTGGGCTGTGTCTCCAGCCTTCCCTCATCACCTCCCTGCTGGTCCCCTCAGCCTTCACCAGACTGCGCTGTGTGCTGTCTCCTGCCCATGGCTCAGGTCTGGGAGGTTTCTGTAGCTCAGCCCTATAAGTCAGAGCTAAATTGTTACTGGAGACAAGGGTCTAGTTAATTCTTTTAGTATTATCCTCCTCCCATGCTTCAGTCACCTGTACTCCCACTTTTGAAATATGATCTCTGAACTAATAGTAATAGCTAACACTGCTCTGTTTATTATCAATACTTTACACACAGCATGATATGGTTTGGCTGTATCCCCATCCACATCTCATCTTGAATTGTAGCTCTCATAATTCCCTTGTGTTGTGGGATGGAGCCAGTGGGAGATAATTGAATCATGGGGGCAATTTCACCCATACTGTTCTCATGGTAGTGAATACGTCTCATGAGATCTGATGGCTTTGTAAGGGGAAACCCCTTCCACTGGGCTCTCTTTCTCTTCTCCTGTCTGCCGCCATGTGAGACATGCCTTTCACCTTCCACCATGATTGTGACTTCTTTCTTTTGTAAATTGCCCAGTCTCGGGTATGTCTTTATCAGCAGCGTGAAAATGGACCAATATGTAACACATATAAGTAGGTCATTTAATTGTCAAAACAACCTTAGGAGGGAGAAAGATAAAATATCTTGTCCAAGGCCCCACAGCTAGGGATGGAGCCAGGGTTCAAACCCAGCCAGACTGGCTCCTGACTTTTCACCAGGCTGTGTTTCCCTGAGAGGGAGTGCGAGGCCAGCAGCCCAGGCCCATGTGGTGGTCCTGCAGCCGTGGCTACAATAGCAAGTTCTCAGGGTTTTCTAAGGCATTGCATCTTTTTTCCTTTTATTGGGAGAAGGGGTTGTGATTGTGTGAGCCTATTTCCCCCTTTTATTCTCATCAGTGTCTCACACTTCACTTGCAATAAGTGAATATTCCCATTGGATGAGTTTCCCAACACTGCCATAACAAATCACCATTAACTGGGAGGCTTAAAACAACAGAAATGTATTGTCTCACAGTTCTGGAGGCCAGAAGTCCAAAACCAAGGCCTCAACAGCATTGGTCCCTTTGGCGGCTCTGAGGGAGAATACAGTCCATGTTTGTTTCCCGGCCTCTAGTGGTGGTTGGCAGCCCCCAGTGTTGCTTGGCTTAGTGACCCATCCCTCCAGTCTTTGCCTCCATCTTCACATTGACTTCTCACTGTGTCTCAAATATCCCTCTTCTTTCTCATACAAGAACACCAGTCCCTGGATTTAAGATCCACCCTTAGTCCAGGATGATCTCACACCTAGATCCTTAACTTAATTATGAATGCAAAGACCGTAGGTCTAAATAAGGCCACATGCACAGGCATGGAGGGCAGGACTTGTACATAACTCTGGAGGACATGATTCATCCACTGCACCCCTCATCTCTGGATTTACATCCAGAAGCAGGGTACCCACTTGCCAAGGTGCAAACTAGGTGCAAGCTGGCCCACCTGACCCTTCCTCAAGGCACAAAGGACACCTTCGTGTTTCACGCTTTCGGGGACTGAGAAGCAGGAAGCACTCCCTTGCCACCCCCATCCTCCCGCCGCCTTGTTTTCCTTTTCGTTTTCCCTGCGACATCTCCTACCACATCCGGCACTGGATTCTCCTCTGTGCGTTGGTGTTGGTGTGTCAGCTTCTTTATAAACTGCAATCAGTTACTCCTGCCAGGTGAGCCTTATGAAGAGACAGCAGCAATTTGAGCAAACGCTTGTCTAATTTGTTGATATCATTTAGCAAGATGAAATGACTGGAACAAGGAATATGTTTCTGAATGTACATGCTCTGAATGAAGATCTCTAGATGGTTGGGAATAAGTTACCACACACCTGGAAAAAATAATCTGTGTTTTCTTTTTGCCTGTCATGAATGAATGAAGAGGCTAGAATAAGTCTCCCACATGGTCTCCTTCATCAGATCCAAATTTGGGTTTTTATTCTTTGCAGTTATTCCAAACTCTGAATACAAATGTCTTCTGTAGGTCAACAAGTATGATATGAACCACAGGTGTTATGCTTATTGGTGTACGGTAGTATGAAATTAAAACAGTTCTCTTTAGAATGCAGTATTTAAAATTGCGCAGTCTTTAAATTAAAAGTTCAAAAATCCAAGAAGAAATTGGGAGGAGACACAGAACAGAGGGAGGTTAGGAAAAATAAAATTTTTGGCAACACACACACACACACACACACTCTCTCTCTCTCTCTCTCTCTCTCTCTCTCTCTCTCTCTCTCTCTCTCTCTCTCTCTCTCCTGGCACCTGGGAATTGCAGGGGCTGACACCTGGAGCTGAGAGGTGGGCTGCCGAACTCCCCGGCAATGGTTGAATCCTTGTCTCTGATTCTACAGACACTGTGGGGCTTACCTTCTTTGCAAGGAGGCTGGTGGCCACTCATCCTGTTCCTGCTGTCACCACCCAAATTTAAGGCCCCCACCACGGTCCCACCACTCTTCTAATTGCCTCCTCCTTGGGCCACTTCCTGCCCAACCCTCTCCCCTGAAACCAATCTTCCAAATCACTTCTAGATTCGTCTTAAAACATCCATGTCAAGACGTCACTCCTCAAAACCTCTGAAAAACCTGCTACAGTAAAGAATCAGTATGACCCACCACATACACAAGTATGTGCAAATATACATGCTTACATACATACATGTAGATATATATGTATATGTGTACACACACACAAACAAGCAAGATTCATGGAAGAATTCTTGTTCACTACTCCTATGTGACATTCCTTCTGCTGTTTCCTGTTCCACTCCGCGCCATTCGATTCGATTCCACTTGATTGGAATTCATGCTGCAGGTGCCCCACTACCTTCATCTCAAAACCCCTGAATGGGTTGTACCCACACTTTGACACAGGCAAAGCTGGAAATCTGAAGCCTGGTTCTCAAAGTTCCCACCAATGTGCCCCACCTCCTACTGCTGCCCCCACCATCTCTCCAGCTTCTTTTGGAGGTGGCGCTGCCCAACTCTCAGTGGTGCCTAAAGCCCAGGGCCCTTTTCTGGCTATACCTTTTTTGAGTCCTTTCTGACCTCACCCTGCTTGTCCTTCTGGGTCAGTTCAATCCCTGCCTCCTTCCTGAAGAGTCCTTGACCGAGATTCCCCTTTCTTTTTTTCTGCCTCACATATCAAGTATCTGATTAGGAGGCTGGACTCTGCTTTCAAAATGCTTAATTCATGAACAACCCACACACCTAGGTTTGTTTCCAGGTTCAGATCTTCAGGGGTATGCGTGGCCTGGAGAGGGCCTTCATCCACACACGCTTAAAGCTTCAGCAAGTTCCTGATGCCCAGAACAACCAACCCTTCCCGCCCTGCGGCCCCCACCCTCGGGATAATGGGAATGTTTTCGTAGCAAGTTGGAACGAGAAATCAATTTTCCTGCTGAGGTAACCAGCACTACATAGGTAGGTGGACCTGAAAAGGTGCTTTGAGAGCCATGCTTTAAACACATTTGATGATGTTGGCTTTTACGAGCTAGCCAAGCAACCTGCCCCTCTTGGAGGCATTTTTATGGGGCAAGGTATTACATTGTGTATAAGTACTAAGCCACTGGCCTACAAACAACTTTTGGGGTGCTGTCTGTCCTCTGGTTGAACGCCTCCTGTGCTGCCTGTCTCGCCACCTCTCCACATGGGTGTGTCTTATCTCCACAACTCAATGGTTTCCCACTTGCTGCAGGGCTTAGCGCGGCGCCTTATGCCGGCGATACCTCCCTAACCAGGCTGGTGACGTCTTGTCCTCCCCATCTCTGGCTGCCTAGCGTCCTCGGCTCTGTCTTCATCGTGGTTTGTCCTGGAGTCAATGGGTCCCTGCCTGTTGCTTGGAAACCCTTAGGAATACTTACCAGGAAAAGGAGAAGAAGGAAGGTGATGAGGAAAGGGAAATAGACAAGAGAAAAAAGGAAGAAGGATAGGAAAGGGGAAGAGAAAACGGGAACTAGATAAGGATAAAGGAAGAGAAATGAAGAGAGAAGAAATGAAGAAAGACACGAAAAGGAGGAGAAAAAAGGAGAACAAAAAGGGGGAAAGATGAGTATAGGAAAAATAAAAAGAGGAGAAAACAGGAGGGAAAAAGGAAAATAAAGGGGGAAAAACCCACATTTCTACTACTCTGACCAGAAGCTATTTCCCAGTAGAAAAGGGCAGGGAAGCCAGACCAGGTGAAGGTGTGCGAGTGAGAACTCAGTTTCTGGATTCCCAGCCTGGACAAAAAGGGACCGAGGAGAGAGGCTGGGAAGGCATATCTGGGGGGCAGGAAGCCGCACCCAGTGAACAGAGCCCACAGCTGCAGGGAGCACTGGGCTGGGGTCCCCGTTTATAGGCCTGAGCTGAGCATCTCCCTCTGAGAGCTGTAGTAAGTTGTTGGTGGTCTGCAGGGCTGCGAATGTAAGGTAATTTTAGTCACTTAGCTATATTTATTGCTTTCCCAAATCCAAAAGAGCCTTGATCTTTTTCCTTAGAGCTGGAGCCTCCAGAACTACAAGTCTTTGACTCTGAGACAGGATAGAAATGACGTTTCTGACTCTGGCTGTGTGTTAGTACCACACAAAGGTCCCAGAAATCCTGGTGGCCAGACCACAGCCCAGACCATGTAAATCAGAATCTTTGGGGGCGCCACCAGGCATTTGTATCTTGTGAAGCTCTTCAGGGTATTGTGTGCAGCCAAAGTCAAGGTCTGATTCTTTAGTGGTACATAGAGAGCAGATCCTAGGACCCTACTGGGACATCCGGGGGCCCTGCCTTTTATAGGTTGCATGGTGGGAAGCAGAGATGGGGAAAACAAATCGTGTGGGTTGATTTGAAGCCTAATGAAAAAGAAATACTGATTTGGGTCTTATATGGTGTACCAAGTATTAGTTAAGACTGTTAAAATGTTTGTGATAAAATAAAGACACGTTTGGGGAGCATTTCTAACAAGAGCCCTACTCATGTCAACACTTGTAGGCTGGGTACATGGCTCACACCTATAATCCCAGCACTTTGGGAGGCAGAGATAAGATGAGGATCGCTTGAGCGCAGGGATTCAAGAGCAGCCTTGAAAACATAGCAAGACCCCCTGTCTTTACAAAAAATAAAAATTAGCCAGGTGTGGTAGTGCCTATAGTCCCAGCTACTCAGGAGGCTGAGGCTGAAAGATTGCTTGAGCCCAGGAGTTCAAGGCTACAGTGAGCCATGATCGTGCCCCTGCATTCCAGACTGGGTGACAGAATGAGACCCTGTCTCTAAAAAACCACTTGTGGATCCATGATTGTCTTCAGCCTTCATCCTGCTGCTTCCCATAAGCTGTGGGCAGTTCCCAACACTGCACAAGGATTTGGTGTTGATGGAACCAAGGATGATAATTCTGTCAACAGGCAGCACCCACGAAGGGAGAAGTCCCAACGAGGTTCAAAGCTGGATTGGCACCTACCAAGTGACTCAATAGCATGATGCCTCCACTGCCTTCCTGTCCTCCCGTGTTCAGGGGTCATACTGTCTCCTGGCTTCTCTGTTCTGTGTGGTTATTGGGAGATAAAATGATGAAAGTAATTTTCCAGAGAATGATGCTGTGAGCACACAGGTGTTTGCTGAATGAATGAATGAACAAATGTGTGAATGTAACTTGTGTTAGCGTTACCCTACACTGTCGTCTCTGCCCAGAGGTGACAACAGCAAAATAATTCAGTCCACAGGCTGTTCTTTTTTTTAGTGTAATTGTCAAAAAAAAGTCCAGCTAAAAAAATTCTATTTTGCTTGTATAAATAAACAGAAACCTTATACCCCTGAGCCAAGTGGAAAATTTTCTCAGTAAAAATTTGTAGGGACAGAGAGTTTTTAAATTTATAAAGGAATTTAATAATTTTTCCAAAATTACTGAGAATTTCAAATGCCTCACCACAAAAAAATGATGAGTAAGTGAGGTGGTAGATATGTTAATTCTCTTGATTTAATCATTCCTCATTGTATACATATATCAAAACATTGCACTAGACTCCATAAATATATATTATTTTTGTCAATTACAAGTAATAATTAGAAAAAACGATAATTTCTTATGTACCCACCTGTGATATAACTATAAAGTCATTAATTTGGATTCTATTAATTTGGCATTTGCAGTAACATATGCCTGTCCAACCAATTCTTCTCGGAAAAAAATGTTCACAGTAATTCTTTCCCTGATGGAGAGAATACTGAGTCCAAAGTTTAGAAGCTTAGGGTCCAATCCCAGACAATTAATTAGCTACATGAGGTTGGAAAAGTCACAGCCTCTGTGAATCTCTTCTGTAAAACTCCAGTTTGTGAAGAGCATAAAGTTAATAAAAGGACTCCGTGAACTGTGAAGTGCTTTGTAATGTATTTAGAGTCTTTCATATAACCTAAATCAAATCGTTTATTAGCAGCTTTCTTCACCCCAAGATACATGCGACTCCCTCACTTGGTTTCAACTTCTGGGCCGAGCAATTGTTCATGAATATGCTTATCATCAGACTGTACGAAATACAGCACCTTTCTTTATCACATAAACCCTTAAAGCTAGAAAGCCCCAGGGACAATTTTTTTTTTTTTGTGAGACGGAGTCTCACTCTGTCACCCAGGCTGGAGTGCACTGGCGCAATCTCGGCTCACTGCAAGCTCCGCCTCCCGGGTTCACGTCATTCTCCTGCCTCAGCCTCCCAAGTAGCTGGGACTACAGGTGCCCGCCACCACGCCCAGCTAATTTTTTGTATTTTAGTAGAGATGGGGTTTCACCATGTTAGCCAGGATGGTCTCAATCTCCTGACCTCGTGATCCGCCTGCCTTGGCCTCCCAAAGTGCTGGGATTACAGGCGTGAGCCAGCGCGCCCGGCCAGGGACGGTGTTTTTAAAAATGTGTCTAATTATCAAAATTACCAAGAAGATATACACACTCACAGGTCTGTGTGTGTATGTCTAGGTGTGTATATATGCTGGTATGCATGTACACATCTATATGTGTATATACGTGTATGTATGTAAAGATATACAACATGGATATATAATATATACAATACACATATATTATACATGAGCATATTGCACATATACATGAGTGTATAATATATACAATACACATGTATATTATACATGACAATAATGTATACATTATAGATATACATTATTACATTGTGCATATATTATGCATGAGTATATATGTATATATGCATGCATATATAATTATGTATATTATATGTATATGCGTATGTGTGTATATCTATGTATCCCTACCTCCTGATTCACTAGATTGTGGATGGGGCTCAGGAATCTGGGTCTTTAAAGTTCCACATGTGATTCTGATTACCAGCAGTTTAGGGGACCACCCTCCTCACTTTTTACTCCTGAAGAAACAGGCTCAGAGAGCTAGTGGCATGGCTAGGGTCAGCAGCCGGTTAGAGGAGAAGCTGGAAATGGAGCCCAGCCCTCCCAATCCTGGCTCAGAGCAGGTTATCATAAACCATGCTGCCCATTGTCCACACTAACCTACTCAGAACTGAGCTCTAAAATTCTTGTTTGGCAGCTAGTTAGCTAGTCAGACTAGATTCCTCTATCATTGTCCCACGTAACCCCTTAAGGGATCAGGCAGAGCAACTGCTGCCTGCAGAGGGCCGTGAGTCCTGCCAAGGTGGCCTCTGGAGCCCTGATGCATCACCTGTAGGCAGCATCCAAGTGCCCAGACCTCTGGGGCCTGCTCCGGGCTTCCTGGAGGCAGATGGGCATCATCGTAGCAGGTGTCTTTCTCCTTGGTGTATGAGCTTTCCACGGAGTTGTTATGTCTAAATCAGATTCCAACATTCAAGAGCCTGTCTTTGGGAAGGCAATGGAAGGTCTTAAGCAGAGGAATAATAACCAAATATACCTGACCCAGGTTGTCTGGTCCATCCTCAAGTGGGAAACCAAAATGGAGGCAGGGAGATCTGGGGTGGGGGGCGAGGGGGCTGTCTCAATGTCCTGGCAATACCCTGCTTCAATATCCTCTGTCGAGGGCAAGGATCTTCTTACGGTAGGCTGTGGGCCCAATCTGGCCGGCTGCTGGGTTTTGTCTGGCCCATTAAGTAGGAATGGTGAACACTCTCGATTGATTTGATGAGAGAATACTACCTCTGAGCCCCAATGAAGTGAGATTTTATCCCCTCTAAAAAAAGAATTCATTTTTTTCTCATTAGTTGAACTGTATTTTTTTAATATCCTTGATTTTTAATAATATTGTCATATTTTAATTTTCATTAATAAAAAAGTATGGAAATGTGCTTTCACTCTTTTTATGGAAGTAACTGCTGCAGGGCATCGTGGCTCATGCGTGTAATCCCAGCACTCTGGGAGGCCGAGGCAGGTGGATCACCTAATATCAGGAGTTCAAGACCAGCCTGGCCAACATGGTGAAACCCTGTCTCTACTAAAAATACAAAAATTAGCTGGGTGTGATGGTAGGCACCTGTAATCTCAGCTACTCGGGAGGCTGAGGCAGGAGAATCACTTGAACCCGGGCAGGGAAGATTGCAGTGAGCTGAGATTGCACCGTTGCACTCCAGCCTAGGTGACAGAGTGAGGATCTGTCTCAAAAAAAAAAAATAATAATAAGTAACTGCATAGTAGGTTTGATTTTGCCTCTTGCCCTACAACACCTGAAGTATGCACTATCTGGCTCTTCACCAAAAAGGGCTACTGAGCTCTCCCTGGTCTAGGTGTTGGTGGAGAAAATGGATGGGTTCGGATGTATTTTGGAGTGAGAGCCAGTAGGACTTTAATTTTAATGCTGGCAGAACATAGACTATGCTGCAGGGTGGGACAGAGTCACTTGATCCCTAAGACAAGTCTAAGACTATGAGGGGCCATGGTCCACCACCGTCATAGCAGGTGTCTTTCTTCTTGGTGTATGAGCTTTCCAAGGAAGTGTTATGTCTAAATCAGATTCCAACATTCAAGGGCCCAACTGTATATGCGAAGGCAATGGAAGGTCTTATGCAGAGGAATAACAACAAAATATACCTGACCCAGGTTGTCCGGTGCCAGGTGGAGGATGGACCACCTGGGAACCAGAATGGTGGTGATGAGGCCCCCAACATGGCCTAGAGCAGCCCTCCCCATGGTCCCCTCTGGGTTGAGTCTCGGGCTCCTCCCATGCCCCAGCTGAGCCCATAGGTCTCCTGTGTACCAGCAGCCTGTTGACCAGAATAAGCAGTGCCTGGCACAGGCCCTGGAGGCTTCATGTTATAGCCCATAAACAACGCCGTATTTATTGACGGATGACTATCATTGTCAAGTTTCCAGCCACCACCCCACCTTCCATAGGACCAGCAGGCTGGCTCCTGGCTGGCACCAAGAGTGAGCGGCTTGGGCATTTAATCAGGTTCAGGTAACAGGTAAGGACTGGTTCCCCAGCTAGGGAAAAACACAGTGAATATTTTGGATTGAGCCATGTGTGCCGCATCTTGCTGGAGCTTGCAGGCCCCTTGGAGGCTCTCAGACGGCTCTTAATTAATTGCTGGAGCCAAGTGGGGCAATCTTGTGAGCGCTGTTGCTTTTGCTCATCTGATCCAGCCATGCTCAGGGGAGGGTGAGGAGCTGGCCTTGGATTTAGGGGATGAATGGGGTGGGCTGGGATATGGGAGGAGCTCAGTGGCCTGGCCAAGATGGTTGGGACAAAGCTTGGAATAGCCAACCTGTTTGTCAAGCAAATGGACAGGCCCTTTCTTCCAGGCAGAGAAAGACCTTGCTTCAGCTCCCTGGCTTGGGGAGGAGAGACCCAGATTCGAATCCTAGCTCTACTACTAACTAACTCTGGGACCATGGGGCAATTAGCTGCTTTAAGCTTCACTGTCTCATCTGTAAAATGCATGCAGTGATACTACCTCGAAGGATTGTGGTGGGAATCAAATGAGATGAGGGTAATGCCATGCACCATAGTCCCTGCAAGGCCACTGGGTCCCTGTAAGGCCACTGATCAGTGGGGCATGCCAACACTAGAGGCAGTGCTAACCCTAGGAGGCGGGGACAGCAGAAGAGATCTCAGGTGGGCCCATGTCCCTAAGGGGAGAACGAGCCCTGGGCACCAGGGACATCATGCAGTGAAGATGCTGGAGGTGGGAATGGGGTTTCAAGTGCCAGGGACCATCTCCTTAACTCCTCTGCACTCATGCATGCAGCTCCTGCAAGGCTTGGCAGAGCTCGGGCTGAAGAGGAAAGGCTCCTGCCTACCCAGCCATAGGTCCCCAGTGGATGCAAAGGGAACTTTTCCTTGGTCCTGGTCCTCAGTGGAACCCGTTTTGTTTCGATTGTCCCTGACCTGGCCTGTGCTCTCGCTGCACCATCCTGTGGAACACAGACACCTGGAGAGTCAGAGCTGGCTGGATCTTTGGAAGGGCACAGTCACAGCTGCACCCGCCACTCCTTCCCATCCCAGGCTCGATACTTCAGTAATCCTTGCTGCCTGAGCTTCCCTTATGGGTCCCAGGTCACACCTTCTTTCCTCCTATTCTGTTTGCTGAGATACCTTCTCTTCAAATCCTTCTCCTATAGAGAGGTTTCCATGAGCCGTGGGATGGGATGGGTGTGGCCCTCTTCTGGGATCCAGAGCTCCATGGAGAGCCCTCTGACTTGGTTCCTGACTCCTTCTGCAGACCTTGTCTCCATCTTGCTTCCCTCCTCCATCAGTCCTCTAGGCCTTGAGGACAGGCACTGAGTCTTACTGCAGTGTTGAGGCTCCAAGATGGCAGTGATCTCCCAATAAATATTTGCTAACCTCAGCTGATTTCTTTACTTTATGATGTAAGAATTGAAGCTACAAGAGGGTCTGTGACCTGCCTAAAGTCATATGCAAATTAACCAGATCTTGGCTCCAGTAGTCTACTTTGACTCGAGTGCTGTTTCCCTTAAATCATGCAGCTTGTCAGGTCAGGTCAAGCATAGCCTGGATCTCACCACATTCTTACGGGATTGAAGGATGTAATATTAATGACTCAGTAGGCTTGGAATCAGCCAATCAGCAAGTGCTCCTTGAACCCCTTGATATGGAAGGTACAGGTAGAGAAGGTAGTAATTTTTCACAAGTCTCAAACTCAGCTATGTAGAAATATAGATTTGGTTTTCTTCCCTTATTTTTAATAGATTATACAATCATATTACATAAAAGCAAAACCAATACAAAAAAGCTACAACTTTTTACGTCTTATTTATATTTTCTTAGATTTTATGAATCTTTGAAAAATATAACCAAAGTGAATATATGTTCTTAATTTTCCCTTTTTGCATAAAGCCTATTGCATACACCATTTTGCACCTTGATTTCTTTGTTTCCTTTCCATACTTTTACGTAGAGAGCTTCTTTACTGTTTTATAGCTGTAGAATATTCCATTATTGATTTAACCTGCCTCCTATTGGGGGACAATTGGTTGTTTTCAATCTTTCCTTATTATAAACAAAACTGCAGTGAATAACCACAGCCGATAGGAAGGCTGATAGGAAAAATTTCCAGAAAAGCAATCACTAAGGTAGAGGGCAAATGCTTTTGTAAGTTTTATAGATGTTTTCAAATTTCCCTCTGCAAGGCTGTGATAATTTAGGCCTGCATTGGCCCTGGTGAGAGTCAGCCTACCAGCCACAGCCCCACCAGCCACAGCCCCACCAGCAGTGTCAACTCAGTTTCCATTCAGAGTCCTCCTTCCACCTAGTGGTAGAAACAATCTTAATGAATTTAGGGTAAATGCATTCATATACACTGGATTTTTCTTGGATAGTTTAGGACTTAGCTCAGTGAGCTCAGGAGTTTCTGTCTTTCCTTTCTTCCCAGAAAAGCAGCTGCCTAAACCACAGCATCTGGTGTCAACATTCTCTGCCCTCTTTGGCTTTGGCCAAGATGCCTGTGGTCCCAACATGGCAGTCAGCACATGGCTGTCTGTGTTTTACTCTTCTCCTTCCTCCTCCTCCTCCTTCTTTTTCTTCATCTTTTGGATCGCAGGTACACAGAATTGGATTAATCATAAACTTTGGGTCATGCCAAACTCTCACCATGGCCCACTTCTATTTAGTTAATTATTTATAATAATGATTAAAATAATTAGTTATGTTATGAGATGCCTGTTGTTAAAGATGAACAAAGCCAGATACTAGCTAAAGTGGCGAGGACAGATTTTAATCAGGAATAACTATTGCAATGGGGAGAAGAGTTCAATGTGACTTGAACTTGGATTTGTACAGAGGTAACTGCACATTTTAAAGGGAGAATGAGGGAGCAGGCAGGGGCAAGTGGGGGCTCAGCAGAATCAGGAAAGTGAAAAATTACACAGAGTTCACCAGCAAAAATGTGACTAGGCCAGCTGTGTCTGCTGGCTGACAATTATCAAAGTTAGGATTCTCTCCTCCCATGGAGACTGGGAGGCAGAAGCCCTGTCCTCAGGTTTTGGCTGGAACAAACAGTAGATTTTTTTGCTAGCCTTGAGTTTTCTCATGCAGGCACTTTGAGGAGGGTAGGGCCATCCTAGGGATGTGGCCTTGGGCTGTTAGAAAAGACATTAGCGTTTGCTCAAGTCTTTATTGCAAGGCTGAGGCCTAGTGGAGAGGAGGGCCCTGAGAAGGCTGGCTAAAGTTCCATCAGAGAGAGTCTTTGTCATGGAGACCCTACTGAGGTCTCCAGTCATCAGCCCCCACCTCTGATTCCTTCCTATCCTGACCGTGAGGTCCCAGGCACACCCCTCTCAGGGAGAGAGGACAAGTTCTGGTGCTCTCTGAGGCTCTCTGGTACTATCTTGGCCATCTCTTCTTAGCCCTGCTGCCTTTTCTACTCAACTGCTTTTGGGGGTGGGAAGTAGGGGAGCAATTCTTTGAGGGCCCAGGCTGGGGAAGGAGTGATAGGAATTGGTGTGCTGGCAAATGTCTCCCAATTGGCTCTGATAGCAAGGGGAGAGGTGTGCAGAAAGGCCTGAATCTATAGCACTTGCTGATTTCAGGGACATGAAAACTCCCATTAAGGTCAATTTCAGGCTACCAGCCTCAAGCAGTTCACAAAATTCCTGAAAATTTAACAATTGGCTGCCAGCATGGGCCAGCTCCAAGCTTACCTGTGGGGAAAAATTTGTCTAGTCTCTAGGGAAAGGGTCACGGTCATCTAGTTCTTGTGTGTGCTCTTTTCTACCAAGTGTCCTTGACCAGGGCTTGATATTCTTTGGGAGTTCAAAAACCTCCTCTTGCAAATTAAAAACCTTGACCCTGATGTGACACCCAGAGGCCTGACTTGGAACACCAAAGGCATAACTTTTACTCTGATCTCTCTCTCTCTTTTTTTCTTTTAGAGACACGGTCTTGCCCTGTTACCTAGGCTGGAGTGCAGTGCTGTAATCATAGCTCAAGTGATCCTCCCACCTTAGTCTTCTGAGTAGCTAGAGTCCTGGCTAAAAATAAAATATAAATAAATAAATAAATAAATAAATACATTAAAAAAATAAAATTAGCCAGGCACATGCCACCACACCTGGCTAATTTTAGTTTTAATTTTTTTTTTTTTTTTTTTTTTGTAGAGATGGGGGTCTCTGTATGTTGCCCAGGCTGATCTCGAACTTTTGGCCTCAAGTGATCCTCCTGTCTCAGCCTTCCAAAGCATTGGGATTACAGGAGTGAGCCACTGCACCTGGCCCTGATCTCTGTATTCTTTGTAGCCCCTCTCAGTGGTTAGCATATACCACTGTAGCAATAAAGGAAGAGAGTTGTGGGGAGAATAAGGAAGTGTAGGGAAGAGAGTACCTCCACTCGAAAAGGAATTTTAATCTGCTTTGCTTCTGTTGTTTATGGGTGGCATATCACTGATGCCCCATAAAGATTTGTAGAATTAATATGTATCTAAAAATCTTATCTTGCTACTCAAAGAAGTGGAAGCCATAGCTCTTGCCCTCATGGAGCTTACAGTTGGTATACGATATAGAATGAATGATGTAATAAAAGGCAAGTGCCAAATTATGGCCCAGACAGTGAGTCTTGGTGATTGTCTGAAGGATGCAGAGGCTGCCATGGGCCAGCAGTGCTTTGTGGAGAAGATGGGAATTGTACTAAGCCTTGAAGGTTGCTGCTTCTGGAATAAGCTCAAGGACAACTAATTGAAAACACATAATTCAGCTTTGACAGCATGTCATGGGTGTCTCACAGAAAGCCAACATAATTCTTCCTGCTTGGTCAAGAGACATATATGTACAGTGTCACCAAGAAGCAAGCTTGATGGGTGAACTCCTAAGACGTTAGCTCCCCCAAGCGATTTATGGCCCAAGTTTGAGAACAGCCACATTGAATCATCAATCAGTGAGTAGTGATGTGAGACCTGCAAGTGTGTGAGGCTAACAGTCCCTATTCTCTAAGAGCTACCAGTCTGATCAGGAAGATCCTGACAGGCTCAGTGGACATATACATGAGCAACCCCAGAGAAATTCAGCTTGTCTGTTGTCTATCTCTGCATGGATCAGAGACTTACTTAGGGAAAGAAAATATGTGGGGAGATTATGATGAAGACCTCCCAAAATGTCCCGCATGGACATCCTAGCATCATATGGCCAGAACTCAGTCCACCACCTTCCGCCTCACAGATGCTCGAACTTTTGTGTTCTTCATCTCAGGACCTGATGACATCATCTACCTGCAAGTTGGAAATTTAGCAGTAGCCCTAGCTCACTGCATGGAATGTAATAGGCACTCAATCCATATTTCTTTTCACTCACTTATTCATTTACTCATTCATTAATGTATTCACTAAACAAAGAACCTACTCTGTAGGGAGGTGGTATAGAATATGGGCCAAGAACATGCGTTCTGGAGAGAGATTACTTCAGTTGGAGTCATGGCTCTGCCACTTACTAGCTGTGCAATTATGAACAAGCTACTTTTCTAAGGCTCGGCTGCTCTATGTGTAATATGAAAATAATAATATATCTCTTGGCCAGGTGTGATTGCTCACATCTTCAATCACTGCATTTTGGGAGGCTGAGGTAGGCAGCTCTCTTGAGCCCAGGAGTTTGAGACCAGCTTGGGCAACATAGTGAGACCCTGTCTCTAAAAAGAATATATGTATACACATATATACCCATACATATTGGTGACTGTCTGAAGGATGGAGAGGCTGCCATGTATGGGTATATATGTGTATATATGTGTGTCTATATATAGACATATATTGTTTTATATGTCTATAAATATTTTAAAGAGGTTATTTCAAAGATCATTTAAATAAGATAATCCATGCCAAGTGCTTCATAAAGAGCCAAGCACAGGGTTAGCACTTAATAGGCTTGTCCTTTATGAGGATTGCCAGCAGCCACCATTACTGTTACTGCTGTTGTCACTTAGCAGGAGTATGGCTAAATGCAGCCCTGCTCTTGCACCAGAGAAGTTCTGTTGTCTCTTTTCTGGGGGTGCATGTCACCCTTACCAAAAATGTGTGTGGCCCCTTTAATAAAATCATCTACTGGAAGTAGAAGCCACCAGGTAGACTTGAGTCTTGGGGAAACACAAAACAAAACTGAGTCCCTCTAAATATCCCTTATAGATCCATGCATGGAGGGCCTCTATCTGGATCCTTCTCAATGCAGGGAATGGAGTCTCAATTCCTTACCTCAAATGCCCCTGTGACCCTGGGCTGCCCCAGTCCATGGCTGGGTTGACTTCAGTGGCTTTTGTGCCCCAGCCTCATTCCCAACAGCAGGATGCCAAAATATGATCCTGGATGCACTCTGGAAACATTTACCACTTGCCAAAGGGAAAGGACGGATTCTGGCCTGTGTCTGACTAATTAATGACCTTGAATGAGCCAGTTCACCCATAGGTGCCTCTGCTGCATTAGATAAATTCAAGTGCCCCTCTATGCCTTATTCTATGATTATTTGAAGAGCTTTTGGGTTGACCTCCATGGGGCAGATGACTCACCTCCTAAATGAAGTTAGTGGCTGGGAGGAAGGGGTAAAACCGCCATAACTGAGCACAAGTTACTTTCAGGCACTCTGCGGGGCATTTTTTTCCTCCATGTCATCTGATTTACCCCTCATAATAACCCTATGAAAGGTATGTTATTAGTCCCATTTTGTGCATTGGGAAAGTGAGGTTTAGAACAATGAAGTACCATATCCAAATTCATGGCAAGGTGTGGATTTTTTTTTTTTTTTTGCCAACATTTGGCCTTACTGCAGTCTGTGTTCTATCCATCACCCTACGCTGGATAATCTGGCTCTAAAAATCAGTGGGGGAAAATGGAGTCTATATAGCCATGTTCATGAATTTAACTGAAGTAGTTTAAATGAACTTTGCTAAATTGTAGTCCAAGGCAAATATATGGTCGATAGTTCAATAATTCTGGGTTTTTAAAATTTTTGGATGACTTGGTATTATGATAGTAGCTATGTAATCTTGAAAAAAATCACTGCACTTACTAGTATTTCCATTTCCTCATATGTACAATGGAAACATGTACACCCTATGCTACCTCTGATGACTAAAGTGAAGAGTGAACAAGTAATGTACAAATGCACTTTTTGGATTGTAAATGCTATGCAACTTTGATTTAGTATATAACTTGGATTGTTAGATCTGGAATATCTAAACAACTACTTTTAGTTCCAATGTGTAAATCCATTTATAGAGGTTTTTGCATGAAAATATACAGAGAGACAGAAAAATACATAAATCATAACTAATGATGTAGCTTGATGGGTTATTCCAAAATGAACACACTCCTGAGAACCTAACACCCATATGAGGGATAGAGTATTATCCAGACCCTAGAAGTTCTCTTAAGCCTCCTCCTAACCACTACCTGCTGCATCCTTTGTAGAGGTGATCACTATCCTGACCTCTACAACATAGATTAGTTTTGCCTATTTCTGAACTTTATATAAACAGAATCATACAGTATGTATTATTTTATGTTTTGCTTCTTAAACACGAAGGTAACAGTTGTGTTTTAAAAAAGAATGTTTGTGAGATAGCCGGGTGCAGTGGCTCACGCCTGTAATCCCAGCACTTTGGGTGGCTAAGTTGGGCAGATCACTTGAGGTCAGGAGTTCGAGACCAGTCTGGCCAACACGGCGAAACCCCATCTCTACTAAAAATATGAAACTTAGCCAGGCGTAGTGGTGCACACCCGTAGTCCCAGCTACTCGGTAGGCTGAGGCAGGAGAATTGCTTGAACCCGGGAAGTGGAGGTTCCAGTGAGCCGAGATGGCACCACATACACACAAAAAGAATGCTTCTGAGATAGATCTTGCTGTTGCAGCAGTTTATTCTTAATAATTTTATTAACTTTAATTTTATTAATAAATTTATTAATTTTGTTAATAAGTTTATTAATTTTCAGGACTATATAGTATCTTATTGCATAAATACACCATGATTTATGCTAGTCTATTATATTAATTGATTATTAAATGGCAAACCACTTTGAATTTCTGGAACAAACTCAACTTGGTCTGATATATTATTCTTTTGTAGATTGCAGAGTTCAGCTTGATAATACTCTGTTTAGGCTTTTTGCTGATGTGCTTATGGGAGAGATTGTTCTGTACTTTTTCCCTTCTTCTTTTGCAATGTTTGTTTTAGGTTTTGGTATTAATGTTATTTTGACTTCATAAAATGAAATGAAATGTTATTTCTTCTAAACTCTGAAGAAATTTATGTAAAATTGGTGTTATTAATTCCTTAAGTGTTTGAGAGAATTCAGCAAAGAAATATCAGGGCTTGAAGTTTTCTTTACGGGGAGGTTTTAAATCATGGAACTAATTATTTTAATAATTAGTTATTAAATTATTATTTAATCTATTTAGAGAGTTTTTATTCTTCTGTCAGTTTGATATGTTGTGTTTTTCCGTGAATTTGTTCATTTTATCTAAATTTTCAATTAATTGGCATAGGGTTGCTTATAATATCTTACATCTATTTAATGTCTGTAGTGAAGTCTCCCTTTCTTTGGTCATGACATTGATGGTTTTTTTCCTTCTTTTTTTCATAATCAGTTTTGCCTAAAGCTTATGAGTTTCACACGTTTTCCAAAGAACTCATCTTGGCCAATTAAAATTATCTTCATTGCATTTGTTTTCCATTTCATTATTTCTGCTCTTATCTGTATCATTTCCTTTTATCTACTTTCTTTTTCTTTTTCTTTTTCTTTTTTTCAGACAGAGTCTCACTCTGTGGCCCAGGCTGGAGTGCAGTGGCACAATCTCGGCTCACTGCAACCTCTGCCTCCCAAGTTCAAGCTATTCTCGTGCCTCAGCCTCCCGAGTAGCTGGGATTATAAGCACATGCCACCACGCCTGGATAATTTTTGTATTTTTAGTAGAGAGAAGGTTTCAACCTGTTGGTTAGGCTGGTCTTGAACTCCTGACCTCAAATGATCCACACGCCTCGGCCTCCCAAGGTGCTGGGATAGCAGGCGTGAGCCACTGCACCCGGCCCTTTTATCTACTTTCTTTGAGCTACAAATTTCCCTCCAGGCACTGCTTTAGCTACATTTTACAGTTTTGATGTATTTTCTAATTTATATTTATCAATATATAGCATATATAATTTATATTTATTGACTTGTATATCTCTATATAAATCTGTAATATATAATTTATATTACATATATTTATATCTAATATATGTATTTCTTTAAAGATTTCTGCATAAACCCATGATTTATTTATAAGTGTAGTGCCTAATTTCAAAATGTTTGGAAATGTTCTAATTCCCTTTTAGTTATTGATTTCCAATCCAACCCCACTGAGGTTAGAGAACATACCCAGTATGACTTTAATCTTTTGAAATTTGTTGGGACTTGCTTTGTAAACCCGCATAGGGTCAATTTGTGGTAAATGTTCCATGCCATTTACTCTACAGTTGTTAGGTATAGTGCTGTATAGGTGTCAATTAGGTCAAGTTTATTATTTGCATATTAAAATACTCCATCTCCTTACTGTGATTGTGGATCTATTATTTATTTTTCCTTAAATGTTCCATGCCTTTTACTCTACAGTTGTTGGATATAGTGCTGTATAGGTATCAAATAGGTTAAGTTTATTATTTGCGTATTAAAATACTCCATCTCCTTACTGTGATTGTGGATCTTTTATTTATTTTTCCTTATTGTTCTGATAAATTTGTTTTCTATATTTTGGGTCTGTGTTGTTAATGGCATATCAGTTTAGGATTATTATATTTTCTGTGTACATTCACCCTTTTATAACAAAATGTCATTATCATTATAAAATGTCCCTCTGTATCCAGTTATGCTTCTTGCCTTCAGGACTATTTTAGTATTGATGTGGCTACACACACTTTCTTTTGGTTAGTGTTTGCATGGTGTATATCTACTTCCATCCTTTTATTTTAAATCTTTATCATATTTAAGATTTGAGAAAGATCTTGAGAAAGGCAGTGTGTATTAGCTATGTACTCATTTGTAACCAGTTACCCCAAAGCTTAACACCTAAAAACAACAAAACATTTAATATTCCACAGATTCTGGGAGTAAGGAATTCAGAAACAGCTAAGCGAGGTGGCTCTAATCCAGAGCCTCTCATGAGCTTGCCATCAAAGTGTCAGCCAGCGCCGTGGTCATATGAAGGCTTTACTGGGGTTGAATTCCAGTAATGCTCGCTTAACCATGGTTTTGCTTTCTGAGGTTTCAGTCACCCACAGTCAACTATAGGCTGAAAATATTAAATGGAAAATTGCAGAAATCAACAATTCATAAGCCTTAAATTATTTATTCAAAGTAATTATTTATTCCATTACTCTGTTAAATGTATACTCATATTTAAGTTGTGCTTATTAGCAGCATATTTTTTATCATGTCTCCTAGTCTTTGTCATTGTACCAAAACATTTAATCTTTGTATTTAATATAGTTTCTGAGATATGTGGTTTGAAATCTACCCTTTTGTCTTTGATTTTCTATTTGTTTCATTTTCTGTAATTCTTTTTCTCTCATTTTATTGCAGTATTAAACCATGTCCACAGATTCTCTGATAAGAAGTGGAACTTAATCTCTTTTTCCTTGAGTGTGGCCTAGACTTAGGGAGTCATTTCTATCAAATAGAATAAGGCAGAAATGACAGTCAGTGATTTTTAAAGACTAGATTAAAAAAGGCATGTACCTGCTTTATAAATTTTATAATTAATTTATATATTAATTGAGATTAACAATATTTAATAAAATAGAACTATTATAACAATATACTGTAATAAAAGTTATGTAAATGTGGTTCTCTCTCTCAAAATATCTTATTGTACTATAGATCTTAGCAACCTCGGCATATGATTTTTTTCTTTCCTTAGTAAGCTGAGAACTTTCACCTTTTCACTTAAAGAAAGCACTTTCTGGCCTCTTTTTGGCTTATCTGAATTGCCAGCAGCACTACTTTTGTGCTTTGGTGCCATTATTAAGTAAAATAAGGGTGACTGGGACACAAGCACTGTGATACCGCAACAGATAACCTGGTAACTGAGATGACTGACTACTAAGTGATGAAAGGAAGGGTATACAGCACGGATACACTGAACAAAGGGATGATTCACGTCCCAGTTGGCATGAGATTTCATCACCCTATTCAGAACGGTGTGCAATCTAAGGCTTCTGAGTTGTTTATTTCTGCAATTTTACATTTAACGTTTTCAGACCATAGTTAACTGTGGGTGACTGAAATCTCAGAAAGCAAAACCATGGTTAATGGGTGGGGGTCGGGGGGCAGTTACTGTATTTCTACCCCAGGCAAGACTTCATGTGACTGAAGCCCTGGCTAACACCTTGACAGCAAGCTCATGAAAGACTCTGAGAGCCATCTAGCTTAGCTTTTTCCTAAATTCCTTACTCCTAGAATCTGTGAAACATTCAATGTTTTGTTGTTTTAAGTGTTAAGTTTTGGGACAACTTGTTACAAATCAGTAGACAGCTAATACATATTTATTGCCTTATTTGGAATAATTTTTTATTCCTTTGCTCTGCTAAATGTTTGTTGATTATACCTTCTTTTAGTGGTTACTCTAAATTACAACACGCATCTTTGACGTTAAAATCTAATGTAAATTAATACCTTTTAAATCACTCATGGACAAGGCAAAGTCCATAGGATACTTTGTTTTTTCCTGCCTGTAGGGTTACTTTTATCACATATTTTAATTCTCTGTCTATTTTTAAGCCTCACAAGATATTTTTAGTGTTTCATACTGTTGTATTTTACCATCTCCATTGCTCCTCATTCCTTCTTGCAGTGTACATTTCCATAGGAAATCATTTTGCTTCTTCTCAAAGAATTCTTTTTATAATTTTTCTGTATTGCAATACTCTGGTGACAAATTTTCTGTTTTTGTTGATCTGAAACTGTCTTTATTCTGTCTTTATTTTAAAATATATTTTCACTGAGTAAAGAGTTCTGTTTGCAGTTATTTTCTTTTAGCACTTTGAAGATGCCACTCCATTACTTTCTGACTTCTACTTTTTCTGTTTAGAAGTCATTTGTCTTACAGTTGCTCTTTGAAGATAATATGTCTTTTTTCTTTTCTCTGGCTTTAACAGTTTTTTCTGTCTTTGGTTTCCTTTTTTGCTTTCTTTCTTTCGTTTTTTTTTGGAGACAGAATCTCGCTCTGTCGCCCAGGCTGGAGTGCAGTGGCGCTATCTCGACTCACTGCAAGCTCTGCCTCCCAGGTTCACGCCATTTTCCTGTCTCAGCCTCCCGAGTAACTGGGACTACAGGCGCCCGCCACCACGCCCGGCTAATTTTTTGTATTTTTAGTAGAGATGGGGTTTCACCGTGTTAGCCAGGATGGTCTCGATCTCCTGACCTCGTGAACCGCCCGCCTCGGCCTCCCAAAGTGCTGGGATTACAGGCGTGAGCTACCGTGCCCGGCCATGTTTTTGGTTTTCAATGCAGTTTTACTATGATGTACTTAGATGTAGTTTTCTTAGTACAGTCATGCATCATATAACCATGTTTCAGTCAATGACAGACCACTTACACATCAGAGGTCCTATAAGATTGTAATGGAGCATAAATAGAAACCTGATGTACGGCACTTGATGTTGGCATTACAAATCAAATAGGGGAAATGATTGATATTCAGTATTGGTGCTGAGACATTTGGTTTTTCATATGAAGCATATATATATGTGTGTGTGTGTGTGTGTGTAACTAAAAATATGTATACATCCAGTTTTATGTAAGTACACACTAACACACTCTGAGGTTCACACAATGACAAAATTGCCTAATGATATATTTCTCAGAGCCTATCCTGTCATTAAGTGACACATGACTGTATTTATCCTGCTTGGTGTTTTTAGCACTTTTTAAACTGTGGCTTGTTACCTTTCAGTAGTTGTGGAAACTTCTTGGCTATCGTCTCTTTGAACACTGTTCCTACCTATTCTCATTCTCCTCTCCTGGAATTTTGAATACATACATAGTGGACCTTTCATCATGTAACCTTACATCTCTTATGTTTCTTTTTGTATGTTTCTGTATGTACCATTTATAAACAAAACAAAACTATTTCAATCTGGTTATTTCCTCTGACTGATCTTCCAGTTCATTAATTCCTTTTTCAGCTTTCTGTCACTTACTATTATATTCATTCATTAATTTCTTAATTTCAGTTCAAGCATTTTTCAGTTGTAGAATGTCCACTTTCTTCTTTTTACAGGTTCAAGTTCTCTGCTGAGGGTTTCCACATAGCCATCTAATTTCTTGGATTTATTAATCACATATATTTTAAACTAAATATCTGATAAATCCTGTGAGGCTGTTCCTTTCTCTGTTGATTTCTCTCAGTTTTCTGTTATGTGTTCATGTCTCCTGGTGTATGAAGTAATTTGCAATTAAACACAAAGCATTTTGTATAAAAATTGTTGAGACAATTTGCAGCTCTGTATGTTTTGAAGTCAGTTGGTTTGGAATGACTTGCCTATGCAGATATTGGGGTGATTAGAGTCTGAGTTTCAGTACCTGTGAGGCTGTTCTCCCAAGTATAGCTCTCTGAGCACCCCAGTGGAAAGCCTGTGCTCTTTACCAGCACCTCTTTTCTTTGGAGAGTCCTTCACTCCAATTTTGTTCCTGCTCCCTGCAAGACATGCAGAAGTTTCTTAGCTTCTCAGCATCTTTCTGAGAAACATAAAATGCCTTGAGGAGAAAAATAAAGTAATGGACATATGTCAGACTTATCTCACTTCTCACTTCTTTTTAACTTTCCTTTTTTCCCCAAGATATTGGCTCCTCAAGTCCTTGCTACTTTGGTTTGATGTCTCCAAACACACACACACACACACACACACACACACACACACACACACACACAGAGAGAGAGAGAGAAGTGATTTAAAATTGTTAATTTTTCTCTGTGTGAGTGTTAATTTGTAACACACTATTCCACCACCATCGATGGAGGTAGTAATCTTTCAAAACCTACTTTCCACAAACCAAATAAATAACTCCACCTAACTTTAGGGCAGGCAACCTGGTATGCTTCTGAGAACCAGTTCTGTGAACACACAGATCATGCTTATGATTTCAGCCAGTGCATCAATTTAAACTAAAAGTTTAAGATGTTTATTTTTCCTCATTTTATTATTTCTCTTATTTGTTCTATAGTCATCTTAATCTGTGTAAGAAATACTGAAGCTGTCCAAAAGTTCAAATTTGAACCCAATGCTGAATTTAAAGGTGTTGCCCCAAAAAACATTAGGTAAACATGCAAGGATCGTCACTGTTAACCTGTTACGCAATATGACCTGGTCCCCAGGCTACATAATTTTAGAGTCATTCTTTACATTTCAAGCTCTGCAAGCACTTGGAGAAGTGGTGTTCTGTGGACTCTTACTTCTTCCTGACTTTTTGATGTTCTCTTTTGTCAATGTGACCAACCAATTTTGAATCAGAGCTACTGGCATCTTTAGAATGACATGTATGGTGGCTCAGAACTGTACCCTTTAAAACTCAGCTCCAGTAAAGGGAGATTCTGAGCATTTTAAGATGTTGGAAATTGAGTTGCATCCTGCATTAAAGGCATTTCTTCTTTATATAAACTGTAGGATTCTGTTAAGACAGAAATGGGGAGAGCTAATGGGCTATTCTGAAAGAACTACCCATTAAATTGTAAAGTACGGTATGTTTTAAAGTGACAAACCCAAGAGCTGAAAATGACTCTTTGATCTTTAAAAGGCTCATAAACGGTGGCAGCGTACTCACAGACCTATATTTATGTATTCAAATATTGGGAGGAAATCCAAGTAGAGTCTCAAGACTGCGGGACTTTGCAATTTAGACAAAAAGAGGCCAGGGAGGAGGGCAATTAAATCAAACTTTTTACAGCATAAAGCAAGCTTTCTTCCCTCCTTGTTAATCAATGAACTAGAATCTTGGTAAGGGCTTGCTTTTTAAGTGGGGTTTGAGCCAATCTTTACACAGATGTGAGGTATTTGTGAAGAAAGAAAGAGACAATTGAAACCACAACCAATAGTGTTTTGTTTTTGAATTAAATCTGTGGTTGGTGCCATTCTGTTTTACTTTGATGAAGGGTCTCTAACCATCTCCTACTCCTCAGTGCCCACAAACATATATCCCCGTTGCCTGGTATTGAAACCATTAGCCACATCCGGAAGGGCTAATCTATGGACAACATGCCTATAGCCTCTGTTTCATGGAACAACCCGAGAGGGCTCATAAACAACTGCAGGGACATTGTAAGGGCTTTGAGGATGGCGGTTGTTAAGAAACATTCAAAGAAAGTCAGATCACCATGTGACTTACACTGATGAATACTTTCAGCCTCAACGGCACGTTGGCGTTTTCCTCTGACCCAAATGATGCAACAGAAATAAATTCTACCTTGCATACAAGAACCACAGGCACTGGAATGTGGAATCCGAAGCTTTTCTACCTGGTTCCCCTGGTGACCACAGGTATTTAATGGTCACATTACAGATTAGTTTATGGGATTCCAAGAGGACTATGGACCAGAGCAAACTCAGTTGATCCAAAATTGAGTTTTGATCATGTTAGCAGTCTACTTCAACCAAATTTTGTGGATAATGACAAAATAAATATGCATTCTTTAACCACCTAAGCTAATAAACAGAACAACTGAATCCCAGAATTCCCCCGTCACTCCCCCTCTGCTACCAAATGTAAACTAGGATCCTAAATTTTGTGTTAATCATTTCCCTAGATTTTTAAAAGTATCTAGATATGCTTGCATAAAAAATACATCATTTAGTTTTGTTTGCTTTTGAAGTTTATATAAATGGAATCATACTCTGTGTGCTCTTCTGATTTTTTCACCATAACTTATCTTGCCGTATGTAATGGTAGTCCATTTTTTTTTTTTTTTTTTTTTGAGACAGAGTTTTGCTCTTGTCTCCCAGGCTGGAGTGCACTGGCGTGATCTCAGCTCACTGCAGCCTCCGCCTCCCAGGTTCAAGTGATTCTCCTGCCTCAGCCTCCTGAGTAGCTGGGATTACAGACACCCACCACCACACCCAGCTAATTTTTGTATTTTTAGTAGAGACAGGGTTTTACTATATTGGCCAGGCTGGTCTGGAACTCCTGACCTCAGGTGATCCACCTGCCTTGGCCTCCCAAAGTACTGGGATTACAGGCATGAGCCACTGTGCCCAGCCCATTCCTGTTTATCTCTATATACTATTCCACTGCAAGAACGTAACACAACTTATTATCTATTCTTCTGTTGTGGACATTTGGGTTGTTTCCACTTTTTGCTAGTACAAGTGCTGCTGTAAGCATTTGCATACATCTTCGGGTACACATGAAAGGAGTTTGTGAAGTATTTTTCTAGCAGTGGAAAACACTACTAGAAATAGTCTTAGGGATATACTAGGACTTATTATAAGTGTGTGTTCAGTTTTTTAGGAGTAATGTCAGATTATTTTTCCAATTGGTAATATCTATTTATACTCCCACCTGCAAAGTGTGAGAGTTGTCATTGTTCTTTATCCTCTCTGACATTTTCTATTGTCTTCTTTTTTATTTTTCCCTTTTATATCAGTAGCTAAATGAGATGGGTATCTAAAAATCTGTATCTTACATGTGTGGAAGCTGAGACTTGGAGATTTCAAGTCATTTGACTACGTTTATAGAGCATAGGTTCTGGAAATGCGACATGTGTCAAGGAGCATGTCACCCAAAACCAATTCATAGAAAACCTGCCTAATGATTGATCACCTAATGGCTAATTCTCTTAAAATTCACCTCTTTGAAAGTTTCACATCTGTAAGCTCTTCATGTAAAACTAAACACAAGGTAACATAATTGATTAAAACTAACTAAAAAAATATTAACTAAATTTTGAGAAAAGTATCTTTAGAAAATCTGGCTTAAAAGTCTCTCATTTATTCACAAGGAAAAATGACACTTGCTATTTTCTAAATGTGTGCATACCCTCTACACTCATATACTGAAATCCTAACCTCCAAAGTGAGTATCAGGAGGTGGGGCATTTGGGAGGTGATTAGGTCATGAAAGTGGAGGCCTCATGAATGGGGTTAGTACCCTTACAAACGAGGCCCAAGGGAACTCTTTCACCCTTTGCACCATGCAAAGACAAAGCAAGAAGTCAGCTGTTTATAACTCAGACAGCGTCCTCACCAGAACCCAACCATGTTGCCAGTCTGATCTTGAACTTCCCAACCTCCAGAACTGAGAGAAAAAATTCCTATCATTTATAAGCCACTCAGTCTATGATATTTTGTTATAACAGCCCCAATGGACTAAGACAACACCAAAATGTTTTTAAAAAATTCATTATTTACAAAACACTGTAAATTTGATGACTGCTTATCAAAGATTTAAAAAAGAGAGATGGCCTTAGATATATTGAATATTTAAAAAAGCAAGATGGCAAATAAAAATGGCACATGGAAATACTGCAAAAACCTCTAAAGTTGGATGGAATTTTAAGGGCATTTGTCAGGCACATGGATCACAGTCGAAGTGGTTTCTAACAAATCCACCTAGACATTTTAGGTTTGTTGGAAACTTGGGGCAGAGTTGCCGATGAACTAGCAGGGGAAGCACCTTATGGTAGATGCTAGTGCTACCCTCACACCTCCCCTCGCTGCCTCATTATTTTGTAGTCCTTGAACACCCTGAAGGGCTCTTAAGAATCTGGAAGAAATCAGAATCTGAAAGAAGATAAAGCACTTTTACCCCTGGTCAGTGCTTCTGCCAAAGTTGACTCATAGAAACCATTTACGTGTATGTCAGTTATAATTCGGTTTGTTTGCAGTGACAGAGAACCCCACATTTGAATGCTTTATGTGAGAGATAGATGTTTAACTTCTTTCATGGTAGATGAATCCAGACACAAGCAATCCAGGGTTGGGATGGGGCCTCCACAAAGACACTCGGCCAAGCTCCTCCTAACACCATCCACCCTTCTAGGGATGTGGTGCTCTTTCTCTAATCATCACCTCTTCATTTCAGGCAGTAGGGCTGGGGCAGAAATGGAGAATGGGCAAAGCATGTAAACTTTAAAGAAAGTTTTCTGGAAACTGCCATACCCACCTTTATTTAGATAACATTGGCCAGAAATTTGTCATATGGGACACCAAGCTGTGAGGAGGCTGGGTGGTGTGGTCTTTCTTCCAGGCCGTCATGTCCCCAAGGGAATCTATGACTAAGGAAAACCGATATTGGGGTAGGCAACTAGAAATTTTTACCTCTCTAAAGTTCTTTAATGGAAGAAAGGTACAAGTATTTCAGCTATATAAATCCTATTGCTTTTGTAGGTTTTAACATGCAAGGAATTCTGTTTGACAATCAAACTCAAGGCACGCACAGGCTTAGTGAACTCCCTCCATTCTTCACTGCCAGGTGATGTAGGGAGAAGGTGGAGCCAACACTCAGCCCACTGCCCATCAGCAGTAAGGCCAAAGGAAGAGGAAATTCCTCACCTATTAACATGGACAATGAGACCATGGGGAGGACAGTTCAAGGGTCTTCTGGCTTTGCAAAGGGTCAGATCTGGATCACCGAATACATGTTGGAAGATGGAATACTGCTTTCCTGTTAAGTCCATGTATATGGCTCTCATGCACCATTCCTGACAAGGGCAGACCAGTTTTTCTTCAGCTACCACAGTTTCCACCTGAGTGGATTCTTCATAGTTGTACTGGAAGAAATCTTGAAGAGCATTGAGTTCAGGGTTCCCTTCTGCCCCACTATCAGACTGGGGTTCCTAGATAAACTTGCCCCTCTCCAAATTTTCATCTCAGAGAATGGCCATTTCATGCTTCTAGTTGTTTAGGCCCCAAACCGTATTTTTCTAATGCACCATATGATATGGTTTGGATTTGTGTCCCTGCCCAAATCTTATGTCATATCATAATCACCAGTGTTGGAGGAGGGGCCTGGTAGAAGGTGACTTGGATCATGGGGGCGGACGTCCCCCTTGCTGTTCTCGTGATAGCGAGTTCTCATGAGATCTGTTTTTTTGTTGTTGTTGTTGTTTGTTTTGTTTTGTTTTGTTTTGAGACAAGGTCTCACTCTGTCATCCAGGCTGAAGTGCAGTGTGGTGTGATAGCTCATTGCAACCTCAACCTCCTTGGCTCAAGTGATCCTCCCACCTCAGCCTCCCAAGTAGCTGGGACCGCAGGCATCTGCCACCATGCCTGGCTAACTTATTTTTGCATCTTTTTTTTTTTTTTTTTTTTTTTCGTAGAGATGAGTTTTGCCATGTTGCCAGACTGAGATCTGGTTGTTTAAAAGTGTGTAGCACCTCCTCCTTTTCCCCTTCCCCCTCCTCCCAGCATGTAAGACGTGCCTACTTCCTCTTCACCTTCCAGCACAACTGTAAGTTTTCTGAGGTCTCCCTAGCCATGCTTCCTGTGTAGCCTGCAGAACTGTGAGTCAATTAAACCTCTTTTCTTTATAAATTACCCAGGCTTAGGTAGTTCTTTACAGCAATGTGAGAATGAACTAATACACCATATCTAATCCAACAGCACATCCTGTTGGATCTACTTTCAGAATAGATTCAGAATCCAACAACTTCTTACCTCTGCCACTGCAATAATCTCTTACATGGAGGTCCCAGTGGGTGAATGGGAACTGAAACCCAACCCTGCTCCACTGGCTGAGCTGTGTACCTTTCTCCAAGGCTGCACCCACCTGGAAGAAGGGGCACCCTTTTCTATATATACCAAGATGCCCTCTACAGGCATCTAGCAACTTCCCAGTAGTTCGTGTTACCTCTCTGCTCAAAACCCTCTCACTCAGAAGAAACGCCAAAATCTCACAATGGCAGCACTATGGAACTTGGCCCAGGTACCTCTGTGATGCCATGTCCTTCAGCCACACTGGCCTCCGGCGAGCTCCGCCTTTACACTCACTATTCCTTTTACCTAAATTGGCTAACTTTCCCACATCCTTCCAGTTTCTTCACAGGGGGCCCTTCCCTGGATTGTAGCACCCCAACCCTGGTGTGTCCATCTCTTTGGCCCTCCATAGCCACATCCTCATCTACTGTGCCTAAAATTGTGTCCCCTAAAAGTTATATTCAAGACTTAACGCCTAAGACCTGTGGATGTGACCTTGTTTGGAAATAAGGTGTTTCCAGATAGAATCAAGATGAGGTCATACAATCAAGATGAATCAAGATGGATTCAGGTGGGCCTAATCCAAGGACTGGCATCCTGGTAAGAACAGAGAAATTTGGACATAGAGACCCCCAGGGGAGAAGGTCTTGAGGAAGGAGGCGGCAATGGGAGTGATGCATCGAGGCAAGCATCCTAGTCCATTTGTGTTGATAAAATACCTGAGAATGGGCAATTTATAAACAATAGAAATGTATTTTCTCACAGATCTGGAGGCTGGGATGTCCAAGGCACTTGTGGGTTTGGTGTCTAACAGGAGCTCGGTCTTTGTTTCCAAGATGATGCCTCGTTGCTACCAGAGAGGATGGATGCTGTGTCTTACGTGGTGGAAGGGGCAAAAGGGTAAAAATGGGCCTGGCTGGTTCCCTCCAGCCCTTTGTAAGACACTAATCCCATTCATGAGGGCTCCAACCTCATGACGGAACCACCTCCTAAAGGCCCCACTTCTGTGACTACTGCCAGGTTGGTGATTACGTTTCAACATAGGAATTTTGGGGGACACATTTAAACTGTAGCAGCAAGGAGCACAAAGGATTGCAGAATCCACCAGAAATGGAGAAGGAGAAAGACCTGGAACAAATTCTCCCTCAGATCCTTCAGAAGGAATCCACCCTGCTGACACCTTGATCTTAGACTTCTGGCCACCGTAACTGTGAGACAATACATTTCTGTTGTTTTAAGCCACCAAGTTTGTGGTTCTTTGTTATATTAGCCCTAGAGGAAACAATTACCCCGTCCACCATACAATATGTTACTTATTAATTTGCTTAGGGTCTGCCTCCCCATTAGGAGGGAGAGGATTCTGTCTGTGTTTATTGCCACGTCTCCTGTGGCTGGCATGGGGCCTGGCACAGAGTAGATGCCACAAATACTTCCTGGAAAAATGAATAAAAGTTCACTCAGCTGAACCTGGTATGTGGGTCTCCCAGCACCTCCTGTGGCCATTTCTGATGCATCCTCCGCCACTCCCACCTGCAGCGGGTGACTGACTCTTCAGTGACAGAGGAGCTGCACACAGGTGGCGAAACGCATCTCATGTGGACGTCTGAACCTAGTGCCTGCCCAGGCTGCTAGATACCTGAGACTGTGATATGGTTTGGCTGTAATCCCACCCAACTGTCATCTCGAATTGTAGCTCCCATAATTCCTACATGTTGTGGGAGGAACCTGGTGGGAGATAATTGAATCATGGGGGACGGTTTCCCCCATACTGTCCTTGTGGTAGTGAATAAGTCTCACAAGATCTGACGGTTTTATAAGGGGTTCCCCCTTTCACTTGGCTCTCATTTTCTCTCTTGCAGCCGCCATGTAGGAAGTGCCTTTAGCCTTCTGCCATGATTGTGAGGCCTCCCCAGCCATGTGCAACTGTGAGTCCATTCAACCTCTTTTTCTTTATAAATTACCCAGTCTCGGGGATGTCTTTGTCAGCAGCATGAAAACAGACTAATACAGACTGGTATCTAGAAACTCACCGATCTTATGCAGTTCTTCCCACCAGAGATGTGGTTCTTTTCTCTGGAACTAGGACACAGGGAGAGTGTGAGTTATCCTAGGGCATGATCTGGGTCTTATTCAATTTGGAATCCCCAGTAATAGGCAGAGAGAAAGCACAGGACAGAGAGCTGTTGAACGAATTACTGGGTAATAATAGCTTATATTTTTTAGAGCATTCATAAGGTAGCAGGCACTGTTCAAAGAGCTTGGCGTGCTTCAATGCATGTCAACCTCACAATAAACCTATTATTTTAATTTTACAGACTGGGAAAGTGAGGTGCAGAGGTATTTTGCAACGTGCCCACAGAACCCCAGCGAGCCCGTGTTGGAGTTACAACTGTGCCTCAGGGAGCATTCTCAGGCAGCATTCTCTTATGCTTCACCGTCTCACAGATGATAAGGTTTCATTCAAGGACTTACAACAGCAACCCGGAGGGAGCATTCTCAGTGGCTGGTAGATGCCATTTGTACTGAGCAGGACAATTAAGCCCAATTCTGGAAAAATTCTGCTTTCTCTATTCAATGCATTTTATAAATGTCTTCACTCAGCACATTTACCCTACTAATTATATTTTGCTTTGTGATCATGGTATGTCATTTGCATTCCTTCAGCACACACTGACTGATGGGGAAGAGATGTTGGGTGACCCAGGCAAGCCAAACAGGATTAAAGCCTGCTGTCTCACCAGGTGGATAATCCACTTTGAACACTTGAGAGGGGAGTGTTGAGATCACACCCCTTCCCATGGGACATTTTTCTGGGAAATAAAATCGGTGACAAACACCACGCTTGAACACTCACATTGACTCTAGGGTGCAGGCTGAGCTCATCTGGTGCAGGGGAGTAATGCAGAGGCGAGGCCTGAGTCAGCGCCAGGCACAGGAAGGGGATGCAGGATGCACCACAGCCCATGCCTCTTAGGAGAAAATCTGGGCCTTCTCCATGGCTGTGTCTCTATTAATTTGCTAAGGCTGCCCAAATAAAGCACCACACATGGGCAGCTTACATAACAGGAATTTATTCTCAGTTCTGGAGGCCGGCAGTCTGAGATCAAGGTGTCAGCACAGCTGGTTCCTTCTGAGGACTGTGCAGGAGAATCTGTTCCAGGCCTCTCCCTGAACTTCTGGGGGTCACTGGCCATATTTGGCATTCCTTGGCTTATAGAAGCAATACCCCAATTTCTGCCTTCATCCGCATGTGGCATTCTCCCTGTGTGCGTGTTTCTGTGTCCACATTTTTCCTTTTTATAAGGATACCAGTCATGTTGGAGGTCTACCCTACTCCTTGATGACCTTATCTTAACTAGTTATATCTGCAACAAACCTATTTCCAAATTAGGTCACATTCTGAGGTCCTGGGGGTTAGGACTTTAACATATGAATTTTAAGAGGACACAGTCCAACCCATAATAGTAACTTTGTCCCTCTCTCTCTTTTGACACAATAATGACCCTATGCAGGGATATTTCTAGGTGGCTACTGTCTGTGTGTGTGTGGTAGGGGGACTTCTAGTACTGTTTTGGATTACTGTTGACAGACAGCAGCCTGAGGCTAGGAAGCACTTTGGGGCCATGACTTAGAGCAAAGCTAGTAAGTTTTCTCAGGAATTTGAACCCAGAATTTCATCCCCATGGCACTTTAATCCAGTACATTTAATGGCTCAGATGACCCTGGCCTTATCAGCCTGGTGCTCTAAGCAGCTGACCTAACAGTGTGTGCATGCGTGTATGCACATGTGTATGTTATGTGCATATATAAGTGCATACACATAATGTTGGACACAGAAATATCTCTGAGAACTGTCCCTTTATCACCCTTCAGATAAAATTATTCTCAGCTTGCTTAGTTGCAGTGTTTCTTACTTTGCATCTCCTAACACTTTCATACATTTCTCCCGAAGTGCATAGGCAAGGAGCTTCAACGGAATTCAATGTCAACCTGGTCATCTTACCATGATTTCTAGGAAAAAATGTGTGTAATTGGTTCATGCCCTCCTTCTGTACAGATTACAATTCTCCTTTTTTGGCATGAAAACCTCCATCTGTCTTTTGAAAGCACATGTCACTTATTTATTAAAGTCCTCCCCAACTTGTTCAGGTTGAGTTTCACTAGTACCTTTCTGGAGTATTTTATACCTATGTTATAGCCCCATATGTTATACTTTGGATGTCTGTTTACCTGTCTGTAAGACTGTCTGCATAATTCATGGGCCTTGTACAAAATAAGAATTCAGGGACTCTTGTTACAAGAAACTATTAAGAATTTCAAGATGGGTCAGGCGCGGTGGCTCACGCCTGTAATCCCAACACTTTGGGAGGCTGAGGCGGGCAGATCACGAGGTCAGGAGTTCGAGACCAGCCTGGCCAACATGGCGAAACCCTGTCTCTACTAAAAATACAAAAATGAGCTGGGCGTGGTGGTGTCTGCCTGTAATTCCAGCTACTCAGGAGGCTGAGGCAGGAGAATCACTTGAACCTGGGAGGTGGAGGTTGCAGTGAGCCAAGATCGCACGGTTGCACTTCAGCCTGGGAAATGGAATGAGACTCCATCTCAAAAAAAAAAAAAAAAATTAAGATGGAGATAGCAGAACCATATAGGAAGTGTGGGGTCCTTGTAAGAGTGTGGTCCATAAACTTGGCTTTGTCTGTCTGCCTGGTTCATGGATTGTGACTATCCTCAGTTCCCCAGTGCCCATCATTCAACAAATGTTAGATGAATAAATGAATCAATATGTGAATGACTGTAAGAATAAGCTTTTGATGAAAGGCAGCCATTTTGTAAGCAAGACATTGCTGCTTTTAATTGTCCGCAGAAAGCCTCACAGAATCACTGCGGTGAGAGGAAAAAAAGTGTCTGCATGCAATTATTCGTAATAACAAATAATCATACTTTGTATGCGTGTAAGACTTTTCATGTTCAAAACACTTTCAAAACATTAATTAATTCTTACAACAGCATCAATGAAATTGAAACTAGAAGGAGAATTTGAGGTATGCAAAATTTAATTACCAATATTAAAATTTGCCACACAACTCACACTCCTCCCACTGGGCCAGGAAACACATTCCATGCCATCTTCTCTCCCTCTGAAAAAAACATGAACATGAGAACTTAGTTCTATTATATCAGTCAGGAAGGAGGCAAAACTATCTGTGGAGAAACCCCAAGGGGTGGGGAGAGGTATTTATACATCTGAGGGAGGATTGCATTTATTCATCTGTGAGTTCCCTTTAGATTCTGGGATTTAGGATTCTGGGAACCCAGGTAAGCATCGTCATGACCACAGGGTGGGCTCATTTTGAATAAAGATGTGGGGAATTCTGTGAGGTTATAAGATAAACCCCAGCCAGTTCTTTCCCCCGACCCCCAAGAAATGGTGGTGACTTCTTAGAATCCTGAGCCACATTGGGAAACTCTGGTGGGGACTTTGTCTACATTATTGGAGGGTGGGTGGAGTGTGGGTGGGAAAGCTTGGCCTTATACAAAGACAGCCCAAAGTGGGCAATGTGGAGCTGCTTCTAGAACCCTGAACATTCTGAACTTTTGGATCCTCTAGGCTGGAGGGGTGGGGGTAGGCATTGGTGCACCTTAGCAGGGGGAGGAGCTACCTGTCCTCTCTGGAGCAGAGAGAGCCTTCACACGGAGGACACCTGGGCTCTGTTTCCCATGAGGCATGAGGCCACTGGGTGGGGGGTGTCCTGGTGTCCTCAGCCAAGGACTCCTGCCTCCTGAAGGAAACGAGAGCATAGCTCCACATTCCCTAAGTGGGGCTGTGCATCGTGACTTCCTTCCAAAGGGGACAGTGAAAAGTCGGGGGAGATAAAAGGGTAACATTCTGGAAGAGAGATATAACAAACGCTACTTCAGCCAGGCGATCAAGGTCAACATCAAGGCACAAATGTTTGTTGTTTTCTTCTTCAGGCCTAGGTTTCTCCTCTGAAATAACTTGAGCTCTTCAGAAGGTACAAAATCTCTCTGACACTAAAGTTTAGTTTAACGACTGGCTAGAGACGTGGTAATCAAGCATCTCACTGACAAGCTTCTGTTTTCTTCTTCTTTGTGCATGGCCATGTCCATGTACTGCCTGATCCTACCCCTGTTTCCTACCTGTGCTCAGGAGCGGTGACTTCTAGGTCACATCCTTTCTTGCTGACCCCACTTTGGTTCCTGACATTTTTTGTGGTCCTCCTGCAGACCATTTAAGATCAATGTTAAAGCAAACTAAATATGGCCTGAGAAGGACTCCATATTTCTATATTTGAGTCCTGTGGATGAACTGTAACCTAGCTTAATGGTCAGACAAAATTAAAAACCTAACTTAATAGTATGCACCTGTAACAATAGCTAAGGGTTGGCCAATCCCAGTGGTCATAATTCAACCACTCATAGACTCCTGAATGTTCAAACTGCGTTCAAATAAGGCAAACGCCAAGCTGTAACCAATCTCACTGTATCTGTACCTCACTTCCGATTCTTGTACATCACTCTACCTGTTTGGTCTATAAATTTGTTCTGACCACGAGGCACCCCTGGAGTCTCCGTGAATCTGCTGTGTTCCTGGGGGCTGCCCGATTCACAAATTGTTCATTGCTCAGTTAAACTCCTTTAAACTTGATTCGGCTGAAGATTTTCTTCTAGCATCAGTCATGAGGTCCCATGAGACAGCAGTGACAGAACTGGAAGATACTTTAGACAGTAATTCTTGGTGGGAAGATACCTTGAGTTGAACCCAGAGTCTTGAAACTAAAATACTAAAGATACTTTGCACTGGGGTGGTGGTGAGAGAAGTATTTCTTTTAAAAAACTCCCAACCACTACCCAAGCCTGATTCCTGCAATGTACAGCAATGAAGGCAGATGAAGCTTCCTGGCCTTAGGTTGAACATACAGCCCTTTCCACTTTGGGTTGGCTAGTGTCATGTAACTCTTTTTAGTTTCTTTATTATTATTATTATTTTTGAGATGGAGTCTCGCTCTGTCGCCCAGGCTAGAGTGCAGTGGCGCGATCTCGGCTCACTGCAACTTCCGCCTCCCGGGTTCACGCCATTCTTCTGCCTCAGCCTCCTGAGTAGTTGGGACTACAGCCGCCACCACGCCAGGCTAATTTTTTATATTTTTAGTAGAGACAGAGTTTCACCGTGTTAGCCAGGATGGTCGCGATCTCCTGACCTCATGATCCGCCCGCCTCGGCCTCCCAACGTGCTGGGATTACAGGCGTGAGCCACCGCGCCGGCCTATTATTATTTTTTAAAACAAGCATTAAAACATGCTTCAGTGCTCTTTCATATGCAAAGAAGCAACCCTGGGAGCCTGCGCCTTTTCCAGGCCCTCATGCCTTCAGAAGCCAGAGTGTGCTAGGAGCACCGGGGGTGAGGACATAGCTTCAGCCTGAAGCTGTTCACTGGAGGTATCTTCCTAGTGTGTGCAGTGGGCCTTACTCAGTTTCCCAACCCTCCATCTCAGAGAAAGACAAAACCAATTGGATATGGTGTATGTACTTGTCAAACTGTTTATTTGCCATTCACACTGATTGTAACACTGGATTTACAGAAGAAACTGTGGTACAAAGAGAGGAAGGCTCTGGTGGCTCCTGAACAGCAGCAGTCCAGCTGCCCTGCTCAGGCTGGGCACGACGAATGCTCCCAGGAGAGGGGAGGCGGCCCACCCGACTGTGTACCGTGGACTGTGGACAGTGCAGTGCCTGCTCTCCTGTGCTATCTAGAAACACCTTGGAGAGAGGGTTCTGGGATATTCTCTCATGTCATCTGGCTGAAGACACCAGCTTGACAGTTCCCCTTTAAGAAGCATTCCATACGTTTGTACCAGGGAGAAAGAAGCCCACGCACGAATTTTCAGGATGTTTTGTGACCAAACCCAATAACTGCCACACAAATAGACCCTAGGTGGGGGCTGGCTTAAATAGGACCACATTTCCCGTTGCTTTTTCAGTAGATGTGTTATACCGTCATTTCAATTTGAAAGTTTATTTTTTTCCATTGATTTTTATACATCCAGAATAACACAAATAACCAACAGTTCTTTTTCTTTTTTTGCACATTCATTTCCCCTAGAACAAAAAAAGTGAACTTAAAAAAAATTGGAACCATGCTATTAGCTGTTTACAAAAGTGAATAAGAAGTAGCTCATTTTAAAGTCTAAAATAAACAAAGTAGAAAGAAGCATTTTTTTCCCTACAGTATTTAGCAAACCTAAGAAAAAGTCCTTAGAAACACACACAAAAAAATTGAAAAAAAGTTATAGGCATTAACAATATTTTATAATGAAGCTTAAAATCTATTTACATACATAAATACAATTAACTTTGTTGATGCAACTCTTCTGGAAGGAAAAAAAGAGCCAAATGATCAGCCTCATCAATACTGACCTGGCTAAAAACAAAATTCCCAACAAACACACAAAAATCCCAAAACAAATGTATACGCTACGGTAAACAAAAAGGCATTTTGTTCAGATGTAAAATATGTTTTGTGAGATTATTGTCAAACAAATTTTCATGTATAAAAGACCCAAACATGTCATTCCCCCCAAAAATAAAAACCAACAAAAATAAAAATCATCAGGACGGAATGTCCCAAAGAAACAGGTATTTCAAGGCAGAAATCTGCAATCCTAAATTGCAGGACATTTGAGTGGAACCATTCATTTCCTTTCTAATCAGAGCATTTCTGTTTATCTGCACAGAAACCCAAGGCAGCAGAAAGGCTGTCTATTTACTCACTGATTGTGATTTGCCCAGGAAAGTTTGCTGGTTTGGACAGCAAGCAGATCCAATATGGTTGGCAATGTCTCTGTTCTGCTGGAAGAAACCCATAAACAGGAGAAAGGCTGACAAACCATGTTCCTTTATGTGAAGGGGGAAGAACTGGACCTTCTTGTGTTCTGAAATTTGGTACTGGGTGGGGGTATGTGCTATCTGCTTAAGAGAACACAGGAAAAGGAGGAGGGAGAAAGTGGGGTTTGGAAGATAGAGGAAGAGAGAAAAAAAGGGAGATATTGGGGGGAAGAGAGGGAGGGAAATGTATTTTCAGATAGTGAGAAAAAGAAAGAACTGAAATATGTATCCATGTTGAAATCATAAATAGGGACATGAGTAAGCAGTAGAAATGGCTTATTCAATACTTCTCCTGGACCAGACACATGCAGTTATTACATGATTGGCTTAAGGGTCTCATTGATACCTTAACTTTCCTGAGGGCAATGAATAAAAAGATACCTTAATCTACCTGAAGTCAATGAATGCAATTTTTCACACACACACACACACACGCACACACACACACATACAAAAATGTGTTGCGTGAGACCTATCGCCAAAACAACTACAGTTTGATTTTTTTTGAAACAATTAAATACTATATATGCTGGTAAGAGTCTGTGAAACTCTAAATGACCAATCCAGTGAGCCTACAATAGTGACAAGCCCCCTCCACACATGGCTTTGAGAGTAAAGGTTCAATGTAAAAGATTATCTAATCAGAGCATGAGGCTGGTTTTGAGTTGGAATATCTTCAGTTAACAGAATTAAACTGAAAAACATAATTTTTTCCTTCATTTTTCTCCAGCATTTTTGCAGGTCAGACATGGTAACATGTGCTGAAAAAAAACATTTACGTTTAATTTGGGGGAAATGGGCTAATGGTGCTTTTCAGAAATTAAATTTTTACATTTGCTGACATTTTATGGTAATTTAGCTGCAAAAATGTAATACGGAATAATATATGAAACTGAGTTGTGGAGGGAATCCTGTCAAAAATGAAAGTGAATATATTCTGAGTTTGTCCGAGATCTGCTATAGCTCTTCTCTAGATAAGAACGACCTGACAACATAAGCTGCTTTACTCTTTAACTCTTACCAAAGTGCTACTGCATGTGTGTAAAACAAATAATCAATATATATATAAGAAAACTCAAAAACAAGTTGTTTTAAATAAGTCCAGCTGTTTTTGCTGCCTGCAGCCAAAGATTTGCCTAATTTGAATGCTTAAATTTATAAAATAAAAATCAAACACTGTTCTGAAGTCCTGCTTTCAAATACTCTTCAGAGTTGACCTGAAATCGTTTCAACGAATTTTAAGAGGTACGTTAAATAACCACCAGATCATTTGGAGCACACATGTGTCAAAATCAGCAGTTAGTATTTATGAGTTGTACAACAACTGCATTCTGACCAAATCCTCCAATAAAAATAGTGCCATAAAATTTACAGCGACATTGGATACCTTTGAATTGTAGCCACGGACAGTAGTGACATGAATCTTTCCTGTCACACTGGTGCACAGGTAAAAGCCCATATACCCCATAGGGTAGGGTCTCAGCCTGGTGAAAGCAACACAAAGATGTTGTTGAGTGAGCAGCACAGGACAGGGGGTCTCGCACAGGTGGGACCATGTTTTCCCACTTGTCTCCACTGAGGCACACAGAGGCAAATTGACTCCTCGAGGCCTGCTTCTGGTGGGCCCTTAAATTGCTATAATCGTAACCCCTAAATTCATTGATTTGGTTCCTATGTAAATGTGGCTCCCCTACACAGTTTACTTTGGCTGTGTTCTGTTACACAGCATCTGTGAAATTATCAGATGACCTTGGGGTGAGCAAATCCCTGGGCAGAAATCAAATCCTCTCCAAAGATGTAATTATTGGCACCTGCCTCAACCCTCTGGAACTAGATTGACCTTCTCTGTTTTAAGGAGGAAGTTAGATATGAGACCCTTGTTGAGCCTGGCAGAAAATTCCATACTTCTGATCCTTGGAGTGACCCTCAGTGTCTAAAAATCCTATTAAAAACGTTGCTGCGTGAGCTACTCACTTGTTTGATTAACATGAAAGGGAGTTTAATGTAAACAATACTTCTGGATAACCAAGCGATCACATTACTCATTCTTTTTTTCTAGCCTTCTTCAATGTGATACATTTAACTTTGGCTACTATCAAGAACAAAAGAAAATGTAGTACTTGATATTTTTCTTAATATAAGTACATTTAAATAATTAAAAAATTATCAACACATAAATGTCTGAACATCAAGATACATAAATATCTGGGGATTCCTTGTGGGAATACAGTAGTTAAAAATGACCCAAAGCTGTAGCTGTTTCTCAAAAAAACAAAACAAAACAAAAAAAAACAACTACCCAAAAGTCCAAAAGAAAAGTTAAATAAAACTTAAAGAAAAGGGAATCATATTTCTTTCCATGGTCAAAGCAAGAAAGAAGCAAGCTCAATTTATATATATTTATATAAACGTATATAAAAATAAAAACCACCCAAATGCAAATACGCATTTTGCAATTGATAAGGTGCGGAAAAATTAAAAATAAGAATTAGATGCCAAACAGGGCGAGTTGCATCCCTCCTCTCCCCCCACCCCAACCAAAATTCCACACTCTTTGGAATAAACAACTTGGTTAAAAAGTTAAGTCAAGGGTATAAAATCTTTCTTTTTATTCACAGCATTGCTAAATCAGAAGCATTCACAGTTTCCCTCCGGGAATCTTCCTGTTTGCTTTCCAGCGCGTCCCCTGGGTGCTGGGGCCGGCGGACACCCTCGAGGTGCGTCGCCTCGGACACCTCCGCGAGGGCCGGGGCGCCAGCAGACGGCGGCGGCGTGGGCTTCTGGGCGCAGGAGGCTGCGCGGGCCTGACCTACAGCGAGATCCTGGCCGTCGGGCGCCCTCGGCCCCAGGACGGTGGCCGGGCCCAGGGCCCGGGATCCCGGCGGGCTTGTCGCGAACAGGAGGCCCGCGCGCCCGGAGGCGAAGGCGGCGGCCCGCGGGGCCCAGCCGGGCCAGGCCTGGCGCCTCAGTAGGGCCTCCACACGGCCTCCTCCAGGCGCGCGGAGGGCGCCATGTTGGTGGGGGAGTTGCTGTGGCTGCCCTCGGCCTCCACCACGTCGCTCTGGTTCGGGAGGCTGGGGTTGAGCAGCGCGGAGCCGGTGGAGGCGTTGGTGCAGGGCGGCAGGATGCGCGGCGGCGAGCGCTCGCCGCCCACCATGGAGAACTGGTAGGAGCCGGCCGAGGCGCCGTAGTACAGGTGGTAGGAGGGCGAGCTGGCTTGGAACGGGCCTCCCTGCGCTTGCGACGAGCCGGGGTAGGGCGGCGGCAGGTAGGTGTGGTAGCGCGTGGCCGAGCCCATGGCCGACATGCCGATGCCGATGCCCGAGGTGACCGGCGTCGGGGAGTAGGTGAAGGCGCCTGGATAGTGCATGCGGGGGTCGGAGATGGAGGGCAGCGCGGGGAACTGGCGCGGGTCGCTGAACGCTGTCAGGTCGGGTGCCGCTGCAGGGCGGGCAAGAGAACGGAGCGGAAGTGAGTAGGAGGTTGCGGAGGCCACAGCTCTTCCCTCTGCCCCAGGGGGCTACCCAGGATGATACCGCCTAGGAGGATGGGAAGCCACCCAGGATGCTACTGCTGGGGAGGACGGGGACCACCCGGGATGCTACTCCCAAGAGGACGAGGATTACCCAGGATGCTATACCCAGGGGGACAGGGACCACCCAGGATGCCACCTCCTGAGATGACGAGGATCACCCAGCATGTCACCTCCCAAGAGGATGGGGACTACCCATGATGCTATGCCCAGGAGGTCGGGGACCACTCAGGATGCCACCTCCTGAGAGGACGGAGACCACCCAGGATGACACCACCTGGGAGGATGGAGACCACCCAGGATGCTACCGCCTAGGAGGACGGGGGACACCCAGGATGCTACTGTCCAGGGAGATGGGTTTCTATCAGAATTTACCGCCCAGGAAGATTGGAACCACACAGGATTGCTACCACCTGGGAGGATGGGGGCTACTGAGGATGCTGCTGCCTAGGGAGAGGGTTTCTACCCAGAATCTGCCACCCAAAAAGATGAGGTCACCCAGGATGCTATGCCCAGGAGGACGGGGATCAGGAGGCTGCTACTGCCCAGGAGGATGGTATAATATACAGTAATATAATACGGTAATATAGAATATCATGTAATGTAATATGACATGATATATGAAATGATGTAGTATAGCATAATATGTATAGTATAGATATAATGTGCAATAGTATATACTATAATATGTATAACGTATATAAAATGTTGATATAATCCTAGGGTTGGCAAACTGCAGCCTGCCAGCCAAATCTGGCATTTTTGCATGTCCCAGGAGGTAAGAATGCATTTTACATTTTTTAAATGGTTGAAAAAAAAATCCAAAAAAGAATACTTCCTGACCTGTTAAAATGACAGGAAATTCAAACTTCAGTGTCCATCCATACTTCGGAACACATCCTCACTCATTCTTTCATGTACTGCCTGTGGTTGCTTTAGAGCCACTACTGTAAAGTCAGGTGGTCAGTATAGGGACTGCAGGAGCCACAGAGCAAATATTTATTCTTTTTTTTTTTTTTGGAGACAAAGTCTCGCTCTGTCACCAAGGCTGGAGTGCAGTGGTGTGATCTCGGCTCACTGCACCCACCACCTCCTGGGCTCAAGCAATTCTACTGCCTCAGCCTCCCGAGTAGCTGGGATTACAGGCGCCCGCCACCAGGCCTGGCCAATTTTTGTATTTTTAGTGGAGATGAGATTTCACCACGTTGGCTAGGCAGGTCTCGAATTCCTGACCTCAAGTGATCCACCTGCCTCAGCCTCCCAAAGTGCTGGGATTACAGGCATGAACCACCGTGCCCAGCCCTAAAATATTTATTCTCTGGCCCCTTACAGAAAAAAGTTTGCTGACCCTCTATTTGATCAATATATTAATATACCAATAATATAAATTAATCTGTGATATTAATATAGCAGATGATAATTTGACACTAATGTAAAGGATGCACAAATATGTTACTACTAACACAATATGTTATACATAATATATATCCTAACAATATTAATATATAATAATACATTACACATAGTATTTAGGTTGAATGATAGAAAATTGCCATTTTTATAGGCCTTCGACAGTTGAAAAATTGATAATTTCCTAGTATTTAAGCGAATGCATGGCTCAGTAGCAACTGCTGAGCGAATGTCAGGGAATACCATTACCACTCCTCCTCTCCATATCTACTTTCATACTAGTTCCACAATTTTAGAAACAGTACTGCCTTGAGTTCACCTGGTATTCTCTATTATGCACTTCACTAGTTTGTTAACACAAGTAGATGTAGGACCTTGATTTATCTACTCTGTTTTTTGCACATGTGGAAATTTTACCAGAAATTGTAAAGCTTTGTCTCTAAAACTCACTTTGTTACGACTGTACATTATTTTGTTAGGATTATGGATTTACAGTTTCACCAACTGGCTTTAGGGCTGTCCTGTGGTTCACTGGCTCTCTCTGCATTTTTCTTACCTACAGGCCGCCCTTGGGAACTACGGAGGATTTGTGTATTAGGCAGGGTTCCCTATATCTGTAGATCAGAGTTTCTCAACTGTTGACACTGTTGACATTTTGGGCCAGATCATGATTTGCTGGGGTGGAGGGGGCTGTCTCGTTCATCGTAGGATGTGTGGCAGCATCTCTGCTTTACCCATTAGGTGTTAGTAGCATCGCCCGCCCCTCTTGTGACAACTCAGAATGTCTCCAGACATTGCCAGATATCCTGCGGGTGGGGTGACGGAAGCAAAGTCACCCCAGCTGAGAACCACCACTGCAGATGTAGAAGGGCACCCTGGAGAAGTTCAGGTTCCTTAGAATTATTCATTAAATGACCAGGCTAGGACTCTCCTCTTTATATCAGCAAATCCACAGACAGCAACAAACAGTAGAAACATGAATTCATTGTTTTAAAATGTGAAGTTCTCAGATCAACACACAAAATAACTCTTAAGCTCAGATGGCATGTGGCCTGTGTCCTTTTGAGTTCAGGCTGATAGAGAAAGTCGACAGAGCCAAAAGCTTGCTCTGAAAGGAAAGCTACCAAGGTGGATTAATCTGTTTTTGGAAGGCAGCGGCAGTTGATCAACTTCCTCATATTTCAAGCCTATTATTCCAGCAGGGAGAGCTAGTGTGTTTTCTCTCTCTCTCGCTCGCTCTCTCGTCTCTTCCACACCCCATCCTCCCTCCCTCTAATGGCCTTTTATTGCTCTAACACATTTTTAAAAATGAACTCCTCTGTACCTTTGGGGTGAATGTGATGAGGGGATACACTCCTCATCAGAGGTAATTAAAGTTTATAGAAACAGCCCAAGTCTGTAGCAGATCCCTTCACTAATGAGGAAACCAGGAGTCTGACTTTCAAACAAACACTCCTGTTAATCTTTTCAAAGCCAGGCAGACATGTGGGCAGGGAAAACGTTGTAAACGGACAGTGGTTCTGAGGCTGCCCTTCCTTGGCCACACTCTAGTCATTCTCGAGCCAGGCCACACCTCATTCCACAGGGTTCATCCCTGCCCGCTCTTTGGGGCCATCTGTGAGCAAGCCCTGTGTCACTTGTTTTTGCTGACATGGAGAGCTGTGACATGTTTGAGAGTTAACAGGAAGCTTTACTCCATTTTTCCATTTAGATTTATAGAGTCTACGGAGAAGCTGGGACAGGAGGAAAAGCATTAGGCAAATACAGTCAGTTTGTTGTCATCTGATGCAATACTCTGGACACAAATAAATGACTCTGCCCATTATTCCTCTTGCTTCATTTGCCCTGAGACAAAAAGGTGAATCCACTGGAAAATGAACGAAAGGTCACCCTGTTTTACAGCAATGTCTGGACATGCTCTGCCAGTAGGTTCCAACTACTACATGGTAATGTGGTGATGGTACCAAGTTACTGGAATCCAGAGTGAGTCCGTGATTTGTCATGGACATAAGTACTGGAATGATGTTATGGTCTCAGCTGTTGGGGGAAAATAGTTCTTTCACTTGTGAGGAGAACATCCAAAAGAAAGAGCTGCAATGCTGCCTGTGATCCTTCTTCTATGTACACATGAGCAACGTCATACTACAAAAGACCATCCATTTGGTCAAACTATCTTTTTTACACACATTTTGATAATACAATATCTTAGGCCTTCTAGATATGCTCAGATTCAAATGCTATATTCAAATGTTGGTTTTCATCTTTGTGTCTTGTCTCAGATCCCTTATTCAAACCCATCAGTCTGCGCAGTTCACCCATCCAGCTGTAGCTCTTCTGTCCTTTTGGCTGGCCTGGTGTCCCCTGATTCAGCAGAAGTGTGGGGGGAGTTGGGATCCCCTGATATTCACAGAGAGTTTTTAAGAGTAGGAAATCTGGGGCTTAGGAGGTCCAGGTATTTTGGTTGGAAGTGTTTTCCCATTGATGGGGCTAAATATTTGCCATGACAGCTCAAGTCTTCGCTCTCCAGCTTGACATGGATGAAAGCAGCCTCGCTACAGGGCCCCTCCTACTGCCCCCAGAGGATTAAACAACCTGAGCAGGTAATGGCTGCCTTAAAAGGAGCTTTTGCATGACTCAGATTAATGCATGCTGTCTGTCGCCCAGGTTGGCAGCTAAACATTAATTTTTTTTGAAAAAGAAAAAAAAAAGTAAACCTCTAGATGACAACTCTTTTCAGACAAGGTGTGGAGTCTGTCTGCAAAGGATAGAGAGAGAGAGACAGACAGAGTCCAAGTCCCCAGCGCAGAAGGAAGCCCAGGTGGGGCTGGGGCCGGGAAGAGGGGCAGAGCACAAAGCTGTCGGGCTGGATTAAAAGGCAAAGCAGCCACAGAGCAGTGTCAGGTTCTCAAAGCTGTCGGCCAGGCAGCCACTTTCCTTTTATGTATTCCACCCCCCTCCTGCCTCCAGGTTTATGACAACACTTTTCAGGCCTGTGCTCCAGGCTTGATTTCTCAGAGGGAGTTCTGCCAAATTGAAGAGCAGTCTCCCATACTGTTCTATGCCACTGTGAAAGCTCATCTGGAATTCTGTCCTCCCTCCAAAAAGAAAAGAATCATTCTTGGGTTCTGAAATGAGGCATGGTTTTTATCTACTTCACACTCCCATGCCATAAAATGTTCTCTCTTACTCCTTGGGTGATTGAAGTCCAGGATATTCACAAATGTAACTGTGATATGGGACTTTGGAGTGCACATGTTACTCATTCCTTTTATTTAAAAAGTCACCCTACCATCTGAACACCAGTCAGCTGGAGGAGTTGGCCCCTAGGGTTCTTGGACTATAAGGTGCTGATCTTGGGTGATGACCAAGTCAAAAGACTTATGTAATAAATTCCAAAGGATAGACCCATAGCAGGAACATTTGAAGGAGAACAGGCATTATTTCAGGTGAAGACCGTAGCCGGTGTGCAGAGGGGTGCCCTGAGAACAATCAGTAAAAGCTGACAAGTGCCTTTGTTCTTGAGGGATAAGCTTCTAGAAACCACAAGCTAAACAAGATGCCAAGATACCTGTGCTACTCTCAATGCCTTGGAGCAGAATGTACCATGAAAATATTGGCATTAATGGCCAAAAGTAATGTGAAAACCAAGCACTTAAGTTGGTTTTCCTATTTTACTGTACCACCCAAGAACACTGGAAGGCAGTGGTTCTCACCTGGGGACAGTTTTGCCCCTTGGGAAATTTGGCAATGTCTGGAAACATTTTTTATTGTCCTAACTGGGGTGAGGGGGATGCTATTGGCATCTAGAGGCCAAGGATGCTGCTAAATATTCTCCGATGCTCAGGACAGACCCCCCCCAACAAAGAATTATTTGGCCCCAAATGTCAATAGTACTGCCGTTGTGAAGCTCTTAGAAGGCATTCTGTGAAGCTCTGAACAGCAGCTAAGGCATCTGGTGAAACCTGAAGTAATCACAACTGTCTGGAAAACACAACATTACACAACATTTAAAATGGCAGACATGACTCCACTGCCCCTGTGCCTGCCCCCTAATCTGCTATAATTTGATCCCAAGAGCTGAAAAGCAAGACCCGCCCCGTTCCCCCAACACACATGCGAGTGTGTTTGCAGGCATCATAACACTGAAGTTCTCTGAAGTATTTTCACAGTTTGGTGCAGCTCCAATTTCAAAGCCCCAAACACTAAGTTTCTTCTTTTGCCTTCAACAAAGGAATTTTTCTCTGTAACTCTGATTTCCCTGCCCACGAGCAAAGGTGAGTGCCAAGCCCAAAGGGCTCATAGGTTAAATGACTAATACTTAATGAGCTCATATTAACAACAATTATGCTAACCATGACACCTGAGTTTTTCACGCTGTTCCTCTGGCCTCTGTATGAACAGCGCTTAGTTGGAATGTCTAATTTGGGGTATACAGTCGGTTCTCTATATCCGTGGGTTCTGCACCTGTTTAACCAACTGTAGATCAAAAATATTATTAAAAAAAAGGATGGTTGTGTCTGTATTAGACATATACAGACTTTTCTTCTTGTCATTCCCTAAACAATGCAGTATAACAAGTATTTACATAGCATTTACATTTTATTAGGTATTACGAGTAATCTAGGGATGATTTAAATACATGGGAGGATATATATGTTATATATAAATATACCATTTTATATGAGGGACTTGAGCATCCATGGGTTTTGGTATCCATGGGGGGTCCTGGAACCAGTCCTCCATGGATACCAAGGGGCGGCTGTATTTATTTCCCATTCCACATGTACTCCCGTGTGCTGTCCATGTGATCTGTGAAAATTTACCACCACCGCATGGACCAGTCCCATTAGTCCAGAATTCATTTGGAATAATGAGTCCTAAAAGTTGAAAACTTTGGCTTTTTATATTGTTCTTAACCCTTCAGTCACCATCCTTTCTTGCCAAATGTGAACAACTTTAGATGTCTAAGGAACCTACTTCTCCAAGCCACTTCTGCCTTCACATCCACAATCTCTGCCTCTTATGTATCCAAGAAAATCAGTGCATGGGCATGGGACTCAGAGTAGAGATAGGTCACCTTTAAACCATGTTTTACTCAATAATGTTCTGCCAACTCCTTCATGCACCTCTAGTCTCCTGGACCTTCCACCCCAGCTCAGCTGCAAAGAATGTGTTTTCAAGTGGCTTACTTGAGAGTCGACTGGAAAGTTCTGCAGAGAGGGTTGTCATGCCGCTGGCACGTCCAGGTGAAATGGGCGTTGCTGGGTGCACAGAAGGAGAGGCAATGGATCCCAGGTATTGGTAGGACTGATCGTAGGACCACGGTGGGGATGGTTGGATCTGCCTTGTATCTGAAGAGAATCAGAAAGGTCAATTATATGTAAAGTGGGGTGGGATTTAAAAAATGTCTTTTAATAAGAAATGAGTGGCCCTTGTTCAAATATGTCACATACATGTATGTGGCCTATGTACCAGGGTTTAATAAGCCTACTCAAGTCCAAGTATCTGCCTCTGTTGGATTATTTTCCCCCAAAAGAGACTGATTCTTGGAGATTTTCACCTGATAACTATTCCTTCCAAAGGTTTTATTTAATCATGCTAACAATGATGAGAGGAATGGATTACACTTTCAAGGTAGAAGTATTAATGTCCAGACTGTTGAACTGCAGCACTTGAGAACTTCAAGTATCATATGACTGCTGACATGATTTCAGCTTTGCCAATAATTACAATTATCATCATCAGAAACATTTTATAAACTCAGGGGATCACCTGTCTGTGTTCGGTAAGAACGTAGAGTTTTGGGCTTTTTTTTTATACCTTTACCTTTGGCAAAAAGTATTCCATGGGCTGGTAAATGTTTTATAGTAAGGCGAATTCTCTCCCAAGGATGACAGGAAAGAAGGTCTGGCTGGGAAACCGGCAATGAGGTCTAATGACTAGTTCACAAACCCAGCAGTAGAACTGGCCCTATCAACCCAAGCCTTCTGTTCCTTTTCAGGACTTCGAGTTTGCAACTTTTAAAAGTCAGAGTTTTTAGCAGGTATTTTATAGATTGCCATTATAAGAGGCCTGGGATAGAGAAGAGACAAAAGTCTGACTTCAAAAGATTTAGACAAAGTGGATTTTGTCAATTTGACTCCAGCGTTCAAAGGAGTCTTAATTTTCAAAAGCATCATACTGTTTGCAGATGAAAAGGGGAGGAAAACCAACGCTATTCTTAGGCAAATGTGTAAGGAAACTTAAATTGGACACTGTCCCACTAGAAGACAGTTTTACATTTCTTTGGAGTTAAACATTAATTTTCTCTTTATGTCCCAACTTTGTGGACAAAGATAACAGTGAACTACCGTAACTCCCAAGGGTCTTCATAGCCAGAGCTTCATGATCCTGCAGGTAGCAGTGTAGGAAGAGCAGACTTCTTTAGGAAAATACTGGGTATAAGTTTTGTATAGGTCAGGACATAAAGAAATGAGCTATTTCTGCTCATTATAAAATATTCAGATCTGCTTCCTCCAGGGGCTTTTCATTTCCAGCAGTTCAAGTTTGCCTTTCTGTTTATCTCTTTGAAGCTGCCACAGTGGATAACAGAATCAGACATTTGGAGACCCAAGTCTTCCTCCCCAGTATTCTCCTGACAGCCTCCCTCCCTCCCTCATACTGATTCATTTCTTTCTTTTTTGTGTGTGAGTGAAAATAACTGATTTTTTAAGTTTAAAAAACCTGGTAGTTCCCAGGCAAATAGTTTAACTTGGAATCTTTGAAATCTAATATTAAAGAAAGGTCTTCATTTTATTCCAAATTTTAGAGGATTTAAAGAGCTGGCAAGGAACAAAAGGAGCTGGTCCATTTTAAACTCAGCAGAAAATAAATGTTCAACCTTGGCTGAAGCTCCTGTGTAATCTTACAGCTAACAGTGTTTCCAATGACTAAAGGCAAACAGAAATAGCAGACGGTTCAATATCCCCATGCTACTGCAAGTATTTTGCTCCAAGTGAAAAAAAAATCATATACTTAGATATTTTGTATAAGACATGCGTATATACTAGATACACACATTTACTAAGTGAATATATAGTACTCCAATACTTTAATCATTTTAAAAGCAAACAAAAGAGGTTTCAGAACTGTCATAAAGCCCCCCGGGGTGTGAACTGCAGTACAGTAATTCACGCCTTGTTGTGTAGACAGCCTCACACCTCTAACCCCATGTCTAAAGCCACACTAAGCATAAAGTACTATGCCATGATTCATGCTCCGTCATGTTTTACTGTAGTGAAAAAGTCGTGCTAGGCTTTTCTAAACTCATAATTAAACCATGCAAACGTTGCATAATATTTCACAGCCTTTAAAAAATATGCTTTGGTAAAATGATCTTTATGATTAAAGTCCAAGTTCTATGAGTTTTTTTGTTTTTTAAAGACAGGCTTGCAGATTCCACATTTTCTGACTTCACACCATAACTTAGCTTTTCAGGTGCTGGAGGGGAAGATGGCAGTCAACACCCTGAAGCCCACCCAACCCCCACATCAGTTTTCTTTCATGAGACCACAGTGACCTGTGCTTGGGTTCATTGCCAGTGGTGGGCCAGAAGGTGGGGATGGTGAGCCTCTAATGTTGGGGTTTTAGTTGTTTCCTCTTCTACCTGTGTTACTAATAGAAAACAAAAACAAAAAAGGCCTGATAATATGGTGCATTCTGGGTTTAATATTCATTACTGTCTTTGGTCTGACAGGGCCAACATGAACTCATGGGCCACCCGAGCACTGGACTAATAGGCAGGAGAGGTGAACTCTTGGTCTTTCTGTCTGGTGAGCAACTGGGTGACATTGGATTACTCACTGACACTTTCTTATTCTCACCTCCGAAGGAGGTGATCCCTAAATCCTTTCCAATGGTGACAGAGCAGGATTCTAATTCCAATAGGTCCTACACAGTATTTCTTTGCTTTACTTGTACATTAAGCAGAGTCAGGGAAGAATCAGATGTGGGGTGAAGAGTGGTGCCTGTAATAATAAATTTGTGTATTCTAGGAAGAGGAAGTAGAGGAGAGTACGATGGGAGTTATCCAGAAAAGGCCCCAGGCTGAGGAAGAGAACCACTGTAAATCATTCTCCAGAGCACAGGGCTACTTGTTCTTGAAAGAGTTGCCTCTGATAAGTCAATCCATCTAAAAGAACAAAAGCTTATTGAACATTTACAGTGTGCCAGGAATGTGCTAATTTACCTGGCAGGAGAGTGATGAATAAGACCAACATGGTCCCTGCCCCACAGGCACTTACAGTCAGTGAAGATCCCAGGATCTTGTGATGCTTGGAAAGGCATCTTCCTGTGGCATTAATCATCATACTGGGTGTTGCTTCATTCATTTATTCATTCATGTGTTCATGAAATTACTTTTTCATTCACTCATATTTCCAACAAACATTTTTGCTTCACTTGGGCCACTGTTTTGGGGACTCACTAGTGAATGGAAGGTTCCTGCCTTCTGGAAGTTACAGCTACTAGGGTGCCCAAGGGCTGTATCTGGGCTAACTGCTAGATTAGCTGCCTAATTTGGACTTGCAAACAGCTGTTCCCAAGGTAGAAACAAGAACCCTAGTGGTATCTATTACATGCTTATGTTCTGCCTCTGAGAGGAGGAGACTAGGGAAAGCACCGAACTCAAATCACAGACAAATTTCAGTTTGCATCCTGCCTTCACCATAAACCAACTGGATGACCTTAGGCAGGTCACTTATTTTCTCTGATTCATAGTTAGAATTCTGACTTCAAAGGGTAATAGGAGTAAGTGAGATAAACTATATGGAAAGCAAGTATCACAATTTCTGGCCATAGTAAATGCTCAATAAGTCTGAATAACCTTTATGATTGTATTACTAAAAAGGAAAAGAAATCCATGCCAAGGGACTTATCTGATGTTCATTGGTGAGACCACACACATTTGCTCCAGGATAAGGCTCAAGTAATAGTGTTTTGTTCACAGCTACAGTCTTGACAGACACACTCTTCAGGCTGGAGAGGAGCTGGGCTCAGGAGATTAAATGGTAAAGGGGCAAATTTCCAAAGATTGGAAATTTGGGATTAGGATGGAGAAGGCAGGAACTCAGTATCTCAACCAACTCATGTTTCTATTAAAAAATACTGGATTCAGGGCCGGGCGCAGTGGCTCATACCTGTAATCCCAGCACTTTGGGAGGCCGAGGCGGGTGGATCATGAGGTTAGGAGATCGAGACCATCCTCGCTAACACGGTGAAACCCTGTCTCTACTAAAAATACAAAAAATTAGCCGGGCATGGTGGCGGGCGCCTGTAGTCCCAGCTACTCGGGAGGCTGAGGCAGGAGAATGGCATGAACCCAGGAGGTGGAGCTTGCAGTGAGCCAAGATCGTGCCACTGCACTCCAGCCTAGGTGACAGAGCCAGACTCCGTCTCAGAAAAAAAAAAATAATAATAAATAAAAAACACTGGATTCAAAAATTTAAATTTGAGCCTTTATGCATACTGGTTTTCCAGGCTAAATGATGTCTGATGCAGCCACTTTACTGAGGCCATTTTGTGATGGGTTATTTTCAGCTTTTTAATCATCAATAATGGGTAAAACAGGCCTTCTACTCCTTGATCCCCATTCCCTTCCATTTGAAATGGGAAGTTAGGGATAAGGTAGAGTTGAGGTTAGTGGTGAGCTCAGAGGTGTACACGGCATATATCACACAAGAAGAAAGGAGAATGCTTTTATCTTTTGATGCAGCAATATTAAAATGTCTCTAGAGTCAACAATGACCCTTTTAAATAATTCATGTCAGAATGTCCTGTTGCTTCTAGTTTCAGTTCCAAAATTTAAAGAGCTTGAGAGTCATCACTCTTGTTTTTATAAGAAAAAATGCTGAACAAACTGAAAATCCATGACTTTTCTTAAGTCCAATGGAAAGCTGAAGTTGCAGGGCAAACTGCAACCCCAAATTTTGAGAAGCAGGCAAATATAGAGAATCATAGTGAGGTCTGCTTGCTGGGAGCAGAATTTCTGAATTCATAAACTGATGAGAACACTTAATGGTGATTTTGACAGATTGCTAGAGGCTCAGTACAGACTAGTGTGCGAATAAGACACTCCTAGGGGCTACAGTTTCAGGAGGAAGTGCACTGTTGTGGGTTTTTCATTCAGGAACTCCACCAGATTCTCACAGGATCCAATATATTATTATAACAGTGGGTTATGGCTGAAAGAGCTTCAACATACTGACTAAGGAGGAGTTCATAGAGAAGCTCACAGATGACATGGGAGACAAAAACAAGGACGCTAGAGGAATTTGAAGTCTCTGGTACCTTCTGAAAACATTAAATACAGCCCAACTCTTGGGTACATGAGAATAATAACTCACGCTAAAGGCCTACTAAGTTCCTATTGCCTGATAAATCATGTTAAACTTTCAATAAAAAATTACAAGAAAGGCAAGAAAAAAACACAGTCTGAAGAGATAAAGCAAGCATCAGAACCAGACCCAGATGTGACACAGATTTTGGAATTACAAGACAGGGAATTTAACAATGATTAACATGTTAATGGCTCTAGTGGAAAAAGAAGACAAGGTGCAAGAAGAGATGGATGATGTAGGCAGGGAGATGGAAACTTTTTTTTTTTTTTTTTTGAGACAGTGTCTCGCTCTGTCGCCCACACTGGAGTGCAGTGGCGCAATCTTGGCTTACTGCAACCTCCGCCTCCTGGGTTCAAGTGATTCTCCTCCTCAGCCTCCCGAGTAGCTGGGATTACAGGCACCTGCCACCACGCCCAGCTATTTTTTCTTTTTTTTTGTAATTTTTGGTAGAGACAGGGTTTCACCATGTTGGCTAGGTTGGTCTCGAACTCCTGACCCCAGGTGATCCACCCACTTCGGCCTTCCAAAGTGCTGGGATTACAGGCATGAGCCACCGTGCCCAGCCTGAAACTCTTAACACTCAAAAGCAAATTCTAAAAACCAAAAGCACCCTAACAGAAATGAGGAATGGCTTACTTAGTAGACAGAACATGACAAAGCAAAGAACCAATGAACTTGAAGATACAGAAACTTACCAAACAAAAAGATAAAGAGGAAAAAGAAAGAACATCCAAGAACTGTGAGAAAGTTTCAAAAGATGTAATGTGTAATTGGAATACCAGATGGAGAAGAAAAAGAAAACAGTGGAAGAAATACTTGAAGTATTAATGGCTATGAATTTTCCAAAATTAATGACAGATACCAAACCACAGATCCAGAAAGCTCAGAGAACACCAAGCATAATAAATACCAAATCTACACCCAGGCATATCATATTTAAACTGCAAAAAACCAAAGAGAAGAGAAAATCTTGAAAGAAGCTAGAGAGGGGGAAAAGCCAACACCTTATCCATAGAGGAAAAAGGATAAGAATTACATTATCTTTCTCTTCAGAAACCATGCAAACACAAAGAAAGGAGAATACATGAAGTGTTGCAACAAAAAAGCTACCAAACTATTATTCTGCATTCAGCAAAATTATCCTTCAAATTCAAAGAAATAAGGATATTTTCTGACAAACAAAACTGGAATAATTCATTGCCAGCTGACCTGCCCTATGAGAAATGTCAAAAAGAACTGCATAAAAAAGGAAGAGCATTAGAAAAGTACTATATTAAGGTAAAATTAAGTTTTATTTTTCTTAACTGATCTGAAAGATAACTGTTTACAATAATAGTAACAAAGTATTGAGTGATTATAGCATGTGGATAAATGAAATAAAAGGCAGTAATGATATAAACAGGAAGGAAGAAGTGGTAGTTATTTGATGCTAGATGTAGATTAGTTATACATGTACTTTTCAAACTTTAGGGCAGTAACTAAAAACATTTTTAAAAAGAATGATTAATATGCTAACAGAGGAGATAAAATGGAATCATATAAAATGTTCAGTTAAACCTATAAAAGGTAGAAAAAGAGGTGTGGGGGGAAGAATCAGGTGCAACAAATATAAAAGTTATAAATATGATTGATACTACTGCAGTTATATTAATACTTAGGTTAAATATGAATACTCTAAATGCACCAATTTAAAGACAGAGATTGGCAGTGTGGATTAAAGACAAGACCCAACTACATATTGTCTACAAGGGACCTATTTTAAATAAAAATATTTATACAGATTACAAGTAAAGGGATGGAAAAAGGTACACCATGCTAACACTGATTGAAAGAAAGCCAGAGCAGCGATGTTAATTTTATACAAAGCTGACTTCAGAGGAAGGACAATTTTCAGGGATAAAGAAGGGAATTACATGATGATAATGTGGGTGAATTCTCTAAGAAGACAGCATCTTTAATATATGTCCACCTAAAAACTGAGTGTCAAAAAACATGAGGCAAAAACTGATAGAACTACACGGAGAAATAGGTAAATACGCTATTACAATTGGAGACTTCAACAACCCTCTTTCAGTAATTGATACATCAAGCAGGCAGAAAATTAAGACACAGTTGACCTAAACGGCACTACCAGTCAACTTGATCTAATTAACATTTATGGAATACTCTAACAACAGCAGAATACACATTCTTCAGCTCACATGGAAGATTCACCAAGATAAGCCATATTCTGGGCCACAAAACACACTTTAAGATCCTTAAAAGTATAGAAAGCATACAAAGTATTTTCTCAGACCACATGGATTTAAATTAAAAAGCCAATAATAGATAACTGGAAAATCTCCAAATATTTGGAGATTAAACAACATACTTCTACATTAGACATGAGTCAAATAAAAAGTCTCAAGAGAAATTAAAAAATGTTTTGAACTAAATGAAAATACAACTTATTACAATTTTTGGATGCAGATAGAACAGTACTTAGAGGGAAATTTATAGCATTGAATACATATATTAGAAAAGAAAGATCCAGAATCAGTCACTGAAGCTTCCACCTCAGGAGACTGGAGAAAATAGCAATACAGACCTCAAGCAAGCAGAAGAGAAGAAATAATAAAAATTAGACTAGGAACCAGTGAAATTAAGTACAGGAAAATAATAGACAAAATCAATAGAACAAAATATCTTGTTCTTTGAAAAGTTCAAAACATCCCTCTTTGTCCTCGTGCTCCCCACAGGCGCTGGGAGAAGATGGATAGAGACCCCTCCCGGCCCTCCTCTGACTGTCCACTCTAGGGTCTTTTAAACACCCACCCTCAGAAGCTGGGTTTCCAACAGCACCCCTTGAGCGGTGGCACCCTTCATCCTGGGCTTGGAGAAGGTTATAGTTAGAAAGCCCCTTCCTTGATTGTGTGGCTGACATCTTTAAAACGCCAGGTCTTTCAGTCATCTCTCAGAGCTATTTAAAAATAAAAGTCACATAGACCACAGGGTTCTACCATCTATTTTTGAAAAAGGCAAATCAGCTTGGTGAACATATAAACCCTAGGGGCAGCCCTGGTTATTTCCCTGGAGGAATTTTTTCCCTCCTTCATCCTGGAGGAAGGTAGGGACGTTCCCAGGGTTCCCTCCAGATTCACCTCAGTCATGGGGAGCTGGTGTAATGCCCTCTTGGAGACCTCAGAACACACAACAGGATGTGACTCAGGACTCAGAGATGTGAGTCAGTTTCCAGGGTGATGTGTTAGGGCGAGCCCCAGTGGTGGTTTGCATCTCACTGTCTGGGACCCCTGGGAAGAAAGGCCTAGGCTCCCCTTGCAGACAAAGGGGGTGACCCCAGATGCTTCCCAGCATCACATCTGTCAGAGGTGTGTGATGTCAGGGGCCTTTCAGAGTCCCTGGGGGTGGGTGACTCTGCTCTGAAAGGGACATTTCCCTGAAAGTTCCACTGTCTTTGAGAAGCAGTGTTTCCTCTGGCCTCTGCAGCAGGGAGCAAAGCTCCGGCACAGCACAAGTAAGAAGAGCAGTCACCTATTCCTACTACAGGTACCCCCAGGTAGCAGACACCGGCTCAGCACACTGTTGCTATATCATTGAAATCCCATGATAACATGAGTCAGTCAGCACCAGCTCTGGATCCTGGAAAAAAGGGAGGTTGTGAAACAGCTCCAGGATTTGCCAACCGTTCGTCTCTGGCCGGCTGCAGACATCTTGGTTAGTCATGTGTAGCTCAGATGCATTCGTTGTTCCAGCAATTACTTTGAAGAGAAGCAGACAGACCAAGCCGGGGCAGAACCCTGCCTGGGTATGCTGTTTTAAAGGCCTCAGGTTTTGAGGGATCCCATCCTCACTGCCGACCTGCCAGCCTGGGAGGTGGCAGGCTGCCTGCGGGAAGGAAGAAGGGAGCCCTGTGTCCGCCTCTCCACCACTCCCTGCTTCCGGGACCCGTATTCATCACCTCGCCGGGGAAGCTTTGTGGCTTTGTGGTCAGGGCCCTGTGAATCAAGAATGCTGGTTCCTCACATCAGGCCGCCCCCAACCCTGCTGGTTCACCCTGGAGTCCTTTTCTTTTCAAACCTCTGTTTCCTCACCTCTAAAAATGGGGGTAACCAGGCTCACTTGCCTCACAGGTGTGAGAGTTAATTAATGTTTGTGGGGCAGCTTTGAGATCCACAGATGAAAGGTGCTCTATAAACGCAAAATGCAATTCCTCATTAGCACTGTCAGACGGTTCCCAGGGGAAACAGTTCACCCTGCACCACGAGGCTGCTACCCTCAGCCAGATGAGTCTGAGACACGTCTGGGAAAGGGCTACGTATTTAGGCAGAGTGCTTTTGGAGGGAGGGTTCAAGGATAGGTCACTAGCTTCCAGAAAAGATGGGTGTTTTTAGAACATGTCTCATTCTCAGTTGGCATCGTGTCCCTGAGGCAGAGGGAGAGTGGCCTTCAGTGCACACAGCTGGAGGGACCATAGTTCAGAGGGAACAGAAGGCACCTTCTGGTTTCTGCTGCCTCCTCCCTTGCAGACAGATTCTTTCTCTGTACTTTGTTAAATAAACATTTGTTGCAGACATCTTTTCCATAAGGATCTTCTGCACTGTGCACTTTCTGCACCTCTGCCCCCCGTATACAACTTTCCAGGCCTGAAGGAGCTCTACAGACAGGTTGGGTACATTCCTGCAACACCAGCACATCATGGATGTTTAGATTCTTCTATGGCCACCCTATTTATTTCCTTCCACTCCTCCATGTCCTTCTTCTCCAGGAGGGTAAAGACAACTTTCTGCTCCCTTCTACTCCTCTGGCACCTTTGCCCCGCTTAGTTCCTTGAAAAACATGAGCCAGAAATATTGTGTTGAGGGCTGGGATATCTCAAGCAGCCTCCATCCTGAGACTGGACCCTTGGTGGAGAATGAGGATACTCACTCCAGTAAAACAAATCACTGACACCTCAAGTGGGAGCTGGGAAGCTTCAAGCAGAAGAGGCACAGCATCTCCCAGGACTGCACACAGCTAAAGAAACAGAATTTTCTGAAGAACACTCCATTGAGGTGGCACCTGATATCAAGAGGATTGTGCACGCTTGATAGTCTATGCTTGGAAGGCCTGGGTTGGGAGACTGTCATCTCCAACCTGCAGTCCAGGCTGGGCATGGAAGGCCGTGCTTTACAGCCAATCTCCACTGTGCTGATGAGGGGCCGGTGGGATTTCCTAGAGAGGCACCTGTGATATCTCTGGCTAAACAGATACAGTTAAGAGCTGTCGCTGGGGCAGATCATGTTAAGTAACATGGCTGAGATTTGCCAGGGTCCATGTAATGCCTTAGGGTGTCAGCACGCAAGAAAAAAAAAGAAGTGACTTTACGTCTGGGACTGCAGAGGCTACAAAATGATGAACCCCCTAACCTATGAGTTGTCGATATTGGAGAATACGATGCTTTTGAGCCCAGCTCAGATGGAGATCTGTTCCACACAGGTGTGTGTCATGCCAGTTTGCAGCCTGGGCTTCCTCTGGTGACTACCCCATCCATCTCTGCCACTGCCCCAGCTCTCTGTGCCCAAGTGCTGTCCCTGAGCCAGACCTCTGGTGGGAGAGGCCGAGGGGGCATGGAGCAGTGATCTCAAAAGCCTTCCTCTCTACACAAACCCAACCACGGGTTTCTCAGTGGGCATTCTCCTAGCTGCAGCCTTAGTTTTTACTTTGGCACTTTTTTGATGTTGTAAAATGTTAGAACTGTTTGAAAAATTCTAGAGTGGCTTGAAGCCCAGCAAGCAGTCTCTGTTGTCTTCTGCTTCCATATGACATGGGCCCTAAGGCAGGCTTATTGGATTTTATGCCAGGGATTCTGGTTTTAAGCAGCAAACTCTGAGGCATGGCATTCTAATAAAATCAGAAGAAAAACTCATATGAATGGGGGAAAAGGAGAATTCAAAACAATAAACATGAAATATGGCTTAACATAAAGATGCTTTTGTTTGTTCTGGCCCCAAACATTTTCAGGATTTGGGAACCTCATCCCAGAGCTGTCTCTCTAAAAGCCAAAAGGGCTTCAGTAAGGATACAATAAGGGCATAGTTCTGCAGTCTGAGAGGTAAGGACAGAGACCCTAGCTTGGCCCCTCACTCACAGTGTGCTGAAGCAAGTAACTTAATGCCTTGGAGACTCAGTTTCCCCCCATAAGGAGATGTTATTGCATCTGTCCCTTAGATTCCTGGGAGGGTGAAATGTGCCCCTCTGCCCGATATTGTCAATGCAGTAGCTGGCACCTTGAAGGCAGGAAACAGTCTTCTCTCCCCTGCCCTTCCAGGAAAGGATAACAGTGTCTGGAGAGTACTGTTGGCTTAGCTGGTTGTTGCTCCAGGTAACAGAAGAGGGAGAGGCTTGGTCTCACAAAGCCACCAGAAATGAGACCTTCCTTAGGCAGCCAGAGTTCCAAGGTGCACTATTCCAGCGGGGTAGCATGCACCGCTAGGATGCAACATAAGCCCTTCCTCCTGCAGAGCAGCAGCCTCCTCCTTCACAAGGAGCACCATAGCCACCCTGCAGAACACAGCTGCGTCAGGGCCTCACAGCAGTGTTGCACCGTGCCAGCCACAACACAGATTCTGAAAGCTGCATTTTACAAATCGAGGATTCACTGCTCTTTGTCTTGTGAAGTGTGACCCACAATGAATGGCAACCGTTCTTTCTTTAAGAGCTTCCATTCCATGCTCCCAATTTGAAGGATATCCTGACAAAGGGAAGTAGAATTCCCCAAGTGGAAGTGCCTCGTCCCCTTCAATAAACGCGAGTGAAATCAAAGGGCTGCTTCTGTGCTCTCTTCCTCTGTTTTTCTCATGCAGTCCTCCCATCTGACTACCTTGTCACAGCTCTTCTTTTCCTACCTGCATCCTCTTCACCTTGTTTTCCTTTCCCACACATCAGGCCAAGGCTTCTAGAATTCCTTGCAGCAAGAGCTGGAGGACAGAACCTCAGGGAACTGCCCTGTGGGAATGCTTCATGTCGTCTTCTACACGCCCTCTGACCTGGCCGCTGCACACAGGTCTTTCACTCTATGTGATTCCCTGGCTGCCCCTTCACCTCCAAGAGCTCTGAACGGCTTTACAACTAGGAAGTCTCTGAATGTGCAGAACAATGAGTTTCTCTTTCAGCAGGGCCTTGCCACCCCAGTTGTTTTTATTCCCCCCTCTGATATGCTAGAGATAATGATAGATCCAGGAAGTATATTTTCTTCACACTAGGAGGGGCCTTGCCCCACAACTGGAGACATGCCATTCCTGTCTTTACTGTCTGTTCTGATGGGAGCTCCTGAGAGATGGCAGGACAGGCAGCCTTCATTCCTAAACACAGTGTCCTGCAGACCCACCCGCTCCAGCTTATTTTTCACAGACATATTTCTGGAGGAGTAGTGTTTATTATACCTCTGAAACTCAAGGCTTCTCCATGCACAGAAATAGCCTCCAAGAAACAGCCCTCTATACCCCCGAGAAATGCCCCCAAGAAACCTCCATGCCCCTGAGAAATAGCTCTCTTGCACCTCTCTATTTTTTGAAATTTCTTAAATATTTGCCACCAAGCAACAGAGTGAATAAGAGGCTAAAATGTTCCCTCATTTGGTGACAAGTTCCTATGCAAGTTTTGAATTATTTGGAATAATTGGATTTCTTTGGCTTGTGAGCCAAGGGGAATCACTATCACTTTCTTCTATGGTATCAGAAAACTCCCTCTTTCTTCTAAGTTCCCCTGCTGCAGTCTTCTCCCCCACCTTCATGTGAGAGCTACACAAGGGGAATTTGTTCACTTAAGTTTGCAGCCATTTTGCACACCCCAAAGAGTTGACCTTGATGTGAACTAATTGGGATTGCAGTGGGTTAATAACACAGGTTGGTGAGGTGGAATTTGCAGCATAAAGGAAACACTTGAAGATAAGAGCCATTTGTGCTTTCATAAGCTCATCCCTGGTGCTCTGAACAAAGGACACAAACTAATAAAGTCAGATTCATCTAGGGGCAATCTACACTCGCTCACCCCAAACTCTGATTCAGAAAGGCAAATGGAAATCTGCCAGAATTCTTTTAAACTCCAACACAGATCTCGATTTAAAAAATGACACACACAAAACCGCTTGGTAATAAGCAGACCTCTGATGATCTACAGATCCACAGCTTCGTTTATTGACTTAGAGAAAGTAAATGGCATTTCAAATACAACCTTCATACTTCAATAGATGAGGTCACCCTGAGAAAGATGATACTCAGCCCAGCAGTGGGAAACCTCCCTCCAGAGAACTGCTTTGATTTACAAGGCCAAGGAAGGCTTTCTCATAGAAGCCATATACTTGGGCTAAAATGGAGTAATTTTTTTTAAAAAAATTAAATGTAGAGGTTGAGATAGCAGACAACTATGAAACTCTTGCTCAACAAGAGGGATGACCTATGGAAGACAGGAATGCTAGGACCTACAGAACTGAAGGGTCAAAATTGACTTACTACCAAGTTTAGATAGCTAAGTAACTCACATTTTTTTCAGGCATTGAGATCCTGTGTATATTGACTAGAAGATCCTTGTGAATTTCCCAATTACTCTTAAATAGCGATCATCAAACGGGTGATTTCTCCTCCAGGGGATTTCTGGCAATGTCTGGAGACATTTTTGGTTGCCACAACTGAGGAAGGGGGAGTGCTACTGTCATCTAGTACGTGGAGGCCAGGAATGCTGCTCAACATCCTACAATGCACAGGATGGCCCCTACAACAGAGAATGATCCTGCCCACAAGATCAAGCGTGCCCTAAAGTGTCAAAGAAAACCTTGCTCAGGGAAAGCACACACTGCCACAATGGTTTCAGCTACCATGATGACAAGACGGAAGATGTGACTTCTAGAGGTGCTCTTCAGGATCGGGGAAAGCTAACACAGCATTGTCCCCTGGGCACAGTACAAATGAACTGAGGGGTATGAGGAGATGAGGTGTGTGGTGAGCACTTTCTGGAGCCCTTGTGAGAATCCTGGGTGGCTGCAGTCATGATGCACCCAGGGGGAAACTCCATCCCCATGTAAGGTTTAAGGCGACTGCTCTCTCAGTCTCATGGCCTGGCACCCAGACTTAGAGCTGGCATGTTGAGCCCTGGGTGAGCTGCAGGTGTGAACTACCAACAAGACTGCTCCTGAGCTGACCGTCGGCTTTGCCATCTGGGAGGGTACAGGCTAGCACTTGCCTCTCCTGGGCTTCCTGGGCATGAGTCACATGTAACTAGATAATGACGCAAATCACCGTCAACATTACTTAAGGTTTCATTCTAATGTCTTATGGAATGATAGAGCAGAAAGCAACCTCCGAGACAGCAGAGACAACCATGCCAGCCCCATCTCAGAGAAAGCTGCAGTGCGGAATGGTGAAGGGACTCCCCCTATTCTCCACAGCAGATAGCAACAGAGCAGGGACAGACCTTCTGGCTCTTTGTAGACTACTGCTTTAACTACATGATAGTTAGAAACTATAACCCTCCCATCAATCTAGTTACCATGTACTGACAGAACAAAAAGACCTAGCTAAACCTCAAAAAAAAAGAAGTCACTGGAAAGCACATTGTCCAGATGGTTCTGGTGGGGAACACCTTTGCCTGCTTATAGCTCTGTGAGATCCTGAGCTTGGTGAGATGGACTGGGAAGTCCTAACTTCATTTATGTCTTCTCTCCACCCTGAAACGATGCCAAAATGACCCCAAATCTCAAATAAAAGTTGGTGTCTGTTGCTGTAAATGTACAAATAACCCAAAGTCAAAATTAGGGATGGAAGTTACCATTCCTTTTGCCTTCTGTGTTTTGAGGTGGTCGTGGGGAGGAGGAAGGCTTTCAGGGACAAGCAGACGGCGACAGGGATCACACTGTCACCTGTGTGCGCCTTTTCTTCTAATGGCCTTAAACTGCCAAGTGGCTGCAACTGCAGCGTGCTGATTTTAAATGCTTTTATGGAAAGCACCATCCCCTTTTCGACTAGCATCACTTAAAATAATGAGTTAGATGCACTTGTATTATTCTGTCTTTCAAGTGGATTAAATTCACAGGCTCGCTCTCCTCCAGTCTCGCAAGCTTTGGCCTGGCTGTCTGAACCTCCAGATTAGACTGATGAGCACATGCCAGACAGCAATGAAATGCAATTACCCAGGCAAACTTTTGAAGGATTTGAGCCCTGGGGCACAGGCTGTTTACGAAAGACTAAAAGCACCGTTTGTGCTGAGCAGGACCAGTTGCCTCCGTCTTTTCCAGTTCTGGATCCTGCCTGCCACTGGACTGCAGGCAGGATTTCTGGGGGCCTGATAACATCAGGCTTCTGTCCACACCTCAGCACCTCGGGGTCTTTGCTCTGTTTTTCAACAAGAAAATGCAAGTACCAACAAAAGCCTATTATAACATCTCCCTTTGTGTTCACTGACTGACTCTCTCTCTCTCATTGACTTATTTTTTTGTATTGTGTACTACCCCGAAAAAATGCAGCCAGGAATCATCCTATAGCTGACTGGCTGTGTAACTTCTTTGGAAATGAACAACCTTTCCAAAAAACAGGAACTTCCCGTCTTCTTTGAAAAAAAAAATTAAAAAGCAAACCAGTCTCAACAGCACCTCTGAATTACCTTCCCCTTGATTTGAACAAAAGAGGTTTCAGAGGAACAGAGGTGGAGGGAAGAGAAAACAAAGAATGGGCAAAGGGAAGGTTGACAAGGAGAGTGACCATGGTCTCCCCTCTGCTGACCCAGACTTTTTTTTGTTTGTGTGTTTTAGACAACTGTGGGTGACACAGAGGTGTTGGAATGGTTCTTCATCCATTCAGCTGAAAATTAAAATGTAATTCTGCTAGGAGAATGCTGGGGAGGGGAGGGACTGGGGAAGGTTCCTTGGCTTTTGTAGTTGCTGTGGAGGAAGCACCAAGTGAAGCCAGCAGGATGGCAGCACTGAAACGCTCCAGGGCTGGGGTTGGGGGTCCTGAAGCCCCCGCCATAGGGCACAGGGTGGGTGTGGGAAAGAAGCTTCCATGAGGAGTGGGAAAATACGAGGGATAGCAAGAAAAAGAGTAAACTTGGAAGGATGGGTTTCAGAAGTGCTGGAACCAAGAACAATCTAGAATGCTTTTAGAGAAGGAGGCCACACAGGGGCACATCTGCACACCAAGGAAGGAGGAAGAACGCCACTGCCAGGAGCTAGCAGTGAGTAGGGGTTGGGATCCAAGGAAGTGGTAGGTAAATCATGCACTCTTACTCTGGGGCCGAGATGTCTTACAAAATGTGGAAAGCAGGGTCAGGATTCAGAAGGCAGCCTCCGATGAGGCTGAGCAGTCTTTAGAGGAAGGAAGATGAAAAGAAAGAAGCTGGGATGAGAGAGTTTGGCCTCAGAGAGGGAATGGGAAAGGGCAGGGGGGCTCACTAGCTTAGTTAGCAGAAGGCTGTGAAAGTGATGAGGGCCAGAAAGCCAAGAAGCATGGAGACTTCCTAGGCTCCTCCTCATCACAAACAAGAAGGGAAATGGCCCAAGAAAGGGCAGGTGGTGCCAGCCAGGCTCTCCCCCCAGGTTCCCAGCTGGGATCTGGGAAAGGAGAAGGAAAGAATGGAGAAAGGAAACAGCCAAAGGGCCCCAGCAGAGAGTTGGTGCTATGTAAGGAAAGAAATTGTTTAGGGCAGGATATTCTGAAATTAACTTAAAACCTAAAACAAACAGTTTTGACTTGCTGTCCCAGGAGCAAGGAAAAATCCTTCCTCAACGACTCATGCACCCCTTTCTCTGCAGCTCTGGGCTAGGTTCGTGGGGGTCCTGGGAAGGAGAGAGCGTTCCTGCCCACCTGGAAGTCTCCTTCCAACTTGTTGATCTCAGAACCCTGATGTGCTCTGGGGAGAAGAGTGTGTAGCGGGTGGGGGCACGCTCAGGGTTGCCTGCCTGGATGGCATCTCGGTGGTGGTGGTTGAGTTTTTACTGTCTTACAGCACAGATGGTGGAAAATCATAGCCATGACAGTTGGTGAAGCGTCACTCAAACATGCAGCCTATCTGGTAACAGCAGAAGGCAATGTGTGGGGAAATGCCAAAGTGACAGAGACCAACAGATCAGTCAGGAGTCGGGAAGGGAGTCAGTCTGGGCCTCAGTGAGGACAAAGATGTTCTGGAGGAGATGGGGCAGGTGAGGTGCCCTGAAGAATGGCAGGATTCGGGGATGTGGTGGGGAGGAGAGGAAGGAACTTTCTGGGTAGGCATCCAGCATGGACCAAAGCTTGTGGGCAGGACTGGTCATGGGTGTTCAGAGATCAAGCAGGAAGATCTGCAGCATTCACCCACCTCAGTGTCCAGCCTCCCTCCTGTTCGTTGGCTTGACTTTTTGGTCATTTCAGAGCAAGAATGAGCTTCGGAAGAATGGAGCACCTTGTGGCCCAGAACAAGGCAGGGAGGCATGGCTAGAGAAGGAGACAGGAAACTGGTGGTTCCATGGTCTCCATAGGTATCAGGCCTCCCTGGCATCAGCTGACCTGAAATAGCAACACCTGCTTCTTCGGCCACTTTCCTCCAAAGGTGACATATTCAGACAGGTTCTACCAGGAGTGCAGGGCTAAGGGAACCTATGCAGTGCAGTCCCTGGACTCTCTGAAGGCCAAAGTATCAACAGTGAGCACATTGGGTCTTCACACGTCACTCAAGGTCACATAGAGGGGATTCAAACTCAGGCTGGAGTGTAGCCAGAAGTCCAGGTTGCCTATGCTCATTGCTATTCACCGTCTGTCACTCTGCTGCCTCTGAAAAGTTGTCCTTTTGTTTCTCTGGGATTGTCAACTGATGTACATACAGAGATACAAGGGTGGCTGAGCTACAAATGATTTATACTACAAGAAACAGACTGGCGCAACCTCATCTCTGGTAAGTCCTCAGTCTCAAATGAAATAAACAGCATATGGATTTTCCCTGTTGTGTCGCTGAGGCCAAATTAGGAGTCAGCAATGGGGCTTAGTGCTTAAATAAGTTGTGTATGGATGAGAAGGATAGGGCTGCCCATTCCTTGTTTGAGTGACTGCTGGCACCTAAATGCCTCCCGGCTCAGGTAAGAGCCTACCTGATCACAAACAGAGCTGGGAGATTTGTCGAGTTACTCAAGCCCCCAAGACATGGCCACTACATGTGTGAGATTTTCTTAGCTCTTCTACACAGGCTCCTTACTGTTGGCTCTCGCAGTAAAGAGTGGTTTTTGATAACTCTGGGAAGCTCTTTTCCTGACTCCTACACTATGGGCCTCCACGTCGTGTGGTCCTGCAATAGAAAGTCATTTCAGGGTGGCTTTGACTAAGTAATGATCCTTCAGAGCGATCATCACCCTTGAGGGGTGCCAGCCTGTACCCAGAAGGACTCCTGCCCGGGGCCGCCTCATGTCAGGGCCTCTTGAGAACTGGATTTGCAAAGTGTCTGCAGACGTAAGTCCTGGTGGCCTGCTCTGTCTGCTCTGATCACAGGGGACAGGAAGGCTGAACCAGGACAGAACAGTTTGCGGTTTCATCAATGAATAATATGGAGCTGGGGACAAAGTCCCCTCTACTTTCTGCGGCTGTCACTGAAATGTCAGCAGTGGAGGGAAAACCAGAAGAGAAAACCTCTCACTGACAGGCGCCCTCAGTGTGCAAAGAGCTCAAGTTTCAGTGCTGGGGTGGGGTGGGGGCTGCGCCCCTGCCTATTCACCCCACTCCTCCCCTGGGCTGCTCCACTCCCATGATGACTGGGAATTTATCCTACAACAGGCCACGAGCTCCTTGTTCTGCAGTAGGAAATTATCCTTCATAAGAGGGCAACTGTTAGTATTGTTTGTTTGTTTTTTAATTTCCAAAAGTAAGGAGAAGTTTATTAAATAAGAGCGGGGGAAGGGAGGAGGGAGAAGGAGAGGGAAAGGGCCCGAGAGGCAGCTGACCCCAGCATTTCCCGTCTCCCCTTGGCTTCTCCCATCCCCCTTGTCCCAGACCCCCCTCCTTCTGGTTCTGAATGTGAAAAATAAGCAGCCTGCACCTCCTCGACTGGAGATGTGTCTAACAAGGCCCTCATTGTCTCAGACAGGTGTGAGATTGGACTTGATTCGGGGCCAACACCTCCAGTACCGGAGCCAGCTCTGTGAGCCGAAAACATGCACCAGCCCTCCAGTAATACCACTGCAGCCAGCCAGAGACTCAACAATTTAAGGCTTAACACACACAACATAAATCAGAGGAGGATGGACCAGCCGACCGGCAGCTTCTTGGGCAGATGCCTGCAGACTGTCTGCAGATCATACCCTGCCTGTTTGGGTTATTTGAGACTCTTTTTCTGTAATATAAAGATGAGAAACTGGGTGGAGCAGCGTGCAGAGGCACACGGGTGTTTGTCCTGTCTTGTTCCAACAGCCCCTCTTTCGCCTAAGTGCTGTTTTGAAGGGACTGCTCAGGACGGTTCACATTGCTACATCCAAATCCTAGGAATGTGTCCAAGCTGGGGAGGAGGGGAAAGGAAAGCTGAGCGCTCTGATATGGGTGGTATCTGTGTGACCCTGGGCAAGTCTCTTAACCTCTCTGGGCTCATCCATCTAACAAGGGGTCTAGTTTTCTGCGATTCACTCATCTCTAATGCTCAGAAGTTCAAAGTCACTGTAAGAAGTGCCCAAGTCAGAGGAGGTCATTACACTTGGGAGGAAACTCACAGCACCATTGAATGCTGTTTCTGAGTGGATCCATGTCTTTGAGCAAGAAAAGTCTCTCCTCCTCATACCTGTTCTTTAGAAACTTGTGGTTCTCAGACTGCTGAGGCAAGCCCAGAGCTCGAGCCCCCGGGAGTGTGGTCATGACATGGCAAGAGCCACACGCTATGGGAGGGGAAGATGGAGATGACAGGTCTGCACTGCTAGTTACTGCCATGCTCCAGTCCCTCTTCCTAATCAATTCTTAGATAAGTTTCATTGAGGAGGGAGGATTACCAAGTCACCAAGTCTTAGTGAAGGGAGGGGGCCCAGAAGCCACCCGTCAATGCGGGAGCCCCCACTCTGGTGCCTCTGAAAGAAGGGCATTTGGTCTCTGCAAATTCCTGTGACATTCCAGGGTAGCTTTTGGCCCTGCCATTCGTCACCCTGACCCTGAATTCATGGACAAGGACGTGGCCGTCACAGGGATGCCTTCATCTGGTCCCAGCTCTCTCCCTCTCATAGCCGTGTACTCTGTTGGGAGCAATTGGCATGAAGTTTGGCAGTGGCATCCTGAACCGGGATGACAGGACCATCAGTCAGCACCAGCCTCCCGCCCCTCCTGGCCTCGGCCTGCCAAAGCCTCGTATTCCCACAGCTGTGGCTCCAGCCTCTGCCCTGTCACACTCGCACACCTGTTTGCCATCCTGCTTCTGGCCCGCCAGCCCAAGCCACAGCCCCCAAGCAGGCTTAAAGGGCCGGGCTTGTGGGAGGAATCGGCACAGGATGGTATTTACTCAAAATCACACAGGACGGTGAAACTTGGTTAAAAGAAATCCTTTTGTAGCTGCTTCATTAAAAACACCAAAGAGGCTGACCATTCACATTTGTTGAATGCATCCAATTCATGCAAGTAATGGGACAGGTCAGGGTTCACCCTTGCCTGCTACCCACGTGGGCTTTGTGCTCAGGAAGTGACCTGTCGGTCTCCTGTAGCTGGTTGTCCCCAACAGGGAGCAGGGCTGGGGTGCCGGCTGGGGCTGCGGAGGGTGGGCATGGCTTTGAGGAGGATATCCCTTCCTTGCTGGGTGGGGCTGAGTAGAATGGGCGTGGCTTTGAGGAGGATTTCCCTTCCTTGCTGAGTGGGGCTGAGGAGGGTAGGTGTGGCTTTGAGGAGGACTTCCCTTCCTTGCATGCTTTAAGAATCCCTCCTCCAGCCAGGCATGGTGGCTCATGCCTGTAATCTCAGCACTTTGGGAGGCCGAGGCGGGCGGATCACCTGTGGTCAGGAGTTCGAGACGAGCCTGGCCAACATGCTGAAACCCCATCTGTACTAAAAATACAAATATATATATTAGCTGGGGGTGGTGGCAGACTCTGTAATCCCGACTCTGTAATCCCGGCTACTCGGGAGGCTGAGGCAGGAGAATCCCCTGAACCCGGGAGGTAGAGGTTGCAGTGAGCCTGGGTGACAAGAGTGAAACACCGTCTCAAAAAAAAAAAAGCATCACTCCTCCTTAGCACGAATTCAACCTTTTAAAAATGGAGACTCAGAAGCAGCACATGATACTGAACCCAACCATGGGACCTAGCATCTCCCTGAGATGGTGTATTTCCAGAAAAAGGCAGTGTGACGTACAGCATGGTTCAGTGCCCAAGTGAATGATCCACACCAACCCTAGAGACTGTTCTGAGGCTACCTCTGAGGCAGACCCGAACCAGCCAATGGGAAGAGCACTGGGCCAGGAGCCAGAAAACCTGGATGTTAGGTCTGCCTCTAGTTCGGAAAATCACTGAAACTCCCTGGGCCTCGAGTGTCTCATGAGTAAAATATAGGGCTTTGAGCAAAGAAGTTTAAGGTCCTTTCAACTTTAACAGTTTACCATTTGGTCTTGTGGAACAGTGGTTATGGGAAGGTCTCCTGTTTGGGTTTATCCAAGGAAACAAAACTCAAATGAAAATACCACTAAAACCACCAATACCTTTATCCACTCTGGGGCTCCCGAGGAATAAGGAGACACCGGGGGAATTATCGCAGAGTAGCTGTGTGACTTGGAGAGGACCGATGGGTACAACTAACTGGTGATACAACAATGCCGCCAATAAGAGCACATAAATAGCAATAATAGTGAAAAAGAATAACATTGACCATTTATTAAGTATTGAAAGTGTACCGGGATCCATGCTAAATATTTGATAAAAATATATCTCAAAGACTTTGTGAAGGATTAATAAATACACACAATGCTTCCCATGTGCTGTGCATCAAGTGATTTCTGCAGGCTAACTCATTTAATCCTCACAATTGTCCCATGTGTTAGGAACTATTATTGTTACGACGGTTTGCAGAGGGGGAGAAGGGACACGGAGGAATTACAGACCCACATTCTGCCTTCCTCATAACGTGCATTCTGAGGGCTGTCATCTTTCTTCTGAGTCTCTTCTGAGGATGAGATGGAAAAGATAGCTCTATCCTGGCTGGGGAGAGGGATGGACAGAAGAACTGACTTCTGCCTTAACATCTCCAGGGTGCTGTGTCTTCCTCTGAGGGAGCCATGTGTGACCAGGGAGAAAGTTCGAAAATAAGGACAATTCTTTATAGAGCCGCGAATGCATTCCCCTCCCCTACCCCAAGGCGTGAAAGAATCAAATGAGGAAATCAGGAAGAGATTCTGGAATAGGAATAACAAGATTTCCCTTCCCTTCCACTGAATTGGCCATCAGTAATTTTGCACAAATTCAATTTTGAAGTCATGCTTCGTAATTTGTGGTAAATCATATTAAATTAAACAGATCCATGTCTGGGCAACGGCTTCTCTCATTTAGGAACATATGGTGGCTCAGAGCCTCTCACACAGCAGAACTATAAAGGCTCCTTCCAAATAAGCAGCAGAGTGAGGGGCTCTGGGGCAACCCTACTGGTTTTCCTGAGAATGTTAGTTAGGGGTGACCATTAATTCACGGGAACTGCAGTATCCAGAATGACAGAATGTTAGTGTTGAAGACAACCTGGTTAATCACTTACATGATAGATGAGGGACTGGGACTTGGTGGTAAAGGAAACAGTGCTGGGTCACGTGAAAACAAACCAGACACCACAGGCAGGACCTTCCGGGCAATGCTTCCCCCTAACCATGTCATGCACCTACAGGTGACTGGTGGTGGGGATTCAATGAACCAGCAACATTGGTCTGTTCTATAAATACGAGCTATCATTATTTTATTACTCCCTTCAGTAAACATGTGAACCAGGCAATGTCCTTGTCATAATCTTGCTGTCATAACTGCTCTGTGATAACCCAGGTATAGACACAATCACAAACAAAGGCTATCATTTTAAAACGGGGAAGTGGGTGAGTCTCATGCTTCAAAAGCTTCTGCATTCATCTTTAAGATACCAGCCTTGTTGGACGACCAACAGAAGCGCATCTTAAAACTCAGGCAGTTATGGCTGTTCCACATAGCGGGTGATTTACAACAAAGTATAGATGAAGATTAACCGGCCTTGAGATGAGAGAGCTAAATAAACCACTTAGTGGGCAGAAAGGCCAAGTCGAGCCCTTGAGCTTGTGCTGACTTTTACAGATATTTTAATAACTTTATCATTATATAATTTGCTATCTGATATGTGCGGAGAGATGCACTAATGGAGTGAGAGTGGCCACAACAGTGTTATAATCCCGCGAGACTTAATCAAACCACCATGTTCGTGTCCCTCATGTGACCTGCAACTCCAGGAAGTGCAATCCCTAGTCACATTATTTCTTCCTCCCTTTTTATCTTGAGATGTTCTTTAAAAAAATCCCAAAGCAACTGGACATATGTAGTCCTTCCAGTGATATAAAGAGGAACTGGCACAGCATAAGCTCTCTGGGTCTTGGATCTGGCTTTAGAATGACTCAGGTTGAACACATAAAGCCGTAAGGTAAAGAGGACATCATCCATAGCAGGAACTGGCAATTTACAGGGCTGGGAGACTTAACCGTCCCAGACGGGTGAGCTCCTGATACTCAAGTTAGCGCTGACTCAGCGAGGGCCTTGAGGCTTGACTCACAGATCTTCCCTAGGGATGCTTTGCTTTTATGACATCAACTGAAGGATCCTGCAGTGTCCTCCATACTTCCAGGAGGATTGAGCTGGACATTATAGTGGCCCAAGTCTTATTAAACGGAACTGATGATGTTGACTTACGGAGGCTAAGATTCAGTGACCCAGTTCAGATTGTGTGGAAGAACCAAGACGGTAGAGGAATTAAGCACCATTTCCATTCCTGGTGGGTTTTTTTTTTTTTTTTTTTTTTTTTTTTTTCAGATGGAGTTTCACTCTTGTCACCCAGGCTAGAGTACAATGGCCTGATCTCGGCTCACTGCAACCTCTGCCTCCCAGGTTCAAGCGATTCTCCTGCCTCAGCCTCCCAAGTAGCTGGGATTACAGGTGCCCGCCACCACACCCAGCTGATTTTTGTATTTTTAGTAGAGACGGGGTTTTGCCATGTTGGCAGGCTGGTCTCGAACTCCTGACCTCAGGTGATCCACCCACCTCGGTCTCCCAAAGTGCTGGGATTACCAGCATGAGCCACTGTGCCTGGCCCCTGGTGTGTTTTAAAGCTCAAGTTTCATGCCACCCCATAGGTGTTAGGTGACATGAGACACACAGGTCAGAATCGCCATCTCCTCTTCCCTCTGCCCATACTGATTCCCTCCAGGAAAGAAAGTAGGGAATTTCATCTTTAAGAACAAGAATCCCCTTCCAAAAAGGTTAATTCCCATAACAGGATCTACGGAGATCAGAATTGGAAGACACTTTTCAAAATCTTGAAACCCTATTGAGAAAGTTCTAAACCCTAAAAATGACCCTAAGGTTGTATGGAATAATGATGGTGCCCAGGATTGTGGCATCCTGTGTCTGGAGGCAGTGGCTGTCTTTTCTGCCCAATCTTTCCTATCCATGATTCAGTCAACATTTAGTCAAACATTCAGTCAAGCATTTAGTGCCATTGTTCTATTTTTTCTTAAAACAGAAAATAGTCTATTCCATGCCATTTAGGGGAGCGTGAACTGGCTAAAACTCAACCTGAAGACTTTCCATAGCTTGCTAATCAGAAATCACCTGAATTAGAGGTGGTACATTCTTCCCCTATCAATTCTCAGGAGTGCAAAGAGAGACAAAAAATAAACATGGTTGGCCAATGTTTGTTTTTAGGGTGAGTTCTATACTATTTTTCTATTATTATTTTGCTTTATTTACTGTGGTTGGTAACTGAATCTCTAACATCAAAACATGAGATGTTCTGCCAGAAAGAGATTACAGAAGAAAAGCCTATGAAAAGAAACTGGGTTTGTCAGTGAAGATTTTATTTACAGGAGTTTTGCAATCGGTATCTTTAATCTCCATAACAATTGGGCTATTCTACTGCTTTGAAGGCAATTGTTCAATAATGAGAAGGTCCCTGTGAGGCTAAGGCTTGGAAGGAAGAATGTAACAGGGCTGGTGACAATTGAGGCAGGTGAAACCCTCTGCCTCTGTCAATTTCCCCTAAAGGTCAGGGTGGGGTGTTCTGAGGGCCAGAGAGAAATAAGCAAAGACACAGGTAATGAAAGTCCCTCCGCATCATTTAAATCACAAATACTGGATTTTAAAGAGCCCTAAAATAACTGAATTCGAGTGGGCCTGAATTTCTGTTCCATAAGGCAAGGAAAAATCATGTAGATGAGTAAAACCAACTCAGTCTGGAGAACTATGCCTAATAAGAAAACCCAAGCAGTAGCTTTCTAAGTAGAGCTGTTTTTCATATTAGCATATATTGTTTGTTCTTCTCTCAATACAAACTTGTGGTAAACTTTGATACTACTTCATGACTACAGTAAAAGTTTCTTTTTTAAATGTCCAAATTTGAAAGACTATCTTCAGGCGATTTGTAAATCACCATCCTTTAGAAATGGGTGTGTAGTCAACAATGCCTGGCAATCAAGTCACTTTTTTAAAAGGCAGCTTGCTTCAAAACAACAGTGACATGCCTGGCTTTGGGAGGTCAAATTCTTGAGTCCATCCCAACTGTCTGGCTTTGGTCATCATGTCATCTTTTGTTCCCATTTTTCTGTTCCTACCATCTAAGCTGTCATGAGCTTTTGGAGGCTAGGACAAGAGGCACCTGGGCCTCCTGTTTCCCCATCTGGCACTGCTCCCGGGACACAGGGAAGAGAGCTCTTTCTCTATCACTGTCAGGACCTCTGATTCCATCGGTATAGGTGCTCTAGAAAATATTAAGGAAATATCTGATCTCATCTAAAAAAAATCATACATTTTTCTGGCTGGGAAATAAAAATACTATGATGTTGCGTTCAAACAAATGATGGACTGAGGTTATAGTAACACGATTGGGGCATTTGTGCATGAGATGTTCAGTTCACATTTACCTGTCTACCATGTTTGTTCTGGGGGATGGACTTGGGAGAGTTATCTCTGGACTCACCTGCTGTGCCTGGTCAATGGTCTGATGTCCCCTGTCTTTTGTACAAAGATACAGCAGTTTGAACGGTGGCTCCAGAACCATTTCCTCACCCCCAGAACTGTGAATGTGACCTTATTTGGAAAAGGGCCTTTGAAGCTATAATTAAGTGAAGGATTTTGAGTTCATCATGAATTACCTGGGTGGGTCTAAATATAGTAACATGTATCCTTAGACAAAAGAGATGACACAAAGGAGGCCATATAAAGAGGGAAGAAGAAGTTGGAATGATACAGTCTGATACAGTCACAAGCCAAGGAATGCCACCAGTGGCTGGAAGAGATAAGGAAGTATCCTCCCCTAGAGGCTTCAGAGAATGTATGGTCTTGCCAACACTTTGATTTTGGACTTCTGGCCTCCAGAACTAAGAGAGAATACATTTCTGTTGTTTTAAGCCACCAAGTTTGTGGTTATTTGTTAAAACAGCCACAGGAAACTAATATACTTGTGCTGTGGTTTGATTATGTCCCTCAAAAGTTCACATGTTGGAAACTTAGATCCCACTGTGGTGGTGTTGATGAGGCCTTTGCAGGGAGCAAACGGGTCATGAGGATTCTGCCCTCATAAATGGATTAATGCCATAATCATGTGAGTGGGTTATTGGTGAAGTGCCTTTGTTATAAAAGCAAGCTCTCTTGCACATGCTTTCTTGTGCCCCTTGCTTTCTGCCTTGGGTTAATGCAGCAAGGACCCCACCAGATGCCAGCACCATGCTCTTGGACTTCCCTGCCTCCAGAACCATATGAAATAAATTTCTTTTGTTTTCTTTCTTTCTTTTTTTTTTTTTTTTTTTTTGAGACAGAATCTCACTCTGTCACCCAGGCTGGAGTGCAGTAACATGATCTCAGCTCACTGCAACCTCCACCTCCCCGGCTCAAGCGATTCTCCTGCCTCAGCCTCCCGGGTAACTAGGACTCAGGTGTGTGCCACCATGCCCAGCTAATTTTTTTTTTTTGTATTTTTAGTAGAGATGGGGGTTTCACCATGTTGGCCAGCCTGCTCTCGAACTCCCGACCTCAAGTGATCTGCCTGCCTTGGCCTCCCAAAGTGGTGGGATTACAGGCATGAGCCACTGTGCCCAGCTGTGAATTAAATTTATTTTCTTTATAAATTACCCAGTCTCAGGCATTTAACAAAAGAACTAAGACAGAAAGTTGGTACCAAGATGTGGGGTTGTTACTACAACAAATACCTGAAAGTGTGTAAGTGGCTTTGGAACTGTATAACCGTGAAGGCTGAACAAGTTTGGAGGAGCAGGCTAGAAAAAAGCCTGCATTGCCAAGAACGGTTCTGCCATTAGGGGCAATTCTGGTGAGGGCTCTGAAAGAAGACCTTAGAACTAGGGGAAGTCTAAATCTTCGTAGAGATTACTTAAGTGATTACTTAAGTGTATGTGACCAGAGTGCTGGTAGAATGCTGGTAAAGGCCATTCTGATGAGGCTGCAGATAGAAATGAGGAACAAGGTATTGGAAACTGGAGTAAAGGCCATATTTATAAAATATAAGGTTGCAAAGAGCTGGGTGAAATTGTGTCTGTGTCCTAGGACTTAATGGAATGCAGAACTTAAGAGGGATGAACTAGGATATTTGTGGAAGAAATACTTAAGCAGCAAAGCATTGAGGCTGCTGTGTGGCTACTTTTAACTACATATAGTGAGATGTGATAGCAAAAGAATGACTTAAAGATGAAATTTGCAATTAAAAGAGAAGCAGAGTGGAAAGATTTGGAAAATTCGCAGCCTGGCCATGTAAAGAGTGAAAGTGTATTTGGAAGAGAGTACTAAGGGTGTGGCCAAGCAACCATTTGCCAAAGAGATTAGTATGAATGCGAGGAAGCCAGATTCTGTTCATCAAAACAATGGGAGAAAGACCCCGAAAAGCATTTCAGAGATCTTCAAGTTGCTCCTCCCATCATAGGCCCAGAGCTCTAGGAGGGTAGAATGATTTTAGGGGACAGGCCTGGGGCACCCTTCATGGGCTCACTGCCCAGGGCTGCCTCTAGTCTCTGCTTCCTGCATCCTGGTGCAGCACACCTTGGCCACCCCAGCTGTGGCTTCAGTGGGCCTAGGTATACCTAGGCTGCCATTCTGAAGGGCACAAGCAGTATGCCTTGATGGTCTCTATGTGGTGCTAATTCCGTAGGCATGCAGAATACATGCTGTGGAAGCATGGCTTCCTCCACCTAGATTACGAAGGATGCCACAGACTGCCTAGAAGCTCAGGCCAAGACCTACCACAGGGGAATACCACTGCAGACAGTACCTAGCAGGGCAATGTTGAACAGAAATGTGAGGTTGAAGCTGCCACAAAGAGTCCCCACTAAGGCTGTGCCTAATGGAGACACAGAATTGGGGCTATCCCTGAGAACCCAGAACTGCAGAGCCACCAGTGTGCAACTCTAGCCTGGTAATGCTGCAGACACAAGACTTCAACGTGAGAGAGGTGAAGTTTGGGCTGAGCCCAGCAAAACTGTAGGGGCAGGGCTGCCCAAGGCCTTGGGGGCCTAGTCTTAGCCCCATTGTATCCAGAAGGCAGAACATGGAGTCAAAGGAGATTATTCTCCAGTTTTAAGACTTAATATTGTTTACCCTGTTGGATTTTGAACTTATATGGGACCAGTTACCCCTATTTTCTTGCCTGTTTTTCTCTTTTGGAGTAGGAATTTCTACCTTGTGTCTGTCCCACCATTATATTTTGGAAGTATTATAGTAGACTTGTTTTTGATTTCACAAAGCTAATGGAATTTGCTTTAAATGTTTCCTTGCATCTCACCCATATCTGGTTTAGACAAGACTTTGGACTTTCGACTTTTGAGTTAATGCTGGAAAGAGTTAAGACTTTGGGGACCACTGGGATGGAATAAATGTATTTTTAAAATGAGAATCACATGAATTTGGGGAGGTCAGAGGTGGAATGCTATGGTTTGAATGTGTCTTCTCAAAAGTTCATATGTTGGAAACCTGGTTGCCATCATGGCAATGTTGAGAGGTGGGGCCTTTGGGAGGTGATTGAGTCATAAGGGCTCCATCCTCACAAATGAATTCATGCTACCATTGAGGGAGTAAGTTAGTTATCATGGAGGTGGCTTTGTCATAAAAGTGAGCTCTCTGACAGATGCTCTCTGCCCTTCCACCTATCTGCCATGGGATGACTCTCAGCAGATGATGGCACCTTGCTCTTGGACTTCCCAGCCTCCATAGCCATGAGCCGAATAAACTTTTCTTTATATATTACCCAGTCTATAATATATAAGACTACGACAACTTGATATTATTGATGTTGATCATAACAGCTAACAGTTTTTGAGTGTTAACCATGGGCTGGCTCTAATGTCCACTGCTTTATGTTTCACAGTGGTCCTAGGATCTGCTAGTATAATTATTACTCGTCTTTTGCAGATAAGAAAACTAAGGCTTTAAAAGGTTAAGTAACTTGCCAAAAGTCCTATAGTGAATGTGGTAGAAACTAAGGTAGTCTGCCTGTTGAGCCCTCATTCTTTCTTAGCCACTATGATCTGCTATCTTTCTTGGCTATTAGATTCCCAGCTCAAGCCTTCTGATATGTAGCCATCAATATCAAATACATGCTCCAACTACAACTTTGCTGAAACTATTAATCTTCCAAATGAAACCTTTTAGTGCATGGGTGTGCTGGCCTACATATTTACAAGCATAAGGGGAAAGTTCAGAACATATGCAGTCTACAGAAGAAATATTTCATCACTAAGATCAAGCCCTGCAGTGAATCTCTGCAGTCATCCCACTGGTTTTCATTTCTTCTCTCTCTCTCCCTTCTTTCCTTTAATTATTTTTATTTATTCCTGTGAACACCTGATTCAGGCTTGTTGTCGGGGTAAGATTATAATGCTATAGACCTGGAAAGGCTCTCATACCCTACTACACCTTGTTAAAAGCTATTTTTAAATGAAATCATTCACCTGTCATGTTTATAGCCTATTATATAAATTAATTTCTCACATTCTGAATATGTTACTTTGTGTAACCATTAAATGACCATTTATAGATTCACATATGAGGATTTCTGGTGTTTGATTGTAGCCTCCACTTTCAAGGTAATCAAATAGTCCCTACTCCCTTTGTTTTCAAACTTCAAATTGCTAGAAGAGTAAGGAAGAGAGGGAAGGAGAGGGAGAGAGAAAGGAAAGCAATGCAATGCAGTTGGATATTTTACCTCCAAGGCTGGAAAGAGGATTTATCTCCTTCTCCTACAGGAAGGTGGAAAGGTTTTCTTCCTTTTGTCTATCCAGATGATAAAGAGAGAATCAGACGGACTTAAATAACTCTATACAACTGAGAAACAGGGTCATTTCAGTATCTCAGAGTTTTGCAGACAGCAGCACCAGAATATAGTCCTTCCTAAGTAACTTTAATTTTGGGGGAAAATAATTAGCAAGACAGAAGTTACTTGGAATACTAAAAATCAAGAGATGATTTGAGAGGTCAGGGACCCCTCTTGGCCATATGGAACACTCAAAGTGAGGCACGCATACTCATAAAAGTGGATTAGATGTTGACTGGGTTTGGATGATAAGCACTTGGTCCCAATGAACTTCAAAAGTAGGAAGGCAATGGCCCCAATAAAGTAAACAGAGTGGCTGGTAAGCCTTCTCCCTGCTCATATACCCCCTCTTTCACTCTTATTTAGAGATTCATTATTCTGAGTTTTCTTTTCTCCCAAACTTTATAAACAAATGCACATGTACCAAAGGAGACAGTTTATTAAGGTGCCCACCACACAGCCTGGCCCCAAAATTCTTCTTATTATCAACATCTAATTATAATAGAACATGTTCAATACAAGAATGCCAAGTGAGTGGATAGCCCAACACTTTTTCCATCCCTCCTTTGGTGATTGGGATTCTTCTCGACACTGGTCAGCCCTGTAGTAAATCGATCCTTGACCCAAGAGTGCACGCCCAGGGAACGGCCATCCCACTTGCACTGGCTTTGTAGCAAGGAAGGTCTGGGTTTGCGTCCAAGTTCATCACTTACAATCTTTGAGATACTGGGCAATTTTTAACCTCTGAATTTCGATTTCTCTGTCTATAAATGATACCACAGGATTGTTGAGGGAATGGAATAATATGTACAAATGTCTGACCCACGTCAAAATAGCTCACAACTGGTCCAGTTAAAGAGTTAAATCTTCTTCCTACATGCTTATGACAACCAGCATGCAGAAGAACAACAAAATGGGCTTCCTAGTTTATCTAGGTTTCAGTTTTCTGTACCAGCATCTATTACTCCATCCTCATATTCCCAGAAAGGAGGAAATTACGACACCTTAAATGTGATACATCATATTTGGTCAATCAGGGGTGAAATTTTAAAATCACTCACTCGGGTTGCCCAAACCCATCTCTAGGTGGGAGTTGTGACTGAACAGGCATCGGTACCACTAGCTCTAGAATCTGCCCTGTTCTATCTTTTGAAATAAATTAAAAAAGAATTCTAAGACTCGATCGTAGAAGTTAATGATGGTGTCCTGACTGGGAGAAACGTGTAGCCCAAGGGTCTACTCATGACAAAATGGCTTTCTATTCTATTTCATGACAAAATGGCTTTACCAGTTTAAGACCTGGTAAAATAGGAAGTTGAAATAAACCTCAGCCCTTTAATAGTTAAGACCCCAACAAATAAACAGTGGTTTAGTGGCATGACAACTTGCCCCCTCTCAATCTGTACCGTGCTTCAGATAATTTGAGATGTCTATTTTGAGTGACCCTCCAGCACATGTGATTCTAGGTAAGTATTGGTGCTATTCTATATCAGTATTTTCTTGCTGACAGAGTCAGAGGAGCTGGCATAACCCTTCTGACAAAGTCCTAGCAAGGTAGGGTTCCTGAGCCTTTCTATAAATCCCGGCAAGCTCGCCAAACCCCCGGTTACTGACATTTCTGTAAAGCTGAAAAACATTCATGCATCTGGACAGCACCACTGTGGAACTACTCTGACAAATTGGATATTTTTCTGAAAACTACCACTGCCATTTCAAAGAAAGCCAGAAACACATGCTGTATTTCTTAAAGTATCTTCGTAAATATAACATAGAAATTTCAGGGCTGAGCCTGGAAAATAAGCATTTTCCTACTGTCAAGAACAAACTGAAGGTCTTGGCTGAACAAGACTTGCATATTATACCTGTTAACTTTCCAATTTCAAGAGAAAAAGCCCAAGGGTCTACTCAAAACATGATTAGCGTAAAACAGCGTTTTCTTATAGGAAAGAAAGAACAAAAGGAAAAGGAAAAGTTGTTTCACATGAAAATATTCTGGATACTTATTTTTTAAAAGTTGTTCCTAAAATTTTACAAGTGAAGTACTGAATATCAAATTCATATTTTGGAAAGAAAGAACACCAGCAATATAGTTCACACATTCTTTAGAGTAGCAACCAAGCCCGTAGGAACTCTAAAAGCGAGTTATGATTTCTTAAATGTTGCAGAAGTAAAAGTTTTCAAGAGGAACAAAAAAGGGGCGATGCTTAGTGTTAAACCTGATACTCTACTAAGCATATAGGTCTCCAAAGAGCTGACGAATGCCCATCACACGGTCCACAATAATGCTTTTGCCCAGGAGCTTCAGAGGATGAGAACTCAATGTGCAACTTCCCCCCATTTTTTTGTTTTTGTTGTTAAAGAGGCATATCTGATGAAGAAGGAAATCAGATTAGATTCACTCTTCACCAAGAAACAGAGCAACTCAATGGTGACAATATCAATTTTCCCCCATGTGGCTGAATTTTCCATTGCCTTTAAAAATGCTTAAGACTTTTTGTTCCCATATCAGCAGAAAAAGGCAAATCCCTTAATCAACCTAGTAGTATAAATGGCCAGTTAGGCAACGAGAGACTAAGAAAACAGTCTTCCTTTTGATTTTACACATGAATAGATGATGTGAATTAGTTTTCTGAAGATTATGTGAATTAGTTTAAATGACCTTAAAGGCAAGATGAAAGAATCTCCTTGAGAGTTGTATCCTCTTTGGAAGCAAAGTATTGTTTTGCCCCAAGCCCATCTCGCTCACTGAACATACCATTTGACTTAATTTACCATATACGCTTGTATTTTGGAATTTAAAAAAAATCAATGTACACATTTTAAATCATTATTAATGATTATTATGTAACAGGAAACCAGTGGTTTCATGGATCCTCTTCCTAAATACACCTAAATGAACCTATAGATGACAGGCAGCCCCCCAAAACATCAAGCTTTAGGTTTCTGTTTGTTTACAAAAGGGTTACTCCACAGACAGGCCACTTAGCTGTGTGCATAGTATCTTCTGGAAAGATTTATTTGGAAATTTTCCAATCAAGTAGAAGAACCTTCCCCAGAAACCTAACAGTGAGAGCTAATGGCATGGGCTGTCAAGCTCCATGGGAGACAGTGGGCATGCCTTTTGAGAACCCATGTTTTTGTTTGTTTGTTTGTTTGTTTTTTGAGATGGAGTCTCGCTCTGTTGCCCAGGCTGGAGTGCAGTGGTGCAATCTCGGCTTACTGCAACCTCCAACCTCCCGGGTTCACACCATTCTCCTGCCTCAGCCTCCTGAGTAGCTGGGACTACAGGCACCCGCCACCATGCCTGCCTAATTTTTTGTATTTTTAGTAGAGTTGGGGTTTCACCATGTTAGCCAGGATGGTCTCCATCTCCTGACCTCGTGATCCGCCCGCCTTGGCCTCCCAAAGTGCTGGGATTACACGTGTGAGCCACCGCGCCCGGCCTGAGAACCCATGTTTGAACCCAAAATAGAGAGCTACTGGCCTGGAAACCCAAAGGAACAGATGATATTTGTACATCCCACAATACAACTCACATACAGAAAATGCCTGGGGAAGCTAATTCCTGCTGTCCGAGAGGGGCAAAGAGCTACCACATCGATTGCTGGCCACCTGCCCTTTTCCCCAGATGTGTTGCTTATCTTTTCCTTAACAAGCCTGCTACTTTGAGAAAGAAATATTACTGTAAACCATATCACACACAGCTGCATCCTGCATGGCACAGAGAAAAGTCTGCATTTTGGATTTTTGAAACGGTATCACAGAGCAAACAGTCATTGACGTCACTGGTCTACAGTGTAAATGAACTTCTTGTATTATCTAATTTGGCACAGTGGGCCTTAGGCAATTATTGCATCTTACAGCGCTTTAGTAATTGCCAGCTAGCCCCATGGGCTGGGGGGACCTGCATTCTCTATTGATTTGCAAATAACACCCTTGATGTGATGACATCCATACATTTCAACTATTTCTTAATAATAAAAAAACACTAGATACAAAACCCACAAATAATCTGGCAATAGCGAGAACTTGAAACATCCCATCTTCACTTTGCTTGACGTGTGTGTGTGTGTGTGTCTGCGTGTGTGTCTTCAAGCCTAATGGGTAGGTAAAAAAATAGCATAGCCAAAGCTAACTCTTAAAAAATTCAAGAGAGCTATCTATCCAATATGGATATCCATACCCAGAGCTCCTCGTATCCTCTGTAGCAGTGCTTTTCCTTGTGGGGATCTGGTTACAATGCAGATCTGACTCGGTGGGTCTGGGGTGGGTGGGGCCCAAGACTCTGCATTTCCAACAGCTCCCAGGTGGTGCTGTTGGTTCGAGGCCTTTCTCTGAGCATCAAGGGGAAACCCCAGTTGGTCTGGGAAGGTGTGTGCACATGGGGGCCAGTTGTGGGTGGTGGCCCAGGTGCAGGAGAGGCGGGCAGTGGGCTCCATCTGGTACTTACCCTGCATCTGACTCTGAGGCTGAGGGTTAAAGGCAGTGGAGTGGTTCAGGGAGGCACGAGGGTTGGGCGTGGGGGCTGGGTGGTGTGGGCTGACCCTCATGGCTGTGCGCCGCAGCTGCTCCAGTTCACTGAGCCGCTCGGAAAAGGACAAGCTCCCGGGCTTGGTCTGATCATCTAGTTTCTGCCGATGTCCTATTGTGGGGAGCAGGGAGGGGAGGGGATGGGGGGAGGGAAGGAGGGAGGGAAGAGATCAGAAAAAGTATTGTGGATTTCCTAAAACTGGGGCTTTTCTTGTCTTTCCCCTCTCTCTCCCCTCACCCCAACATAGACTCGCTAGAGATATGCCAGCTGAATTTGGGGCCACTGTCCTCTCAGCAGAATGGGCCCCCTTTCACCGCCTCGGCCACAGAGTGCTCCCCCAGTCTGGGCCTTGGCACCCTCCCCAACCCTCTACACCCACTTCCAATGGGCACAACTCACTGAGATACAGAACTTGGCGGTGGTGGTGATGCCGGGAGGGAAAGAGGCGCATTAATTGTTGGCACATGGCCACATGCCAGGGGCTATGCTGTGGCAGCCAGGAAAGGTGGCCTCCCAGGGGCATCAGAACGGCTGTTCCTTACTGCAAACCCAGCCACTGGCACGTTTTAGAGGCGGCAAAGTGGGCCCCGCAGCTTAGTGGTAGGGCCCCTTCCAAGAGGAAATGAGGCGTGGCTGCAAACCCACAGCCTCTGGGGAGGTCCCATTTCCAGGTACACGCAGGGCATCCTCAGCCCCTCAGCCCCTCTCCCTCTCCCTCTCCTCACAGGCTTTTCACAAGCATTCCTTCTTCCCTGAAGCCGACTCCCCCATGTACCCCTAAGGAGGAGTTGACAGGAAGGCCTCGCCTGTGTCTTGTCCAATATTCCCAGCAGAATAGGCCCACTGGAGCCCAGAGGTAGCTACAGCCTATCTGGTGAGCTTCCCCAGGGGGCTCAGGACTGGTGGGATGGGATGATGGGCCCCTCAGTGTCTATATAGGGTGGGATGGTGGGCCCCTCAGTGTCTATATAGATAGCAAGTGTCCTCATCATGCTCTTCACCAAAACAACCGTCACCAGGAAGCAGCAAGCAGAGGCCACTCATGGGGGACTGGGGCCTACGGTTTTCTCAAAATGTCCTTAAACCAGAGCCAGTCCTGTCGTGCAAAGCTGAGGCTCCAAGGTAGGGAGGTAGCCACAGGAGGCCTGGGCCATTCATTTCTCTTTTAAAGACAATGGCCTCCTGCTGCTTCCTCAGCCTTATGGTTCCAATAAAGAGTCCTTGATCGATTGCACAACCTCTGTTCCCTATTGCCAAATGTCCCCAAAGCCAGACTGAGAAACAGCCTGCCCGCTGCCCCCATAAAGTGCTATTTCACATGCCCTGACCCAATCCTAGACTAGAAAGAGGCCCCCTTGATTCCACTCCCGCAGCCTGGGGTAAGAGCAGACCACGAGAAGTGCACTGTAGTCCAGCTCCCAATGGCTACAATTATAAAATTAAATGGTATAACTTGCATGATGGCTGCAAATCTCCATGGCTGGCCATTTCTTCCTGCTGCCAGGCCCCTTGGCACAGTTGACATTGTCTCAAATTCCAGACCAGAAAAAAAGGGCCCACTATATTGCAGTGATTTTATCATTAACGAGACCTGTTTGGCTCCAAAATGAGGAAAAACACTTAAGCATAATATTTATGTAGTTCAAATGCAATGGCCCCTCTTGTCATGTGTCACCAAGGCAAATCTGGACTCTGATTCAGCGCTCCAGCCCACAACAGGAGACTTGAACGCAAACAGCCTGAGTCACGCAGGCTCAGCATGCATGTGGGAGGCCTGTTCTTGGCTGCGTATTTTAAGCACCGGCTTTGTGGATGAAAGGCCATGGGGCCAGGTCTTGCAGCAACCCCCATCATCCCTTTCCCTCAGAAGTATGAAAATGTCTTTTTTCTAGAGCGCTCTGTGTTGGTCAGCCATGGTGTGACTCAGTGCCTCTGGATGAAGCCTTCCTTAGCTCCTCCCTCCTCTTATCTCTGCCATAGATCCTTGGCTTCCTGATGATCAAACTGAAAAATCTGCAGTTTTCTTGCAGAAAAACAAACAATTCCAATGGAACAACCATTCAAAACATAATAACTCAGCCCTTTAACCTCCTACCACAGTCTAATGCCTGGCATTACGAGTTGGGGTAAAGAAGAAGGCAGGAACAATGATTGTGGAGAGCTCTATCTGCCTCAGAAATAATGCCAGTCGGCAAAGGCTGCCGGCAGGTTTTGTGCTCATTTCAAAACTTCACATTCCTCAGGCACTTAGTGGCATTTTTGAAGAACACTGTGTCAAGGACAGTGGGTGACCCAGGAGAGTGATGTGAGCGAGGTCATTCTGAATACACAGCACTTGACGTGGTAGAGTCTACAGCCACAGCTTGGAAAAACAGCTCTTGGCAGTTGTGTCTCTCTTAGCCAGCAAGCGTGGGGACCTGTGCCACGGAGACACCCAACAGGAATCATCATTCCAGGTAAGCCAGTCCTGTGGTCAGGCACAACGTGAGGTATTTTTTGTTTGTTTGTTTCTTTGTTTTTTATTTTAATTAGTCCCCCTCATTACTATATACTTAGAAATGAGAGCTTTAACTTGTGAGCAATTTCTATACCAGCTGATACCTGCCAAAATTGTAGTCATTTATAGAGATTAACTGATGACTGTCTGCTTTAGCAGAAGTGTTCAGGCATAACTCTCAGAGAAAACAATTCTTCACTCTAAGCTGTTTTCTAAGCCCTGGGAGTCTCAGGGCTGAGTTTAATGCTGGAGGATTGGGGAAGAGCCCATTCCACTCTCCCCACGTGTGTTCCTGGGAGTCAGTAGGAACGTTATTGCCTTGGTAGGGGTCTTGACCCTCAGGCTCACAATGGTGCTGGAGAGCTGTGACACCAAGGCACAGGGGAAATGAGAAGCATTATCATATTCAGGGTGTGGTTTGGATGCACTTACAAGCTAGATCGAAGGAACATCTAATTCTTACTTTCTGAAACCATCAGACCTCATGTGCCAAATAGCAATATTTTGCATGAAATATAGGAACTTCCGATATAAACTTTCAAGCTGGGGAAAATGAATACTTTATGTCTTCAGTTTCCTGTATCTGTGTTCAGTTAAAAGGCTCATTTGCCCCCCGAATGTTAAATAGAGGAGTATGGAAAATGTCTACTATCCAATTCACTTTTCTTCTTTCTCACTGAGTACCGGGCTTTAGAGGGCAACAGGGAATTCGACCCTGGGTCAAGCCCTTGGGTAGAACCAGGATGCAGCTCTGAACACCTGCATGCTGGCAGCTTGGCTTCTTCAGCATGTTTGGAATCAACTGTGAATGTTTACAGGGCGGTGCTTTAAAGTAGTGGGCACATCAAGATTTCACCCTGGGACATCTTAATCTTAAGCAGAGTTGAAAAAGGTCCTAAATTCTTCTAGTACCATTTTCTCATTTTTGAAAAAAATGAAAGTACTTGCTTGGAATTTTATTATGTATGCAGAGTCATAAAAATCCAAAAAAGGGGAAAAAATTGTATATAATAAAAATAAGTCAATGCCGTTTGCAAAATTTTACTTCATTCCAAAGGCATTCCTATTGTTTTCGGGGTTGGCTGCTCATTAGGCCATCCTTAAATGTTATGATATTTTGTGACGGATAGTGAGACCAGCTTTCACTTTTCTGCCATACAAAATAAACTGAGCAGGTATGCATATCTCGTTGATAACCGAGCTGCCTTTTTCAAGACACCATTGTGATCTGTGGCTGTAAGTAACATAAATGTAATATATGATCTTCCATTAAAGAAACCAGATAAGGTTAAATTGCCACCGTTTCTTGGAAAATTTTGGTTAGATAGAATAAAGAATTTTCTGGCAGTCAACAACATATTAGTCTATGTTTCCGATATGGGTTTACTAGTTTTCTTGATAGATTCTTAGCAGAAAAATGAGGAAGGTATATACTCAGAAGACTGTCATGATGAGCCGTTGAGCCAAATCTATGCAAAAGCATAATACCAAAAAGATATATTTCTCTCTGTATATACATGTATAAAATTGTGGTTCTTCTAAAAGCATATAAGAATTTTATATAGTCAATTTTAAAAGGATATCTGTATTTCAGAAGATGTTGGCCAGTCAATTGGATACTCACTACATGAATCTGGATATAAAAATATGGGGTTTTCTTCCTTTGATTTGCTACTGTTTTATGACAATGGAAAAGAAATCAATGTGTGTAGAGAACAGCTTACTTTTCCTGGTATCACAGTCTAACCTTTAGGTTGCAGGGTCATTAGGATTTCAAAGTGACAGTACTGAATGTGACTCTTCCTGAAGCCCCTTGCAGATGGTAAAATAAATCTCCCTAATTGCAAACCTAACCATATGCTGGCTAATTTAATGTTGGGAAATATTCTTCAATATTATTTACCATACCACATGTATATTATATATACTATATAATATAAACTATATAATGGTATATAGTATGTCAGTATACATTCTAATTCATATTATATATGCATGCTTATATATTGTCCAGTGCTACGTAACTATGGGTAGCCTCACTTTCCCCCACCCCAATTTCTTCTCATATCGTTAAGCTAAGACAACACCACAAGGTTGGAGTACTTCAGAACTGGAGAATGGCCACAGAAATCAGCCTTGGTTTTTAACTAATGTGTGGGAAGTGAGGTTCAGAGAGGTTATGTCATTTGCCCAATCTCACACGGCCAGTTACAGGAAGAGGGCAGGTCTGAAAACACACACACTCTCAACACCCACCGACACACACACTCGGAATGTACACTCAGTGCACCTAGAAATTCAACACCCACGGACACACACACTCAGATATGTACACTCAGTGCACCTAGAAATTCAACACTCACCGACACACACACTCGGGATGTACACTCAGTGTGCCTAGAAATTCAACACCCACCGACACACACACTCGGGATGTACACTCAGTGCACCTAGAAATACACATTTCTGTGAACTCAAAGCGAACAGGGTGGAGAAGTGCACAATGCTTCATAGTTTTAGATCTCAGAGACACGAAAGCACTTGAACTTTTGCATTCTGCCTCAACCATCTCACTTCTGCTCCCAGTGTGTGTGTAGAATCAGAAGACAGCCCCAGCCACACTGTGACCTGCAGGCTGTGAGGCTGTGTTTCACCTGCTTGAGTGGGCAATGGAATTACCTGGGCATTCTAGTTTGGTAGGTTGGTCTAGGGTGAAGGGCCTGAGAATTTGGAGTTCTAATAAGGTCCCAGGTGATGCTGAGGCTGCCGATACAGGGAGCACGCTGGGAATATCTGCATGAGAGGGAGAGCTCCTCCTGATACTCAAGCTTCCAATGTGCATTACTACTTCCCTTCTCCTGCCTGCTTCTGATTTGCTGTGTGCTGGGGAGAAACACGCGAACTAAATATGCCTGAACTGTGTTTAGACTGTGTTCATGAGCAATGACTGACGGCCTCCTTTTGGTGATAACTATTTGGCCGTCTTTTCATTTTTTTAACTCTTCAATACACACAGAGCAGCTGAAAATGCCCAAACTCTGCCCTGCAGATAGGCCGGTGTGTGACCGTCTCTGTCTCCTACAATAACTGGGCACATTCTGTCAGAGTCACTGTCATGATAATCAGTCTGATTGCTAAGGTGAACCCCAGATTCTCAAGTAGGAAGTAATTTCTGCTGTGCCATCTATAGAAAGACTTTGGGGAATGGCAGGGAAGGGTTACATGGAACCTTTATTCCGTTCCACAAATGCAGCAGTTAAGTTCTCTGAGTGCCCACAGGACCGGGTGTTAATGCAGATGCCACAATCCTCCTCCCCTCTAGAGAAACAACATGGTCCCAGGGAAACGTGAATGCTAGAGTAGGCGTTAAGAATTCTCCATTCTAAATCTGCTTTTCTACCAACCTTTGCTGTGGACAAGAACAAGTCTCTTCATCACTGAGGCTCCGTATCTGGAAGCCTGGAATTAAGAGACTAAGAAGGATTACTCCAAGGGACTCTAAAAGCATCCACAACAATTACATCTGCTGCCATTATCTACTCAACTGGTTCTAAGCACGGTCTTTCTTGAACAACTTCTAATGAGGTTACGACTTTCAAAGTTTTCCCTTTTGTCTTTTTTCAGGCAGACACCTGGCTGCGGGAGCCACTGCCAAGTCTAGCTGTCAGGTTGGTCTCAGAGCTCTGTCTTGATCCCCACCAGGTCGCCCAGCCTGCGATCCCACCTGGCCTGCTCTATCTTTCTGTGTGCTGGGGGTCAGCAGCTTTGCACGAGGTGTCCTAAGAATTCACTCTCCCTCTGCCTCCAGCTGTTTCATCAGTGACCCTTTGGACAGTTAGTTATGAGTGACCTTGGACTTCAGTATTCAAAGGTGCCCTCCTCTCTCCCTTAAGCCTTCACAGAGCCTTTCGTGCTACCCTACTGACTGGGACATTCCATTCTGCTTTCACCCCTCCCCCTCTACCATCCCAAGGCTGAGTCCAGAGGGAGTGGGACATTAAACACACCTTAAAATTTGCTAGGAAGTTGTCAGAGGCTGCACCTGGGAAGAAAGCCACTCTGCGGAACACTCATCCAGGCTCTCATTTCCCAGCTTCTTGTCTGGGTTGGAAAACAATGAGACATCTGCCCTGAATGCCCACCTTTTCCATCAGTGGCAGTAGGCACATAAGTCTTAGGTGAGTACCTGTCACCCACCCCGCCCACACTCCCTGTGCAGGCCCCTGTTCCTCTAGCTCATGCCCCTAAGCCTCTTAGAGGTGGATGAATCCTGGCAAGTCCCCTAGGATACCTCCACTTCCTAGGAATCCCTTTTACCCACTCAGCGATTTCTAGAGGGGTGATGCTTTAGCCCCAGAGAATCACCAGCAGGAATAGCAGAGCCTTTGGTCGGAAAGAGCTTTTGTACTCTTGTGGGTGGTAACAGGAAAGCAAGCACTCACTGGGTCCACCTGTGTATGGGGCTTTCCTACTCTGGGCCTTCCCGAACCATGGTCCTACAGTGGCCTCTCAGGTGACATGAAGTACAGGTCATGTCACCTGAGGTCAGGTGGCATTTTCTTAAGCCTGTTTTCTAAGGCAAATGCCTCCTACTTGAAACTAGAAGGCAGATAGGTTGAGCTCCCCTCTTTGCTCCGGCAGCAGTGGCCACCTTGCTCTTGCCCCTGTGTCACTGCCCTGGGGCCTTTGCACTTACTGTTTCCTCTGCTCAGGAAGCTCTTCCCTGAGATCCCTGTGGACCTGATCCCTCCCACCCTTCAAGTATTTGCTGAAATGTCATCTTCTCCCTGAGGAGTTCCTGGAGATCCCCTTTTAAGTTGCAGACTATCCCACATCCAGCCAGTCCCTAGCCCTTTGGCTTAGGTTTTCTCCATAGCACATGTTAATGTTATCCAGGGTCTGTCTGCACCCATGGGACTGTAAAGTCTACAAAGACAGGGATTTTGTATTTTTTCTGCACAGCCATGTCTCCAGCACCTATAAAACCAACTGGAGCCTAGGAGGCTCACTAATGTTGGCTGAATGAATGAATGAGTACTCAGGTCCTTCATGATTGGTGCTGTCCAATCACCCTCCACTAGGTTGTGGGAAAGCAGAAATCATTTCAGGTGAAGGAAGTTGTAATTAAAGTTTTCAGCTGAAATGTAACTACAGAAAAACTTCTTGTTGAGAAAAAATACAATATCATAACTGAGCAGTTTCATGAGAATTGTCTCATTAGAAGTTGAATCAGTCCGGGCCTGATGGCTCATCCCAGCACTCTGGGAGGCCGACACAGGCGGGTCACTTGAGGTCAGGAGTTCAAGACCAGCCTGGCCAACATTGTGAAACCCCATCTCCACTAAAAATATAAAAAAATTAGCCAAGCATGGTGGCGCGCACCTGTAGTCCCAGCTACTTGGGAGACTGAGGCAGGAGAATCTCTTGAACCCAGGAGGTAGAGGCTGTAGTAAGCCAAGATCGCTCCACTGCACTCCAGACTGGGTGACAGAGGGAGACCTCTCCAAAAAAAAAAAAAAAAAAAAAAATTAAATCAATCAGGAAAACTCATTTATTTTCATAGTGAAAAATCAAAAAGAATAGGTCAAAGGCTCTTTTGCTGAGTTGAGAGTGGCACTCTGACATAAGCAAAGTCCACCAGCTTCTCCTGTTTCTTTGTAGTGAGTACCCTCTCACACGCACACACAGAGAGACATACAAAAACACAGATGGCACACATGCACACACATACACACATACAGACATGCATGGACAAACATACACACGGACACAGCCATACACATAAAAACATACAGATGCAGCTGGGCGCGGTGGCTCATGCCTGTAATCCCAGCACTTTGGGAGGCTGAGGCGGACAGATCATGAGGTCAGGAGTTCGAGAGCAGCCTAGCCAGTATGGTGAAACCCCATCTCTACTAAAAAATGCAAAAAGTAGCCGGGCATGGTGGCACGTGCCTGTAGTCCCAGTTACAAGTAAGTGGCTGAGGCAGAAGAATTGCTAGAACCCAGGAGGCAGAAGTTGCAATGAGCCAAGATCATGCCAGTGCACTCCAGCCTGAGCGACAGAGCGAGACTCTGTCTCAAAAAACAAAACAAAACAAAATATAGATACACATGGACACACATGTATAAACACACATACAGACACACATGGACATATACACACAAACACAGGCATGCATGTAAACACATACAGACACACACATACACAGACACCTGGACACACACACAGATATAAAACACACATGGGGATACACACATATAAATACACACAGACACATGTACATACGTCACACAGACACATATATTAAGACATGCACAGACACACATACACATACAGACACAAACCAGGACAGACACATATATACAGACGCACACACACATATACATATATCACACAGGGACACACATGCATATACACACAGGCAGATATACAGACATGGGGACACATATATACAAACATACACACATACTGACATACACACATATACACATACATACATATACATCCATCACACATCCATACATCCACTCACACACACACACCGTTCTGTGATCGCCCTCAGGACATGGGCCAAGACAAGTGTAGCAAGCAACAGTCAATGGACAGGAAAGGCTGGCCAACGCCAAGGCAAGATCAACAACCAATACAACTTCAAGCCAGAGACGCACACAGGCCTGCCCCTCCCCAGCCCCCCTGCACCATGCGCCCAAGACTCACGGGACAAAAACCCAAACAAAACTCTGCTCCCTGAGTCCAGGGCTCATTGCCACGAGCAGTGGAGTTTTTCGCCCACTCACATGAGACTCGGGCCTCTCCTAAAAGCAGAGCACTCAAAATCTAAATCTGCCATCCCCGGTCGCCAGGGCTCACTGTCCATTTCTGTCTGGTGACTAAGGAGGTAACTTGAGCTCAGGGCAGAGAAGCCACCTGCTGGCTTTTGCTCTTGACCAGAGGTAGCCCTCTGTGGGGGAAGTGGAGGCAGTTTCTTAAGAAGGGTGCAGACAGCTCCCAAATTCAAGGTTTTTCTTCTTCTACCAGCCTATAATCCCAAATATTAGCAACCCTCCCTAGGTTAAGGTCTTATCTCAAGGAAACCCCCAGTTACAGCGTAACTGAAAAGTAACCAGAGAGTGGTAACCACCAGTGACATGGATTTGTTGATCAGAGTAGCTCCTGCCCAGGGACAGACTCTAAAGAGAAGGCGACTTGCAGAAGAGAAAGAAAGTATTGGTGGCGGGTGGCGCACTATGGAGATATGAGCACTGACTCACAGAACGCTGCCTGGAGCTTCTGACATGGCTTTGGAGTTCAGGCATCAGCAGGGCTAGTCCTGGGGTAGACAGGCAAGACCTGGGGGCCAGGAGAAGAAGATCCAGGAGGCGCACACACACTGCTTGCGTGAGCATGTTACCAGCACTGAGGCTCTCCACACTGGCCTCCTAACCTCCCTGCAGGAATCTCAGTTCCCCTCCCGCAGCAGCAGATCTCATACATAATGGGCAGAGACACTGAGCATGTTTGGACAGGACCGAGGTAAAGGCAGGGCCCTTCCAAGGTTGGGTGATGCCTCCATAAATGCTGGACAAATAAATGAATGAGTGAGTGAGTGAATGAATGAATGAGTGAGCCCCTTTCCTGGACTAGATTTATTCTGGAATGCTCATCCAGCAGTGTGGAGGATGATCTCTCCTCCTCTGTACTTCTAAAAAGAGGGAAGGAAATTCCCTCCTATTTCTAAAAGCCCTGCCCCCTGGGCCTCGGGGACTTTCCCAACAGCAGGGGAACAGCATCTGACTCTGACGCTCTCTCCTGTCACAGACGCCAACTGAGGTTCTAGGCTGGCCTTGCAAAGCCCTTGGACAGATGGCTGAGCAGGTCCTGGCTGGTACAGAAGGACAGGGTACCCTGGCCACTCACAGCTCCTGAGTACTCACTAGTACAAAAGCCAACCGCAGCAAGTTGTTTTGAACAGAACGTTGACCCTCCCTCACAAATAAGGCTTCCGGTTGTTTGTGTCATGACAGCCTCATTCAGGCATCAGGCTCACTTCTATGCACTGTTGTCCACGTGCCAGAAGCAGCCACCTGCTGAGAAGGGCATCTGTGAGGAGGGAGACCTCTTCTAAAGTTACCTGAATGGGCAAGTGGCTGTTTGCCTAGACTCCCACAGAGCACAGCATGGTGATGAAGATGCTGGTCCCACTGTCTGCCAGGTAACATTGGGAGGGAAAGTTCTGTTTATTCCAAGACACTAGTGCCTCCTATTCACCTTGGTGACCACATTTGAGCCAGTTAGGAAATGAAGGAAGGGAAGGTTCCATCCTTGCCAGGGATGGAGACAGGGATGGAGGGCAAGGATGGACGCCCAGGACAGCCTTCTGTCCGGCAACATTCCCCCTCCTCAATCCTTTCCCGATTCGAAAGGTACACAACTTCCCCCTGGCCTGTCTACCTTGAGTCTCTGCCTATGGCTGCCTGGCCTGGTGAGACCAGCCTCCCAGCTCCTCTGTGTTACGCAGGCAATAGGAGAGCTGCCTTTTCAACAACTGTTTTGAACTTTCCTCTCCTTTTAACTCCTTCAACAGTCCCTCTTCTGTGTGAACACTCTGGTGTGTGAAAGCAAGACCTCAGCTCAGGGAGACAGCCCTCATAAACTGCCGCAGATTACCCTGTCTTTTCCCAGCCGGAGGGGGACCCCGCCCCACTCCCTTCCCAGTCTCTTCCCCACCCCCAACTTTTTTTTTTAACCACTTCTGCTTCCTTCATTTTCTCAGCAGCTGCAGCGGAGAGATATAGTAAAGCTACTGTATAGGATTTTGAAAGCAGGGCCTCCAAGAGCTTTCCAAACTCCACACAAGCCAGTTATTCTCTGCCTTGTTTTCTTTGGCTTCAGGTTAGTAACACAGAATGAGTCAAACAGTATTAACTTTCAATAGGGAAGTGGTGTGGTCAACCAAAGCTGTTTGCGGCTAGATTATGAAGATAGGTAGGGCAGGTAATGCAGAATAGCCCATAATACTGTGAGGAGGCAGAGGAGGGAGGCGGCCCCACTCAGAAACACTCCAACAATTAAGTCAACAGAACTCACACCATCTTTTTTTAGTTGGCTGAGGAATTAACACCAAGGTCTCTGACCAGCCAGCTTTGGGAAGTTGGCCATAATGGGGCTTGGACAATTGAGTACTTTGTGGGTTTAAGGATGTCTTTTTTTTTTTTTTTTTTTTTCAAATGTTGCCAAAGTCATGGGAACTCTAGTTAGGAAGATTTCCCCTACTTAGAGCATGTCACTCTGGCGTGGACCTTCATTCATCTCTTTCCCCGGCCTGGGGTTGATCCATTCTCCCTTCTTCCCCCTTCTCCTGCCCTGCCCCCACCTTCTCAGTCACAATCTTTGTCTTCCCAGTTTGGCAGGACATCCCAGGGGCCCCTGGGCTTTCCTTCCTGAGGTTAGAAGATGGTGCTTTGAAAGAACAATTGCTCCTACAACCATCAAATCAAACTTTTAGAAGCTGATAAAGACCTTAAAAATCATTCAATCTCCTCTTCTTTCTCCTTCTGTAGATGAGGAATCTGAGGGTCTAAGAGGAGACATGAGCTGCTGAGATTGACTGAGCTAGCAGGGCCAGACATAGACTCCACGGGCAGGCCCGCAGTCTTTCCACCAGGTCAGGCCACTCCCTCGCCCAGGGCTCAAGATTCCTTTTAGAGTTCAACAGAGCAGCTCCCGAGAACAGACCAGCCCTCAAGACTCAAATTTCAGTGGTTTCCAGTTCTTTCTCCCTGCACTCAGCTACCTATTTATTTTGAGACTGGCTGAATCACCCGAAGAATAGAACGGGTTTCTCTGAAGCTGCTCCCGGCAGCATGTCAGCAAATGAACAGGACAGCGAGCTGGCCTCTGGAGCCTTGGAAGATTCTCACCTCCAAGCAGCTGCAGTTTTTGACTCGTCCTGGGAAACTGGCACTGAGACTCAGGGGTGTAACATTTCACCTCCCTGAAATCAAATCCAGAAATCTCAGGCGAGCAGCATATATAAAAAGCCACAGGGGAAAAAAGGAATACGGACTCAGCAACTCTTAGGTGCTCTGAGCCTCTTCCCAAGCCTTCTGGTTCTGTGAGCATTTCATTGAAAGAAAATGGAATAACAGAGTTTTAGAAGAAAAACTGTATTTGGTCTTGCAAGAGAAAAGTATATTCATATAAAACTCAGTTCTCAACTATTTGCCAAGGTTACTTCTTTTGTTTCCAACATTTAAAAAGGGTATCTAGTTGTAGGTAGAGAAAACATTAAGATATGTGAATGGAAAAAGGTAAAATTTCTAAAAGTATGGATTCACAGTGGGGTCTGATTTAAATGTTTAAATTTTTTCTCTTTAATTTCTTCTCACCAATCCTGAAAGACACGACGAGATAATATCTACTTTCAATAAATCAATTAATTTTATTTAAAATCCCTAAGATTTTAATATAGTACATGCAAAACAATAATAGATTTTCTATTTTTTAATTATCTAATTATATTTATATTATCTAATTGACAGACTACTTAAAAAGCACATTGATATATATTATCTCAATGTGTCCTCAAGAACCCTGTGCAGTAGGCAGAACTCATAGTATTATTCCCATCTTATAGATGACCCAGGGGAAGCTTCTAGATGCTCAGAGCTTTGCAGGTCACACAACAGCATAGGTGCTTCATGTTAAGAAGCAGAACTGCATTTTGATAAAACCTTTAATTGGAAAAAGATCACCTCTCCCTCAAGGAAGTAGGGCAACATGGTTGACAGGGTTATGTTTCAATGAGGAATACATTTGTTGAAGCCAGTTCAGTGATGCAGTAATTGGAATTAATAATAGGTAGTATGGAAGGAAAAGAGAAAAAGCCCTTATTGTACTGTATTGTGAGGGCCAAATCTGCCAAGCTTTTTTTTTTCTTCTTTTTTTTTAAGTACTTGGCAATGGTAAATATTTGGCCCCCACTTGAACAGAATTCCATTTGTTTCCTCTCATAAGGTCTTTGGGACATGGTCAAGGGGCCTACCCGTCTAGAGCATGTGCTTTAATAATAGCAGCTAATATTTAAGGAACACTTCTGTGCCCAGCACGGTGCTATGCCCTAACATGAATTATTTTATTCAATCCGCACAATAATCCCCAACAGAGGGATATCATACTCCTGGTTTTATACCCAAGGAGGCTGAGGGTGGGGAGGTTAATCTGATCCCGAAGGGGAGGCCAGGCTGAATCAGGAAGCCAGCTCTGGAGCTTCGCCATCAGCCACTGCTCCAGCTCGCCTTTCAGGCTATCTCTTTTAATCCTCACATCCCCTAGCAAGAGAGGTATCATGCAGTCCATTCTACAGATGGGAAAACTGTGAAACGCAGTTTTAGACTTGAAGCTCCAAACTCCTTTCTCGCTCACCGAGGCTACCTGAGCACCCTGGTTCACTTTATTTTTTGAGACAGAGTCTCACTCTGTCACCCAGGCTGGAGTGCAGTGGAGCAATCTCGGCTCACAGCAACCTCTGCCTCTCGAGTTCAAGTGATTCTCCTGCCTCAGCATCCCGAGTAGCTGGGATTATAGGCGCCTGCCACCATGCCCGGCTAATTTTTGTATTTTTAGTAGAGACGGGGTTTCACCATGTTGGCCAGGCTGGTCTCGAACTCCTGACCTCAGGTAATCGGCCCACCTCGGGCTTCCAAAGTGCTGGGATTACAGGCGTGAGCTACCGCGCCCAGCCCCCTGGTTCACTTTTGAAACACTGGGCTATGCCTGGCGAGTAGTGTCCGAGAGGCGCGTGGGACGTGGCTCCGCATATTTCTCCTAGCTCTTTCAAATGAATGAACTGGAAATATCATACAACCACTTCAAAGGTAAGTGAAAATAAGGTGGTACCAGGAAAATATTCAAAGGGCCATAAATCTATGTAGTATCTAGGAACTTATTTCAAATGTTTACTCTTTATTTTAAATAATCAGAATATGACTTTTAAGCCATGGTGAACAAAAACAAATACAAAATCAAACAAGTATCAAATGTTCGACATTTCAGTATATGGAAGTACACTGAAAGATTTCAATAGCAGTCTGGGTTTTTGTCAATAATTGCTTTAATGGAAACTAAGTATATGTATATCATGAAAGTACCAAACCAATGTACTGCCTTTAAATAACTTTCTAGGGGTCTTGAGAGTTGGCAGATTGATTCCATTGTGTTACTTTTTGAAAAGGCAAACAGAAAAGAACTTTGCTTTGGGTACATATATATATATATAATATATATATAATATATATTATATATAAAATATATAATATATATTATATATATATTATATATACTATATATATTATATATAGTATATATAATATATTATATATACTATATACATAGTATATATAATATATTATACTATATATAATATATTATATAGTATATATATTATATATATACTATATATTATAATATATAGTATATATATAATATATATTATATATATATATATTAGCTTGGCTTTCACCTATGAATGTGAATCCAGAATATTTGGCTATTCATGACAGCAAATTTTACCAGTGACACGGCATAATTTACACATAGAAGTTGATGAAAATATACCATGTGTCAATCATACTATAAAAAAGGAATTTCACATCCAACTAAATGTCACTGGCTTGTGATATGTCTGATAATATAGCCATAATGTACGGTAATAGATTATACCTAATTTACCCTTTCTGTATTGCCAACTTTTCATAATTAATACTTTGATAGCAAAAAAAAGCAAACCTTCTCTAAAAGTTGCCTTTAAAGGAAAAGAATATGCGATGAACAGGAGAACACAGAAATTGCCTATCAGCTCAAATGAATTTAAATGCAGATATGGTGTAAGGGGGTAGCTTTTACTTATTTAAGCTAAACTGGAATTATTATTATTATTATTACTATTATTATTTTGGTGGTAGTAGTGGAGTTCCATGAGACCCAGTGTATCAAATTCTTACTAATGCCTTTCCTAGTTACATGGCTTACAGGAAAAAACAACAACAACAAAAAAAACTGAAGCCTTTGAGAAAACTCAAGGAGAAATTTTTCAAAATGAAAAATGGAAAGTGGCTAGGGTATGAGAAAAATTCTAAATCTACCTGAAAGCACAGGAGTTGATGTATTTTAATGTGCTGGGATGCTGTGACTGCCAACCGCAATCCATCTGAAAGCTGTGGGTCCATCCATCCCCATGGGAGACGTGCACCCAATGACAAGGCCTGACCATCTCAGACTGGGGCTGCCCCATCAGACCCCCAAAGGACACAGGCAGCAGGCGGAGCTGCCTTGCACACATGGAAGGGTCTCCAGTGCTGGTCACTGATTTAGGAAACTCAGTGGGTGGCCGGCCATGTTTATGTGCTTGCAAAGCTTGGCTGCGGGGAGAGATCCCAGGCACGCTTGGGAGACACACTGCATTTGCCTAGTACAAGAATTCCGACCCCAAGACACCTGCTACATTACACGTCACGTTTCTAGGACAGTGTGGAGACTTCTGCAGCTGTGTCATGCCTCTACTGAACAGGACCCATGTGTTAGATCTTAAGCACTGATGTTTGATGTCACCCACACGTGACTTTTCTTTCTGACTTTTTCACAAAGTGCAACATTTGGGGGCAAGGCCATTTCACCCGTTAGTGACTTAGGAACAGTGCCCAGAGTGTTTCCAGGGCCCATGCTATACTAGAAAAGAAATTTTACTGGGTCTCAACACAAAACGAAATCCAGAAAAATAAATCAAAATTTATAAATGTTTAATTAAATGTAAAAAAAAAAGTGTACCATTATGGCAACTTCATGAATTTTTAAATTTAGGAGCCACAGATCTTTTTTGGTTAAAGTTTTCTCATTTCCAGAAGGATTTCAAGACTAAATCTGAATTATACCTGTCCTCTTTTGAGTATGTATTGTGTGCCAGGCATGGTTCTAAGCCACAGAGGCTGCTGCATTCAGCCTTCCAGTGATGTGACGGTGGTACTACCAACTGTCCCCGTTTTGGAGAGGCTCAGTCAGACCAGCTGCTCCCCCAGGAATCGGCTCTCATAGTGTTAGCAAGTGCCAAAATGGAGACCTCAACCCCTAGTCTTGATTACATGTTGGTGGCAGAGAAGGCAGGGCAGCCACTTACAGCCAGAGAATTTCAGAACAAATTAGAAAGCCCTTTAAAAACTTTACAGCAAAAAAACGACGTCTATCTCATGTACCACCTGAGTGCATGTGGATTTGCCTGATGTGATTTAGGATGGCACTGCCCAGGGAAGGCCTGGAGGCCTCGGCCTCTAAGGGGCCAGTTTACGGGAACGAACTTACGGCTTTATTTTGCTGACCATATTTTGTTACCCTTTTTGCATGAGAACTAATTTAGAGATTATCTCGTCCCATTGCCTGGTTCAACAGGAGAGGAAAATGAAGACGAAAGTATTTAAGATAATTGCTCAAGTTCACACCCACTGGCCTGGTGGCACCAGTGTGAAAACCCAGGTCCCTAAATTCAGGATCCAGAAAACTTTTTACATGTTTGAAGCTTAAGAAACAGAAGCCTAAATGCAGACAGGGTTTTTTTTTTCTTATGGCATGTCATACAATGAATTCTAACAAGGACTGCAATATATTAGTTTAGATCCTGACCTCACTGGTGTGGCATTCAAATTAGTGATATGGTTTTGCGAGGGTCCAGACGGAAAGAGAAATTCAATGTAATGGTGTAAGTTTCTTCCCTCTTCTCTGCTCCCACATTGGATTGAGAAGGTGCCTAGATCATCTCTTTGGGTTTTCACATTACCTGGAAGGAACTCTTATTTTGTTTTCTTTCTATAGCAATACAAATGCCATCTTAGAAAATCTCAGTGGTGGCCAAGCACAGTGGCTCATGCCTTTAATCCCAGCACTTTGGGAGGCCAAGGCGGGTGGATCAGCTGAGGTCAGGAGATGGAGACCATCCTGGCTAACACAGTGAAACCCCATCTCTACTAAAAATACAAAAAATTAGCCGGGCGTGGTGGCACACACCTGTAGTCCCAGCTACTCGGGAGGCTGAGGCAGGAAAATTGCTTGAACCCAGGAGGTGGAGGTTGCAGTGAGCTGAGATGGCGCCACTGCACTCCAGCCTGGGCGAAAGAGCAAGACTCTGTCTCAAAAAACAAAACAAAACAAAACAAAACAAAACAACAACCACACACAAAAAACCTCAGTGGTTTCTGTATAAGACAGGAAAAGTTACCAAGAATACACAGGCCACGCCAGCTCACTCAGAGCTGCACCAGGTGGGTTACTGCCGCTTCTGGGACAGAAGCCCATTCCCTTCACGGTCCTCTTAGGTTCCCATTCACCCCAGGGGCCCTTTCAGACCTTAACCTCCACTCTAGGGTCAAGGAAGTCTGTATGCATGTAAAATTCTTCTTCTTGGACTGGTTTGATACTACTAAAAATATTCAACAGAAAGACATTCTAAAATTCGCTGGAAACATTTAGGCACGATTATTATTAATGCTTTAAAAACTGCCTTTGCCAAGTCATCAGGTAGTTGAGGAGCTTAACACAGAAGGAATTAAAAGTACCAGGGGGAAGTTCCCCCAGAACTTTCAGCTTGGCCTGAAATGCCTTTCAAAGTGGGGAGGAGGGGATGTGAGTCACGACAGCATTTTCCTCCTCTTTGAGCCTCTGCCTTGCTCCTGCTTTAGGTGGGAGGGGAGGAAGAATTACTTTCTAATTCCTGTGTGGATCAGGATTGCATCTAGAAAGAACTAAAGTCCAAGTCCAAATCTGATGAATTCAAGGGAAGAGGAATTAAGTAGCTCATCATTCACTACCTGGAAAATACGCTTGAAGCAATTCCCAGTGAGCAATGCGATTGTGGATTGGTAATTACAATCCTGAGATCACAGATCCATAAAACCATCTGACATTTTCATAATCATTCAAGAGCAAAGAGTGACACATCTTTTCATCCCCCCGGCGGCTACGTGCTGTGCACACGGGCCCTCCACGAAACCCTTTGTTAAAGGGGGACCCAGACTTGGACCACTACTCTGCAGGTCACTCCACTTTACCCATCTTTCGTGAAGGCCAACACCGGAAGAAGAGGTCTATGTTGTACAACACCCCGGGGTCAGGTCCCCCTTCATGCCAGGTCCCCAAGTGGACCCTGGTGACAGAAGCAGAACCAACTGCTGGCACCTGTGACCAGCATGGCCATGGCTGTGTATTATGAACTCTGGGGAGGTGTGGGAGGGGAGGGTACTTCCTGCAGCCCTGCCGGGGAAAACACTGATTCCCTCCTGTCAGTACAAAAAAAATGATGAATGCCAAAGCAACAGGGCTCTGCTTTCTTGAAGAAAACTGTATGTGACCCAGAACTTTACTGATAAACTCTCCCAATAAAAAATACAGGAATTACATTACCATGAAGCTCAAAAAGCGGCCAGTGCAGTTCTTAAAAACAGACCCTGGCATCGGTGCGTGCCAGCATCTGGACGCCTTAGTTTACATGCTGGCTTACTAGTTGCGTGACTTTGGGCAAGGTATACGATTTATTTTTTCTTCAATTTCCCTGCCTGTTCTTTTGAAGATTATATAAATTAATATGCGTGAAGCACTGTGAACAGTGTTGGGCAAATAACACTATTTAATGTTAGCTATTGCTATTATCGAGTATTTTTATGATTAAGAGAAAATAACAATGTGAACTAGGTGTTACTCAATCCTAAGAGCAATTATTTTTAGGTCCATTATCACCACCAGTTTACAGGTTGGTTCCTTCCCTTCCTTCCCTTCCTTCCTTCATTTTTTTTTTTTTTTGAGACAAGGTCTCACTCTGTCACCCAGGCTGGAGTACAGTGGCACCATCTCGGCTCACTGCAACTTCCGCCTCCTGGGTTCAACCGATTCTCCTGCCTCAGCCTCCTGAGGAGCTGGGACTACAGGCGTGTACCACCACACCAGGCCGATTTTTGTATTTTCTGGTAGAGATGGGGTTTTCCTGTGTTGGCCAGGCTGGTCTCCAACTCCTGACCTCAAGTGAGCCGCCCGCATTGGCCTCCCAAAGTGCTGGGATTACAGGCGGGAGCCACTGCGCCTGGCCCATAGGTACTTTTCATGCATTTCTCTTCTTCACTTGAAGCACATTCTCCATATATAAAGATCCTATTTCTCATGTTCACATATATAATAGGTTTGCTATACACACTCAAAGTCATAGAAGAATTATACTCATATGACATGATCTCAACCAAGTACTTTAAAAAGTAGCTGAGTGAAGATTAGGCCCTTTGATCAACCTATTTTAACTATAACTCCCTCTAAAAACAAAAATCAGACAGAAAGAAAGCTAGTGCCTCAGGAAGCACTCTACAGTTTGTAAGTAATGGCTCCACCTTACCATCTCTATGAAAAAAATTAAAAAATTAGCCGGGCATGGTGGTGGATGCCTATAATCCCAACTACTCAGGAGGCTGAGGCAGGAGACTCGCTAGAACCTGGAAGGCGGAGGTTGCAGTGAGCCAAGATCGCACCACTGCACTCCAGCATGGGCAACAGAGTGAGATTTCACCTCAAAAAAAAAAGAAAAAAAAAAAGAAAAAAGAAAGCTGCACATTTTACCTTACTCCCTAGCTGCCCTCTAAGCCAGTATCCCAGATGTCACCTGATGTATGGATGCTAGAAGCCCCACCCTTAAACAGACCACATCACAAGACTCTACGTTAACAGCCTGGTCCTCAAGGACGGGCTGCCCAGAGAGCAGAGGCAACGCTGCCTCCACCCAAAAGGAATCCCGTGAGCTCTAGACATGGTCATCCTTGCCTGTGAGGAGGGGGGCAGCTGCAGAGGCCTGTCCTTCCCTCCAGGTTTGTACTTCCCGGCATCTGCTGGGTTACACCTTTCCAAAATTACAGCCAGCTCTTTCACTTTTAAAATAGAAATAACTATATTTAATTAAACAAACAAACAAAAAAATCAAGAGCTCAAGCAGAACACAGTCACGTGAAAGACTCCTTTAACCTGGGGACAGACAGAAGTTATCTCAGAAATGGCCAATACGTTAATTAACCTTTTTGATTTTTAATTTAGTTTCTCAATGTTCCAGACGTAACAAACACCTGACCAGACAGGTAAAGGCTGCCCAATCCATACCACCAGGACCAGCCCCCCAAGACGGGTCAGTTAGGGTCCCCACTGCTCACTCTCCTCAACCTCTCCTTGGCAAAATATCTTCCTCCATGGCATTGAACCAATTCCTGCATTGAAATTATTTAATGAAATCTCTGTAGAGAAGATGCTTTGGGATCTCAATATTAGCATAGAGACACCTAAATTACAGATTTGTGAGCTGAGAGCTGGAGTTTTTCATTAGATCCTAGAAATATAAAACATACATTAAAAAAACAACTCTCAGCCATTCGTAGTAGCTCATGCCTGCAATCCCAGCACTTTGGGAAGCCAAGGTGGGCAGATCACTTGAGGTCAGGAGTTCGAGACCAGGCTGGCCAACATGGTGAAACCCCGTCTCTACTAAAAATACAAAAATTAGCTGGGAGTGGTTGTGGGCATCTGTAGTCCCAGCTCCTCCAGAGGCTGAGGCGGGAGAATCGCTTGAACCTGGGAGTGGGGCAGAGGTTGCAGTGAGCCGAGATTGTGCCACTGCACCCCAGCCTGGGCAACAGAGTGAGACTCTGTCTCAAAAACAAACAAACAAACAAACAAAAAACTCTCAAATATCCTTTTCTTGAAAAATCCTTTCGCTCTATCTTTTGTGCTTAAGGAGGAGACACTCTCAGTATATCAACAAGCTACTAAGTGCTCTACGTGCTAACCGAAAACAGAGCCCACCTTGGTGCTGGTAAGAACCCATTCCAGGCAGAGGATACCTTTTGATGGTGCTCTTGCTCCATGATAAAGTTAATTTTTCAACAATTAATAATTTCTATATTACTCTAAGATATTTCTTAAAATCCTATGGAATATGAGAAAAACAAGTTTTGATTTTCTAAGGGGCAGGTCCATTACTGTAAAAGAGCAAGAAACCATCTGAAACGAAAAACACTTTAAATTCCCTTTGGCGTATACTTTTGGCTACAGCTTCACCACTGAAAACCCTGGAAGAGGGGAGGGATGCATCAAGTTTACCCGTCGGCATGAAAAACAGACGAGCTGTGGCACAGCTTCTCATTCTCAGTCCTTAACTTAGTCAGCGGAATGGCAGGTTGAATGGCAGTTTGTCCCTCCAAATGCCAGATAACTGCTTTATTTAGTTAAGCTTGCACGCATACCTCAAGTCAAAGGCTCCACACCTGCAATGAGGCACTACCATTTGCCCTTCTATAATAGACAGTCTTCGAGATGAGCCAAATATGCCAGCCAATCATATAAGCCAACTCCTCATTTTAAATGTGAGGATACCGAGGCCAGGTCAAAGAGTCTATAAGAAAGAAATAGATGATGTACAGACAGTATGGTATGGATAGAGAGATGAACAGATGAATGGACAGGTAGATAAATGAAGGACAGCACAGAAGTAGACATCAGGAACTCCTCATTCTGTTAACGCTTCATCATCAACTATCTCTTTTAAAGCTAGGCAAACCGTTTCATTTTTCTGGGGCTATTTTCCCTTACCTATGGGGTGATGATCCTAAAGGCTCTTCTCAGGCCCCTCCTAGCTCTCATTGTCTTTGATTTTATGAAACTAGAGAATTTTCCAAAATGATTCAATTTGACCTTGGCAATGCCAGGGCCATTTTGCCAGGATTTCCCAGAATTCATTGCACCATAATCATGGAGGGGACTCGGGAGGTCTTATTCATCCAGAGATCTGGCAACATCTGGGCATCCTGATTTACATGCAGTGTCCTCTCTTTATGTTACACTGGAAAGCAACTGTGAGCAAAGCTTACTATAGAAAGTTCCCACCCTGAATGAAGACGTTCAAACCATAAGAAACCAGCATACTAAAATTAGCAGTGATGGCCCCTCTTGCTTCACAGGGCAAATAGAAAAGTCAGCATTACCCAAGTCAACCTGGGAGTCTGCATGCACTTGGCTTTTTTCTAGAAGTCCCTTGTAAAATGTGAGACTTTCTACCTGGGGCTATTGCACCTCTATATATCATACTTATACTTATTCCACGCATTTAGTTTTTCCCCAGGCCCCAAATTCCATTTGGCAGGGAAGACTGTGTAAAAATGGATGCTTCTTTGGCGCAAATCCCTTCTGTCTGCTCAGAGGGTGCTTCTCCATATAACAACTGTTTTCTTAAGTTGTAAAACAGCAGGGGCAGAGTAAACTGTATATACAGCCAGACCGTTACAATCGCATAGACATCTTTTTTCCCCTCTGACTGCCAATTCTTAAAAGTCAGAGTCGCCACCATTTGTTTTCTGAAGCTCAATAACTTTGTTATTTCTTTGAATGTTACAGGAAATGCTGGCAGTGAGGCAAAACCCAGCCTTCTTTATGCATGAGGAAATAAGAGAAGTAGAGGGTATACCCAGGGTCACCTGGCTTCGGCTTCTTCAGGCTGGTCGGCATTTCAACTGTCCCAGAGACGGCTGTTGCTTCTAGTTCTAAATACAGTGGTTCTACAGCCTCCTGAAGGAGCATTTCTCTAAGTTTAGTCACCCTCAAAGTCGATTTTCTTATACCTAACAACTGCCTCCCTCCCAGCCAGGCCCCTTGCCATAATTCAAGCCTGCTTCCTCTTTGGTCCTCTGTGGAGAACAAACTTGCTTTGGTGTTTATGTTCTGTTTAATGCAGGGTTACATTAACGTAGGAATGTCCAGGTTGACATTCCTACTCTGGAAACCTAAGAAGAGCTCACAGTCATTCCTTAGACCTGTGTGGTCCTGTCTGTGTCTATGGCCTGCTTTTCACTCATAAAGAAGAATCAGGGTCTGTTATCAAGTCCCACAGTCTCCCAAGTCTAGGCATGGCCAGAAAGTCTCGATCAGAAAAAGCTGAGAGGGCCCTCTGGGGAAAAATGCAGTCAGATCTGGAGGGAGTCACCGAGCACAGCAAATGGAAGGAAGGGAAAAAGCAGACGAGGAACACCATATCCTGGTGGCCTGCCCCTGGTGGGCATGGTGATTATTTGCAGAGCTCCATCCACTCAAGGACTTTGGGAAAGTTGATGCAGCTTGGGGAATGGTTCCAGAAGGTGACCCAGATGCCATGAGGTTGTGGCCAGGACCACAGGGAAGGCTGCCATAAAAGCTGCCGTGATCACAGGATAGCCTGCAGAGAACTACCTTAAAACCCCACCTAGAAACCACCATGCAGGGAAGGTCATCTAGAGGGGACTGGAGCAGTAGCCAGGGATGAAAGCAGGGATGCCCTACTGGGGATCACTAACATTTCCTGCCTTCATTCTCTGCATCAGGCACACAGCATCATTTGGCTTGATCTTATAAAGAAGCTCTCATTATTATCCCCATTTTACAGAAGAGGAAAGTGAGGTTCAGCAAGGCTCTGTAGCTCACTGAAGGCTTAAGAATTCCACTGGCTTGCCCATAAAGCCCAAATTCTTAACCACTTCATTTTACAACCTGACCTCCCTGCATCTTGGCTTTTGGGGACAGTAGGAAGCCCTGTTTTTCAATATCCCTCACTCCAAGAAGAGAGTATATTAATTTTCCACCAGGGACCTGATACGGTTTGGAGACATCTGGATGCTGGGCGGGGGTGCTGGGCAGTTCCACAGACCTGGAACTGTAACCCAGCCTCAGATCCTGGGGAAGGGTGTGGTTCTGGAAAAGAGCGTTACTCTGGTGTTTACTCAAAGATAGTCATTAAGTCACTGTGAAGACATCTTTTCTGCAGACTAAACAACCTCACTCATTTTTTTAAAAGCTTCCCTCACAGGAGTTATTTTTTGGTACTATCTTTCTATATTTACTGGTTTTCCCCAGACATTCTTCTACCCTCCCACTCTCTATCTTAAAAATGCCTGTAATAAGATTTTGATCTGTGCCATAGAAAGAAAAGGGTCATTTTCATAGTTTTCATCTCTGGCCCTCATGAATTAATAAAAGGCCAGCATAGACGGTAATTACTCCCTTGTGGTCCACTCTGACCCTCAGACCTCTTTGGGCTGCCTCTGTGCCTGGCCAATCTTCCATTTACTATTTGTTTCTGATCCTGTTGAACTTTACTGTATATTGAGGAAGCAGTCCTTAGTTTCATGCTGCCCTGAATGGTTCTAACATATGATTCAGTCAGCCTAATTTCCTTTTGCCCTCTAAAAGGATGCTTCAAAAAGAGCTCAGTGCACAGAAACAAGCTTTGAGTAGCGAGAGTATTGACAATGCAACTTTTTGGCTTTACGGGGGCCTGACATCCCCCTGGGGGAAAGGTTGAACCCAAGGAATCTGAGACATGGTCCCTGAGTATACCAGCCTGGAGGGTGTACCAGCCTGGAGGGTGTACCAGCCCCAAGTGGATGCACTTACTTCGAGGTTCTCGGGGCCCATCCACTGTGATTTTGATGGCTCTGTGGTAGGTGGCGACTTGCGGTGGGTTTGTGAAGACAGTGATGGTCAGAGTGAAGCTTTTCCCTGTGGGGACACGATAGAGAACAAAACAGAATGAGGTTGGTGGCCTGAACATATCTGTTGAATAACCAATCATTAATTTATGCTGTCCAGCCCTTCAGCACAAGTTACCAGTTTTGACAACACTCCCGGAATTTTGGCTTTGCTTCAATTCTGGAATACACACCTATGATAGTTGCCTAAGTGTAACACTTCACATAGTTATATGGCTTTAATGTAATCATCAATAAACAATACAAGATCAAGAAAGATTAGAATTTATTTTCTGTTAAGTCAGGATTTCCGGAAACCATAGAGTCAGATTGGCAGCTCTCCACTTCTGGTTCCCAACTTCCCTGCTCCCATCTTTCCCAATTATTTATAATTCAGGGCAAATAAGAGTAGAAGAAACCATATCCATCTTTCTCTTCTTACTTTGTACCTTTGAAGATCAGGAAAGATAGAATTTCTAAGTTTGAAAACAGGCTAAATTAGAATCATTCTGTCTATATTTTTAAAAGACGAAGTCTGGCTGATTTTAAATATTATTTGAAAATGCCAGATGTTATTAGAGGTACTCATGGGATCAGTCAGAATAAAATTGATGACTCATAAATGGACTTAAGTATATGTAACTGACAGACTGAGATTCAATAAGTACTAGTAATAAAAAATGCACAAAATTTCCATTACACATTTTACATATATTTATAAAAGGTGAGAAAATCTTCATTGCATAGATTTACTAATCTAAAAACATTTCTTGTTGGTAAAGTGATTCAGAAGATAAATCTGGCTAGCTGACCTTTGGCAAGTCACTAGACACCTCTATGTTCCTCAGTATCCTTACCAGGAAGATGGTTACATGCAAATTTTCCTACCTTAGAGAGTTTTAGGGGAGATTAAATGATTTACCGTGAGTAACCCTGTTAAAACAGTTATCTGGCACACGGTATTCAACAGGGTGTGTCTGTGCGTGTGTGTGTGTGTGTGTGTGTATGTTGTCTGCTTTATTTCTCTTCTCTGTTTCTCACGGGTCTATAATAGGACCCTAACATTTGATTAAGTCTGATGTTCAATCTTCCTACATCAATACAGTAGTTCTTTAATCAACATAGTTTCTCCTCTTAATCATGTAGCATAAAGTAAATCAAAGACAGATGAAAGGAAAATATTTTCAATTGTCACACATGTCTTAATACAAAGGAAGGCCACAGAAAAACAAATGTCATGCGTGTCTTAATACAAAGGAAGGCCACAGAAAAATGCTCAATGAAAATATAATCTTTGGCCACAGCAAGCCACGATTCCTAATCGTGAGAAATCTCCACCGAACACTCCCCAAAGATGTGGATTCTATCTGTATTAAAGTCTATAATAAAAAGAGCAATAGCAAGTAACAATTAGATGATGAAGGCTGCTCTGCCCATTGTGCCTTTATAACTAAAGTCTCAGCTGACCTGTCCAATAAACGAGGTGAGGATGCTTCTGGGGAGTGACTTCCATGGAGCAGAGCATCAGGGATGCCAGGAGACTCTGCCTCCAAATCCATCTTTCCCATCAACTGGCCTGTCCCCAGAACCTAGAGACGAGTCTTGTTGGCCTTTGGGGATTTGCCAGTTTTAGGACATCGTTCAGATGTTATCAGGCGACACTCTGGATGCTTTCCTACCGTGGCATCTAGCTGAAGGAGAGGACTGGGTAGAAGAGGCCTTGGCCAGGCCCAGCAAGCAGGGTATGTGATGTGATGTGGAGGAAGATGCTGCCGCAGAGGGAGGCAGGTCCTGGGGGCAACTGCCCATCTCACTGGGCAGTCTCTGGCTTTCCAAGAACAGATCCAGGAGCAATGACAGCCACAGACGGGGAGCAGCCACATCCACATGTTCCAGAGCTGACTAACAGATTGTCCTACAAGCCTCATGGTCAGCCTGTTCCCTCTCTGTCAAGAACCCATGAAGGTTATCACCTGTATCATCAAGACTGAACTCCAGAACCTGCTTTTAGGATCTTCTCACTAATAAGACCCTGCCCCAAGTAATTTCTCACTCACCCCCTCTCCTCCGCATACCTGACTCCCAGTGTGCACCCTCCGAGTTCTACCCATGAGCCATGGCATTGAGATGCTGAGGTCTTCCTTCCTCCAGCCACTTCGCCAATCCAAGGCTCCTTGCTGCACCCTTCACCCGAGTCTTCCTGCCCTTCAGCATCTGGCAACGGGCAGTCACTCAGTCACTTGTTTTCCAGGCAGCCTTCCTTGATGACTACATTTTGCTTTATGGCTGTTTGGGCTGCCTCATAAATCATCCTTCACCTTTGATTATTTAGGGTGTCATACTGAATGCAGTTTGCGGCTGTGTAGACCTAGTCTCCCAGAAGGTGGGGACCCTTTTCTATATACCCATGTAGCCCTCACAGAAAGGTGGGAAAGGGTGCAAGTGGGAAGGGGCTTTAGGAGAGAGGGGGTATTTAAAATTAAAAAAAAAAAAGTCCCTTGAGGACACAACAATAGATAATGCCATTGTCCCAGTCCTGAGTAGGTCTAGGGGTGCATGTGGGTGTATGAGAGAGAGAGAGAGAGAGACTGAGGTGGTTCTTTCAGCAAGAGAGTTACAAGTTTGGGGATGCAATACAAACGATTTTACCTCTCCAGATCTCAGTTTCCTCATCAGCAAAATGAGGGGGGTTCATGGGATGCATGCAATGTCCCTTTCAACTCTCTGATTTCATCTTCCAAGAATGCAGCTGGCCTGAGATGCCCATAGCCATGTGCAGGCGGGCAGGTCCACGTGTGATTCTTCTGTTGCCTACAACTCTAGCACCTCAGTGACTTCATAAAAATACTGTATTTGTTTCCTGGGGCTGCTGTAATAAATTATCACAAACTGGGTGGCTTACAACAATAGAAATTAAGACTTTCACAATTCTGGAAGTCAGAAGTCCCAAATCAAGGTGGCAGCAGGGCCACACTCCCCCTGAGGGCTCTAGGGAGGATCCTTGCCTCTTTCTCGCTTCGGATGGTGGCCAGCATTTCTTGGCGTTTCCTGACTTGCAGCTGCAGCACTCTAGCCTCTGCCTCCATCTTCACATGACTGTCTTCCTACTGGGTGTCCCCTCCCTCTTCTTAGAAGGACATCAGTCATTGGACTTATGGCCCACCCAAGTCCAGTATGACTTTATCTCGATTACACCTGTAAAGACCTTAAGCCATATTTTAAGGTTCTAGGTGGACATACACTTTTTGGAGAACACTATTTAACTCAGTACAAATAGCAATGTAGTAAGAGCTCCCATCATGGCTCTACCAGTGACAACTGCTCTACAGGCACGCGTGTGTTTTACCCTCTGGAACAGTCTTGCTCCGATAGTGGCTCTCCTACCACCACGCTATCCACGACTACCCAAATGACAACAAAGAATGGTTGCATTCATAATACTGGCATTTTTAAGTCGTGTAGAACTTACAACTTTTTAAACACCTTCCCATATACTATTTCATTTGGTCCTCACACCAATCTCATGAAATAAACAAGATGGATTTTATTGTTCTTGATGAATAGGTAGCAAAGCTAAGGCCCAGAAAGGTTAAGTAATTTTCCCAAAGTCACACAGCTTTGATATACAGCAAAACTCATATCCCTGAGCTTTCTACTCACTGTTCTTCCGGTTATTATCCCTGAGGTCATAAATCTCCACCCGCAAACCCAATAGCACCAGTACAAGAAATCTGGACTGGAGATACTTTATCCACACCTACCACTGCCCCAAAAAGTAAAATCTGACTCTGTGATTCTAATGTACCAATGGTACTCAACCTGGGTTATAGCTCAAAAGCATTTTCTTACTGAGCTGCGTTTGGGCCTCTGGCAGTTGAGCACTCATGACACCCCATCTGGTAAACCACAGACTAACCTATATAATCAGGAGTAAAACTTAATCAAAGTGATAATTTGTGAAATGAATGGTCATTATCTGAATTCTCATTATTTCATGCCCATCTTTTTTTTTTTTTTTTTTTTTTGAGATGGAGTCTTGCACTGTCTCCTGGGCTGGAGTGCAATGGCGTGATCTCGGCTCACTGCAACCTCTGCCTCCCGGGTTCAAGCGATTCTCCTGCCTCAGCCTCCCGAGTAGCTGGGATTACATGTGCATACCACCACACCCAGCTAATTTTTTGTATTTTTAGTAGAGATGGGGTTTCACTATGTCAGCCATGCTGGTCTCGAACTCCTGACATTGTGATCCGCCCACCTTGGCCTCCCAATCATGCCCTTCATTTTAAGCACAGTCACAAGACATTTCCACCGAGCACACACTAGTAGGTGGGGCGTTTTGGCCAGTCATGTGGTTCTCCCTCACAAAGGGCTCTTGTTTACAGCTTTGGGTACAAGGACATTTGCTTATTATCTTACAGACACAGTGATGACTTCTTCACAGGTGTAGGTGACATTTTTCCACAGCACGAAAACTGCCTTACACGTCCTTTGTATTCTTCCAATGAGACCCAGCAGAGCCTTGATACTGGGCTGCAGTCAGCAACGGGCGCACCTGACAGGAGCCACATGCTCTGCCCTCCACGTGGCCCTGCCCTCTCTGTGGCCCCACCCCATGGCGGCTGGGACACAGCCCTTCTTGGCCAGCATCTGCAGAAGTAGGATCTGTGCCTCGGGGCACACGTGTTATGAGCCAAATTCCCTCATTGAAATGACCTATAGGCCTGGTATTTTAAGTACATGGGTGTGGAGCACAAAAGACTCTCAAGTGTTTCTCCCAGCGAGCTGCAGCCGGAATAGTGAGAAATCACAGGAGAGCAAGGGAGGGCAGGTTGGCTAAATAGCAACGGCCCCAAAATGGGCTTTTCAGGACCCAGTGCAGGGGTGGAAGGATGGGGCTGCTGCCGAGAGGGCCGGTGTTTCTGTTGGCAGCCTGGAGGATCCAAGGCTCCCTGAAGCACTCACTGGCCTTGGTCTGGTGAGGCCAGCAGAGGCTTTGGTCAGTGCACAGATGGCCCCAGCACTGATCCTGTGTGTGCTGCTGGAAGTCGGCAGCTCTTGGTTCCAGAGGGGGCCACCACGGGGTCACAGGGTGGCCTGCATGGAAGGAAGCCAAGGAAAGGGGTAAACAAGGGGTAAACACCAAGTCCTTCCTCCTGCTCACTGAACCCTGACCACCACAGCAGCATCAGTTCCAGCCAGGGCTTGGGTTCCAGGAGGACCATTAGAAGACCATTAGAAGCACCAAACGACACTCATACTGAATAAGAAGGTGAGAACAAAAAACAACAGGGCAGATGAGGTTTGTCTTGATGTAGGCTTGGAAGCAGTGAGAGAGAAGAATTCCATATAAAATCCCATGAAGGTGGAAACACAGTGGTGATTCATTCAGTGTGGACTCTCAAGGCAACCTACTTAGGTTCAAAACCTCGCTCTGCCACTTGCTAGCTGTGTGACCTCAGGCAAGTTACTTGACCTCTCTGGGGCCTCAGCTTTGTCATCTGTAAAAGGGGGTTAATAACAGTCATTCCATCTCGTAGCATTGTTCTGCAGGTTAAATGGAATGCTGAATATACAAGCAGAGCACAGGGAAAGGTCTCAGTAAATGTCAGTGGAATGATCATTAAAGACATGATAAAGGTGATTCCACAAAGACCAGAGCTGTGACAGATCCCGTAAGAAGGAGCTGGGGATGAAGTAGGCACTGACGTCTGACATGAGGAGGGGTTTTGTGCGTGTGTGTGTGTGTGTGTGTGTGTGTGTGTGTGTGTGTGTGTGTGTTCAGCAGGTGATGGGGCTGCTACCAGGCCTAAACGCAACTTGAACTTCAAGTTCAAGTTCACTCCTGCCCCGCCAGCTGGCGACCTTTGTAAGGCACAACTGTGAGTGGCTGATATGCTATGTAAACAAGCCAGGCCAGTGCTCCTCACTGCAACATGTGTTGTCTCCCTCGACGCCAGTGTGTCCATCCAAATGCCAGGGCAAAATACTAACTGCTTTATTTAGTTGGGAAGAAGGTCAAGGGGTGAGTCTTCCTGGACACTCGCTGCCATGACACACTCCCCAGGGCCAGTCAGCGGGGAGGCCCCAGGTCTAGGCTTGATTAGTCTTGACGTTGGCGGCCCTGGGGCTGGTGAACTCTGACAGCCAATTGTGGTCAAATAAAGCCACGGCTGGAACCTGCAGTTCCGCATGGCCCAGCGCACTCTCCACTTCCTCACCACATCTGGGAAGTGGCTAAACCTCAGGATTGCTTCAAATGTGCACACTGCTCCCCAAAGAGCTGAGGGTGGCAAGGAGATTACAAAGCAAAAAGACATGCAGCTCGGGGTCATTTCTTGCCTAGGTGTGAAGAACATATTTAAAAGTGCATCCAGGCCACATCAGAGCAGAATCCTCCTATAACACCCCGTGTCTGACGGGCGAGCCCCGACTCCTGTTGTGACTCGGCCTCCTCAGGTCTAGTTTGCAGGTATCCCCGGTCTACCTGAGTTGGCTCTGCAGCAGACTCTGTTCCTGTCACTCTCCTTAGTGTAGGTCTGTAAGCATGAGTCATCTTCTTCTTTTGGGGACAGTTTCAGGGGATGTGAAACTTGCCCTTTGTCACGCAAAGGAAGGCTGCAGACACAAAGGAGCCGTCTGCCCTGGGGGCTCAGAGTCCTTAGGAAACACAATCGCAACATTTTTCACTCTTGTGTTTGTCTGCAGGAAAGCCAGTTGTGCCCAGAGTCTTGAAACGCCCAAAGAGTGAGAAAGGAAAAATAAAAGAAAAACATCGCAGCTTTTAAAAACCAAGAGAGTCAGTGAAGGCTCAGGTTCTGCTCTTTGCAAATTCAGGAAATCCCACAAGATCCTGAAAGGTTGCAGGGAGATTTCTCCTTTTACAATAGATGGCTTTGGGTCTAATTTTAATTGCGGATAACTAAGTATAAAAATTAACGTACCCTCGGATTCCAGGAGTAGTCTGCATTTGGAGTATTTTTTATGAAGTATTTTTAATTTTGATTTCTCACTTTTCCACTGGAACAACCTAACAGCCAAAATTCATGCTTATGCTCCTCTTCCATTTCCTTACCCAAACATTTGCCACTATTTTTGACAGTGGAGTTGTATAATTAATTTATTTGGGGATTTCTGGACGGGATACAAATCCTTCAACTTGCACATAATTTCCTGATTCTCCATGCTGAATTGAATTAAGATGTCGGCGTACTGTATATACTTGTGTGCAAAGTGCCTGTATTTGCAGATTGCTTGATCCAATCGCACTCACATCACACATGCAAAATGCAGACTTGAGGCCTAAGCTACTGGCACCAGGACTACCCTCAAAAGTCAGACTGAAAATCAGGTCCTTAGAATATAGAACTCAGTTTTCCATGGAAATGGCATTTGTTTGGAATTATGGATTGTTTGAAAAATAGCTGTTTTACTTGGAGAAAACCGAAGACATGCAAAGCATTTTCTCTGGAGATGTTCTATGAAAATGAGTTGTTTGAGGACAGGGACAGAATTTTATTCATCTTTGTATCTTCTATTCTGAGGCAATAAAGAAAAGTTTGATAAATGAGGCCAGGCATGGTGGCACATGCCTGTAATCCCAGCACTTTGGGAGGCCAAGACGGGAGGATCACTAGAGCTCAGGAGTTCAAGACCAGTCTGGGCAGCTTGGTGAAACCCCATTGCTACCAAAAATATAAAAAATAAAATAAAATAAAATAAAAATAAAAAATAAAATAAAATAAATTAGCTGGGCATGGTGGCACACATTTGCAGTCCCAGCTACTTGGGAGGCTGAGGCACAAGAATCACTTGAACCCAGGAGGCGGAGGTTGCAGTGAGCCGAGATCACGCCACTGCACTCCAGCCTGGGTGACAGAGTAAGACCCTGTCTCTAAAAATCAATGAATCACTCTGCAAACTTTCAGTTTGACAGCCAGTCCTTTACAACGTCGAATTTCACTTGGAAGGCATAGCTTGCTTTTTCCAAGGCACAGGTATGCTGGGCTCAACTGCAGGCAGGGGAAAAGCTCAGGTTTGCAAAAGGAGTGGAGGGGCGGGCCTCTTTATTTGGCAGAATATCACCTATCCCACAAAACACCATGATGTTCTCATGCAATCTTGCATTTCCTTTCCTGAGATTTCATTTTCCCTTTCTAATCTTCCTTTTCCTTTTGATACCACAGTTCCCTAGGATCTCAGCTGGGGAACCAAGTTTTAACCAAAACACCCCAAAACCCTGAATTCGCAGCCCCCTGGAGACCAAGGCCACACCTGCTGCCCTGTGCTTCCCCCAAGGACAGCCACCAGATTTACCAGTCTTCACTCATCCATCAGGCTGTGTGTTTGGGCTGGGGTCACACAGGGCAAGTGACCAAAGTGACCTCCTGGGCCTGGCCTCCTCCTGATTCCGATAGTGCCCCTAGCCGGGTGCCTCAAACACACAGCCCAAGGCCACACAGAGCTGCAGCTGGGAGGCCTGAGGCATGGACATTCTTCAGGGAAGGAAGGCTTGGGGGGCGTCAGCTCCTGCTCACCAGCCTTGCAGCACTTGCCACTGCAGGTAGGAAGAAAGGCAGGTGAGTGTGGAGGTAGAGAGGGAAGAGAGGGAAGCTTGAGGCAAGCTTGAGGAGGGAGCTGACTTCTAGGTACAGTGCCATCTACCAAATGGGGTCCTTGCAAGCTGGATATACACATGCCTGGCGCTGCTTGAAAGGAGAAAGGAGAGCTTTCAGTCTCTGGATGGGTCTCTAAGCTCCCCACGCACCCTCCAAATGTCCTTTCCATTCTTTAAACTGTAAGCCAAGTATCTTTCCACAATTTGTATCTGGAGTTAGTTATAAGTGGTTCTCCATTTCATTAGGATCAGACCAAATTCCCAACGTGGATGTTAAGGCAATCCCCGCCCTATCTCTCTGTAAGGCTCCCCGCCATCACTCCCCAACCACCGCCACTGGAGCATCTCTCAGCTCCCAACAGGCCAGGTGCTCCTTCCTCACTCTGCTTTCTCTGCTGGGACATGATTCTTCATGCCTCCACCGGGTTAGTCTCCTTGTCACCTGCAGGTCTCAAGTGAATGACAAGTGGTCCAGGGAGACCCTCTGAACCTTCACCAGGTTCTGTACCTCTGAGCCTTGGCTCCCGCCACACCCATCTATCATGTGTTATCTACTCACAACAGGGATGGCCTACTTAATTGCCATGTTCCTTACTAGCCCCCAAGGCTGTGGGTTCTCTTTGGCTGACCGTCGTATTTCTCATGCTAGCCCAGTTCCTGGCACACAGTAGGTGCACAATGTATATCTGATAAATGAATGAATGAAAGAAATGCCCTTAGTAAATGACCTTGGGGGGTGGGGCAGAGGGAGAGTTCTAATAAAACAGGAATAGGTACTATATTTCCATCACAGGGTCAATGCCCAATAAAAGTTTGTAATTATATTATTATTACATAGGCTTTTACTTGTGAATACTTATGGAATGCCTGCTGTTATCTCATGCACTCTCATTTTAGTAGGCCCTTAGCAGGACCAAGGAATATAAATTCCTTGCCATCGAGGAGTGGGCCCTGAAAAACAGCATCATTCCCAACTTTTCAAATTCAGCAAGACCCATGCTGCCTCTGGCTTGCTCTCTCCCCTCCTCCCTCAGGGATTCTCGCTGTAGAAGGAAGAACATCATCAAGAGGGGCCCTAGCTCTTCTTCCTAAGTATAGTTACATACACACCATCTCGCTTTTATCATCCTAACATAGATGATATAAGTCATAGATGAAAGGCACTCTTAAACCTATTGAACACAGATGGGGAGACTGAGGCTGGCACATCTGAGTCCTACAGGTGTGCCCTCTTCTCATATTACATTATGCTACTTTTCTAGGACTCACAGAATCATCGCTAATAGATGTGTGTGTTTTCTATGTCATCATTACGAATCAAAGGAATATTAAATAGGACACAATGGGTTCGGTGTAATCTAGAGTTCAGGGATTTGGCCAGAATGCAAGATAATAGTGTAGTAAGAACCCTTCCAAGTGACAGCCAGATGAACCAGTGCTGAGTTTATACGTGGCCAAAAGAGAAAAATATGCATGGATGTTCACTTGCAGTTTATGAAAATGCTGAGACACAACCTTAAGAATGGCTTCCAGCGGAACATCCGGAAGTCCTCAAGTAGTCCAAGGCGAGCTGCCGTGGCACTGCTACAAAACCCCTTCAACTTGGGTGGAGGCAGCAATGATCACTCAGGAAGAATGTGATGCTGCCAGGTGCCAGCCTGTGTAACCCAGCGACAGGACAAAGGGATTATTCTGCTTCATTATTAAAATGAAGTGTTTACTGTTAAAATACGATTGGGAATTAAAAGGGGCACATATGAATCATAAATATTTGCATGCCATTAATGTTTGGACAAAAGAGTTGGAAAGGCTGAGTTGGGAGAACTTCTTTTCCCATGAAAAGCAGTGCTTCAAATTACAGTACATATTTAATTTCGTTTCTCCTATTGCTAACAGGAATCTCAGGGCCTGCCGCATATAACCCTTTCACGACCACAGAACCGTATGGGGCCCTGAAATAAGGATAAGGATTGTGTTTCCTCCTTGGAAGCTCACCCATTTAGACAAACAAAAAAAGCAGACCTCTGGTTGTTGTTGCTGTTTGCTGTTGTTTGCTATGCACTCACAGAGTCCCCATTGTCTGCCCCATGGTGTTGGTGTCACTGCAAAAAGTAACAACTCCTAACCTATGTCTTGTCTCAGGTAATCAATCCTCATTGTCCCTCTGTCTTCCCACAGACAAGGGCAAAATCAGGCTTAGACAGGTCAAGTAGCTTGTTCAAGGACAGATAGCTCCAAGCCAGTGGTTCTCAACCAGGGGCGATTTGCCCCCAGGGGACATGACGCAATGGCTTCAGAGATTTCTGGTTGTCACAACCAGGAGGGTGGGTGCTAGTAGCCCCTGAGTAGAGGCCAGGGGTGCTGTTAAATGTTCAACCATGCACAGGAAAGCCACTCACAGCAAAGAATAACTGGCCCTAAATGTCAGCAACACCCAAGTTGAAACACAGTGGGGAAGCCAGTAAAGTCCACGTGCTGACCACTAGGCTGTACTGCCTAACATCAAAACAGTCCTGGGCCCAGCACAGTGGCTCATGCCTGTAATCCCAGCACTTTGGGAGGCCGAGGCAGGCAGATCACGAGGTCAAGAGATCGAGACCATCCTGGCCAGCGTGATGAAACCCCGTCTCTATGAAAAATACAAAAATTATCCAGGCGTGGTGGTGCAAGCCTGTAATCCCAGCTACTTGGGAGGCTGAGGCAGGAGGATTGCTTGAACACAGGAGGCGGAGGCTGCAGTGAGCTGAGATCACGACACTGCATTCCAGCCTGGTGACAGGGCGAGACTCCATCTCAAAAAAAAACAAAAACAAAAAAACAAACAGTCCTGAACAGTCATTCATTCACAGACCATGTATCAGGCATCATCTAATGTCACTCATGATACCACCTGGAGCTTTCTAGTTAAAGGCTGGATCTCTTGATTTTGGAAAATTCCTGTGAGCCCACTTCCTCGGGGCTCCTGAGCACATCTTCCTTTCCACAGTGCTTGGGTCTCCGTTCCTACACACACCCTTGCATGCCACAGCTGTTTTCAAGCTTTTTCCCCAGTGACCTTCTCTCTAGAGCACACCTACAGCAACTCGTGAGCTCTGTGCAGTCCCTGGCTCAGACACCGTCCACGAACTCCCATTTGGATAGTTAATGCTTACTAGTCACAGATTACATGACACACAAGTGATCTCTGTCGAATCTAGGAGCGTTGCTCTACTGTAGGGAGCTTAAAGGAAGCAGATGTATACACGGAGAAGGAAAATTAGGCGTGAGGGTCCCCATGCAGCACAAAAGCAAGGAAACGGACAAACAAACAAAGCAGACACAGCCTGACCTATTCCAGAAACTCAACCTGCAGCAGGCTCTACCTTGATGCACTGGGAACACCTAGGGGAGTCTCCCTACGGATTTTTGTTTTCAAATCATCGTGCCCTGAATCTCAGTGTAAAAACCGGTGATGGCAAAACTGACATGCTGGGGCAGGTGGGATAAAGCTCCAGAGGAACCCAGCCATCTGTCTGCGGGTGGCATCTGCAAGCCCATCCTGTGGGCGGCAAACCCACAAACCTTGGTCCTGTCTCCCCTCCTGCCACGTAGTGCCTTCATTTTTATTTAGGGTATGCAGACTGAGCCATTTTGGTGTCTGGGAGTTGTCTGTCAGTGACACACACCAAGACCTTGCTTTTATCACTTTTTTTTTTTTTTTTAGACGGAGTCTTGCTCTGTCACCCAGGCTGGAGCGCAGTGGCATAATCTCGGCTCACTGCAACCTCCGCCTCCCTGGTTCAAGCAATTTTCCTGCCTCAGCCTTCAGAGCAGCTGGGATTACAGGTATGTGCCACCACTCCTGGCTAATTTTTGTATTTTTAGTAGAGATGGGGTTTCACCACGTTGGCCAAGCTGGTCTCAAACTCCTGACCTCAGATGATCCTCCTGCCTTGGCCTCCTAAAGTGCTGGGATTACAGGTGTGAGCCAGCATGCCCGGCTCTTTATCACTTTTTTAATATGAGTGGACACTGTCCACTGACATCAATTCCCATTCCTAGATCAGTGGCTCCATGGACTCTCTGCTGAAGTATTCAGGGAAAAGCAGTGAGCCTCTGGCAGAGGGCTTCCTAGTTTCTGCAGTCCTCGTGGACCTCACCTGTGTGACATTCATGAGGGGGTGGCTACAGTGGGGAGCCTTCTCGGAGAAGCTGCCCTGCTGTGTGTACCACCCCCACCTGCAGCCACTCCTCCAGCCACTGCACATCCCTGACCCAGGATAGCAGGCAGGGTCAGTGGCGCCAGGGGGATGGTGCAATTCTATGCATACAGAACACTGCTGTTTTCCCTTTAAAAAAAACTTTTAATATTCAGTGATGTTCTCTATTTTTTATTCTGTGCAATGTTTTAAAAATAAGTTTTTCATAAAATTTAAAATAAGTTTTTCATACATTTTGATAAGTTTGTAGGGAGGCAGAATGTCAGAATAAAAGGGGCAAGGGAAACATTTTACAACCTATGCATGATCAGGGCGAGATCACGCATGACTGGAGCTAGATGAGTTTCTCAATCTCAGCACAACTGACATTTGGGTCTTTGTTGGGGAGGCTGTCAGGTTCATGGTAGGACGTTTAGTAGATCCCTGGCCTCTACTTACTAGATGCCACCGGCACTCCCCAACCCAATACACGACCACCAAAAATGTCTGCAGATATTGCCAAATGTCTTCTGGGAGTCAAATCACCCCAGCTGGGAAACACTGAGCAAGATTATGATCAAAATTGATAAGCAGGGAGACAAGATACTGATAATAAACTGCCCAGTGGTTTCAGATAGAATAATGAAGGCAGGACATTTGTCCTAGGTACTAGAGACACACCATTTAAAGAGGCAGACAAAGCCTTATTATGATGTGAGTTAGACTAGCTCCTTACTAATTATAGATAGATAGAAAGATAGATGATTAATACTGACTATCCTCTATACAATAGTTTCAAATAGAATGAAGGAAAAAAATCTGTAAAGACCCCAACCCAATGCCTTGAGCAAACTGGAGTGTTTCCACCTCCAGAGATCTGATGAGCACACAGATGACCAATTATGCTCAATCTGCCCATATTCCTGTGATTTACCTTGGTTTGCATACGGTGACTCAATTAGGGCCATACACCACCCCAGAGTGCTGGCCAGCCCTCCTATTAACTGGACAGGCACGTCCTTGGGATAGGTGATGGGGGAGGTGGGGTAGTTCTGCAGATGGCCCTGCCCATACATTCTTAATGATGGTCTTAAATCTCAAGGTAAAAGCCCAAATTAATCTAAGTTGAGAAATAAACAGGAAATGTACTTACATCTTCTTTGAGAAAAACACAGTTTAAATGGCTCCTAAATGAATGCTTCCTCACTAAGGAAATCAGAGGAAACGCATTTTCAGTCTAGCAGCAGAATGGCCGTGAGCCTCTCAAAGGAAGTTGCTGGGATTCCTCTATGGACCTCAACTGCCTGACACCTTCATTGGAGAACGTTCGGTGATGTCAAATGGAGCTCCTGAATGGGACATGCTGCCCAATATAGACTAACAGGGACTGGGCAATGTACTGGAATCCCAAATCAGTGCAGTGCAAACTGAATGCCGTCGATTGCTCTGTCTTCAACAGAGATCAAAATACATCTCCGTTGAATGTAGGACTCACAGCAGAACCAATGATGGAGTATGCGCGCTGCCTGAAGTCCAGGAATGCATGTTTATAAATACAGACGTTGAAGTGCTGCGATCTGTCCCCATGCCCCGCCAGGGAGCCGACAAAACGAGCGCATGTCATAGTATTCATAGGCAGCTCATTAAATCCACACTGCTCACTTATTAATTTCCATTAATTGCTTTATTTGGGCTTTAGATGAGAAGATGTTATTAGCATGAATTTAGTCCTCAAAGATAATTTGGCCCAAGAAGTCTCTCAATGGAAGTATGGATATTCTCATTCTCTCTCTCTCTCTCTCTCTCCCCCTTGCACACACGCACACACACACGCACACACACTCCACTGGCTAAGAATCAATGAAGCCTTCAAAAGCATACACTCTCCCCATATTGACAGTATATGATTATTCATAAACATCTCTTTACTGATCTGAACTTGTGTCATAATCATCTACAGAAAGAAAACAGCCTTAAGACAGTACACCGGCCAGGTACGGTGGCTCACGACTGTAATCCCAGCACTTTGGGAGGCCAAGGCAGGTGGACCACCCGAGATCAGGAGTTCAAGACCAGCCCAGTCAACATGGTGAAACCTCGTCTCTACTAAAAATACAAAATTAGCCAGGCGTGGTGGTGGATGCCTGTAATCCCCAGCTACTTGGGAGGCCGAGGTAGGAGAATCGCTTGAACCTGGGAGGTGGAGGTTGCAGTGAGCTGAGATCACACCACTGCACTCCAGCCTAGGCAACAAGAGGGAAACTCTGTCTCAAAAAAAAAAAAAAAAAAAAAAAAAGACAGTACACCATCTCTCCTTGTCAACAAGTAATTTTTCCTTAAAAAAAAAACAACAAAAAAACCAGAAACACAGAATATGTTCTTCTTTAGCCAACCTTCTCCACCCTCTCTTGCCCCTTGCCAACCAGCACAAAAAAGAAAATACAAAACTGATTTATTAGAACCAGAGCAGGGTTGCAGCCGTTGGCTGGATCACTGTTTATGTCTATAATGCTTGTTGCTGAAACAGGAAGCTCTAAAAATCACTCAACCATTATTTCTCTTGCAGGCACTTTCTGATTGATAGTCTTCTGTCCCGACCAAAAAGAAATGCCTCCACCAAACACAAGCCGGCTGGCAAGGAAGGGGTTGAGGGTGGGTGGAGAGAAGTACAGCTTCTGCCCATCAAACTATAAAATATTGTTCATACAAATAACCTCAATTTAAAAAAGCTGTGTGACGCCATCAGCAATGCCTGACACTTCACAAAATCAGCAAGAAAACTATGAAGGGATCAACTGCGAAACTGCCTGTTGCAAGCACAAGCAGTTTTCAAGAAAGCTTTTCCTGCTGGTCCTTGCCATGACTGGGCCACCCCAGGCTTTAAGCAGGGCAGGGAGCAACTTGCTTTAGGAAAGTGTTGCTATCCTTTTATTGGCAAATGTGAAACCGAAATGAGAAACTTGGTCTCTAGAGATGAATTCTACATCAGATCATGGAGGCAAGCTTTTGACCTGCCCGTCGAAAAGCAGCATTTGTTAGGGCTGGTTGAGGCTTGGTATATCAGAGACTGGGTCTTTATTCATCTATATTTGCTTGCAATGAGATCTGAATACAGATTTCAGTATATATATTATTTTAAAGTGTAGATCAGTATGTAACAGAAGAAAGTGGGAAAATGGGAGAGTTGATTTTAATATAACTCATGTCTTTTCCTTATATTCTCTCCAGGAGATCTGACTGCCAGTTTATACCATGAACATTACCCGTGAAACAACTCTGGGGTGGTCAGATGAATTTTTCCTTCTTCTATTATATGAATCTGTTAATAGAATAGAGAAGGACTGGGATCCTACGATAATACTGCGAGTCATTCAGATCATCTCTTGGTAACAACCGCTACATAAAGCCAAGCCATGTCTCTTTGTTTAGAATATCAGTACCGTTTATCCTTCCCTAAATGTACCTTCCCTTCCTCTTGACCACAGTCTTCCACTCACCTGAAGGGCAACCTCCCACACTTTAGCCCAAATAATGTAGAATAATTTAAGAATGAAAATGCCTTAAGCAACTAACATTACACAAATATGCAATAACCCAGATTGTGACAGGATAAATATTATGTCTGGGAAGATATTCACAGCAAGAACATACCGAAGGAATTTCATTGTATAAATGTGTTGGGAAAGGATACTATTTTGAAAGTGGGCAAGATTAAAGCTGCCAGGGAGGTCAATGTAAACACAAATTCCGCCAAGAAACTCAACGCCATCCTGACAGGCCACAGAACACTTGGCCTTACAGGGCTGGGTGTGGACACAGTACGAGGGAAGCGACTGTCCTTTCAATGACAGAATAGGCCCCCTCCCCTTTACCCGTGATGATATGTGGGCATACCTGATGGCCATCCAAAGGCCTGGCCAGTGGTTTCAAGGAGATCTACTTTCTTAATTAGACAAACCAGACCCCGGCGATAACAAAAACACAGGTGTTACCAAAACAGCACAGGTTCAAGAAAATGTCTAGCTCATTTGTACATGTATTTATTCATTTTCAGGTGTCTACTATATGCGGCATAGGGCTAAGCTGGCCCTCCATGATCAATGCAAAGTTCCAAATTCACAAATTTTTGGCCTAGGGTCTGTGGATCCCCAGAAGGTCCATAAATGAGTTCTGGTAGCCTAGAAACTGAAATGATATACGTAATTCTGTGTGTAAGTGAACACGTGCATTTTTTTTTTGTCCTTGGAAAAAGCCTTCCAAAGGATTTTCAAAAGTATCTATGATGTTCCCCAAAGATTAAAAATCATATTCTAAGAAAAAACTAGAAAGAAATGTGCAGTAGACCATCTTTCCTCCTGCAGCAACAATGCAGCTGATAAAGCAGCTGGAGAGATTTCTTCTTTGGTTCTGAAATGAAATTACTAAAGCTGTATTTCCTGATTGATCAGTTATTCTCTGACTGATTAAATACTCCAACTGGGATGAAGCAGTCACAGATTTCATTGCTAAAATTTCTTTTTCTTTTTTCTTTTTTTAGATGGAGTTTTGCTCTTGTTGCCCAGACTGGAGTGCAGTGGCGCAACCTCGGCTCACTGCAACCTCTACCTCCTGGGTTCAAGCGATTCTCCTGCCTCATCCTCCTGAGTAGCTGGGATTACAGGCGCCCGCCACCACACCTGGCTAATTTTTTGTATTTTTAGTAGAGATGGCGGTGTCACCATGTTGGCCAGGCTGGTCTTGAACTCCTGACCTCAGGTGATCCACCCACCTCGGCCTCCCAAAGTGCTGGGATTACAGGTGTGAGCCACTGTGCCCGGATACCAATTGCTAAAATTTCTTAAATTTCTCTCAGCTGAAGCCATGATACACTTTCTTGTCATTCTAAAGGTGGCAGGTGATGTAGCACTTGCCTCAACTGCAGATGTAAACTGATATAAGCTGCTCAGTGAATTCGTTTCACATAAGAGAATTCCTTTTGACCCTGAACTTCAATTTTTTGGGGGTGTCATGGAGTCCCAGTCCATTTGGCTAAAATGTGAATTATTCTGAACAATAACCTCTGTGCTCACATGACCTCTGGAGTTCAGCCCGGTCCCCAGAGCTCCCTAACCCTCATCTCCTGGGAGCTGCTATCTCTTCCTCCTTTGTAAAGGAGCGGTCGATTTACATGGAGATACTGAATCAAAGAGAGAAACATTCCAAGGGTGAGATACACTCTGAACCAAGATTTAAACTGCCAAGGAGAAAAAGGAGGGAATGGAAGAAAAGAGAGAAGGTTCAGGCTTCTACAGGGCCAGTGTAGCCAGCGAGGCCATCAAAGCCGGACAGGCAGGTTTTCCCAGTTACGGAATGAACCCGAGGTTAGGAGCTGTGATCCTGGATGGCAGCCAGCGCCCAGATAGATTCGTTTTGTAGAACAGAGAAAAACCCTTCCATGTTCAACCTCTGGCAGTTTCTATGAGGTTTACAATCCCCATGGACTGGCAGCTGGTCACAGAAAGAGAACTTCTTTCTCTACCTTTCATTTTGCACCACTTACTAGGCCCCTTGGAGAATCCATCAGACTGGTGGCTTTTGACAGAATTCAAAATTGGCACTGAAAGTTTGGATGAGCCAAGAGCCAGGGCCTTCTGAGCCATGGCGTGGTGTGTTCATGCCAAGGGTATATTTTCAAGCACATTTTCAAAAACAGAAAATGAGACAGTTGTCTTAAGATCACTTAATAAAACGTAATGAAACTGTTAAAGGTAAGATTCAGTGAGGAAGATTAAGACTAATTGTTAAAATTAGTCAGAATGATCTGCTCTCTTCCTAATGGGAAGCAAATTGCAAAAAAAAAAAAAAAGAAGAAGAAGGAAAAAGAAAGAAAAAAATCTGGCAGGCTTTGGTGTTGACACTTACACTTGAAAGAGAAAAATCAAGTTATATTTTATGACTATGGAAAGAAATTATGACAGAGTCAAATCGGGCCTTCAGACAGCTCATTTACTTTTGTAGCGCTGACTAAAAAAAAAAAAAAAAATATATATATATATATACACACACACATATATATATACATCTCAAGACCAACAATATTCATATCCACAGTAATTACAATTGGGTCAAATGTTCCATTAGGGTTTCCGTATTTTTTATTGCTTATTATCACTGGTGGGAAGGAGAGTCTGTTCAAAATATTGTCTGTTTATGGCATTTCAATTAATTTTCTCATTCCAGAGTATGGGAAGACAGCCCAGCCTTGGTTGCAGCTATTTTACTTTTTGGGGTTTATGCAAACTCAAGGGCATACTGGCACGAATCCTGCAGCCAAATGCAAACACTCCACACCTTGGGGAAACAGTTCACTGTTACCCAAGTAAACACAAGCACCTATTAGTCACCCACTCAAAACAGAAATGGTCAATGAGGGATGCAAGATCAGCCATCAATGCCAGAAAAGAAAGCACACTGCTTTCAAAATCTCATTTTTTTATTATCACTGGTTTACTGTGCATTGCCGGAAAGCCACTACTGAACTTCTTGTGGGAAAATGTCACTGGCACGGATCACTAAATAGTTTTTAAAACTTTTATGACCAAAACCTAACTTGAAGACCCACACAGATGCATAGTATGATGATAACACTTTCTCTAGAAAAGCAATTCAATGATACTTAGCTATTGATTCCTAACAGCAGAAATCCACAAGAACTGAATTAAGAGAGTTAGCTAGGCCGATGGGCATGGACCAGGCTGTGGGGCCTTTGTTTTTTATTGGCTTCTCACCCACTCTGCCAGCTACTCATCCGAAGCCTTTAAGATGTTTTCTAGACACACATCTCTGAATCATAATGCAAATTCCATTTACTGAAAGGTGGGGACTTTTAATACAACAAGTGAACCCATTTAATGACTTATGCTTTTATATCTTATAGCATCACTCATGCTTTCAAAAAGTGGATATAATTTTCTTTGCATTACCCTATTATTAATATAGTACTATGAATATATATTTTCAATCACATTATATAAATTTTTTATTTTCTCCAGCTATGATTCTATTATGAAAATGCTCCAGATAGCTAGGATAGCAAAAATAATCACCAAAATAATCAACTCACATTTACCCCTTTCTCCTTTCTGACTAATCAAATTCTCTGAGAACTGAGATTTTCTTGTTTTTAAATGCCTTTTTAAAGAGTAATAATTTCTCTTATTTTAAATGTTGTTTGATTGGTGCTTCCATTTTTTTCAATACGAGAACTATTACTGTTATTTAGGTATTTACCATAAGTCTTTTTATTATACTTGAAATAACTTATTTGTAAGCTTAATCGGTACTATATTACAAAAAATGAGTTTAAAAAACTATCTTACCTCCCTCAACTAAACTTTTACTACTTGTTGCTATTTATAAAATATGATTTGGTTCTTACAATGTAAAGAAAACATAATACTTGAAAATAATTGGAAACCAGAAAAAATTACAATAAGCCAAGATTCCTATTTCTGCTCTAATGCTTTGATAATGAGTTAAAGGCAAGGAAAAATAAAATCACACATGGAGCTGAAGTAATGCAACAATTTCTTGGATAATCCAATCTCTAATATTATTAGTATCTAAAATGCTAACCAGGCCCAACCCCTCCTCCTAAATAAGGCATTGAAAAGAAATACAACAGGAAGATCATACTGCCATCAATGGTACTAACATTATTTCTTCATGTCTTTTTCTAAAAAGGTAAGCTTGCTTGAAACCATGTTTCAACATCATACACTAGAAATCCCTAAAATTATTAGAAGTGGTCATTCGAAACTCTGTCACTTTTCACAGATAGCCCACAGATCATACGTCAACAGTTTCCATTAAATAGCTTTTGTATTGTTATCCAAGAGAGAATCCTCATTGTAATTGTATAATCCTAGTTTCATTAAAGTCAGTTTTATATTTTTTGCATTTTAGTAAAAATCTCAGGCGTTTCTTTGAAATTCACAATTCCTACGTTGCATGTTCCAAATCAGTCTTAAATCCACTCAGTAACATAAAGCAATAATATAGAGATTCTGCTAAAAATATTAAACTTCAAATAAATATTTTTAAGAGCTTGACATAGCAATAAGAATGTTAAGACAGACCGAGTTTCTAGGGATTCCATCACAGAAATCACTAGAATTTTGAAATGTGGGTTTGTTGCCATGAAACGTGTTTCAAGCATAGTTTTGACAGATAACGTACCTCTTCCACTTCGACCGACAAACCTGAGGTCATTAAATCTTGCAACCTGGTTCTTCATGGCTGCGGTAGCATTTCTCAGCTCAGCCGAGTAGTTTTCATCATTGCCAGCCATCACAGTGACCAGAGTGCCATCTGGAACATCCCCTAGGGCCACCACCTAAACACCAGTCAAAGGACAAATGCAGACATCAGGGATGTTATACATACACTTTTAGGGCATTTGTGTAGTGATTATTCTAAAATTAAATGTATATTCAATGATTTCTTTTTAGGTTGCAGAGGAATAGCAATGATAACTTAAGCAAAACAACAGAAAAGTTATAAAGAGAAGACACTTTTTTATTATATTTTAGGTTGGTGCAAAAGTAATTGCAGTGTTTGCAATTTTTAACTCCAAAAACTGCAGTTACATTTGCACCAACCTAATACATTATGTATAACTATATGTAAATTTTCAAATAGTGACACATATACTAAATTTACCTCATAAAGCCATAGTAGGTCACATAGCACAGTTGGAACAAGACTAACCATAGCAAGATATCAAGGATTTTGAGTAGCTATGCCGTCTCCTGAATACAAGCATCTCTTCTTAATTTCTCCCGTTTGAGAAACAGAACATCCTGTGTTTGTAAGTTTATAATCCAACCCATCTTTTACTTGCTCAGACCTCCACTAACAGGCTGAACAAGGTGCAGACTTTACTTTTAGAAAATAAAACAAAACAAAAAAACACAAAAAAACCCAATTTCTGCTAAAAGTAGATTTCATCTTGCTGACGATTCTTAAGTAACTTAAACTGTCCCTCTACAGTTCATCTTTGATACCTCCTACTCATCGCTATTATCTTGAGTTTTACTAGCAATGAATTCTAGCACACAAGAAAAAAAAATCAGAAATGCACCCTTCGTTTACTAATTACAAAATCAACAGACCTCAGAAAGACGGGACATTCACTTCTATGCACTCCCCTCAATTCAGGGGTGGAATTGGGTTGCATTTTTGTATCTGTGAGTCTCAGCGTGTGTAAACTCATGTCCTCACAGATGCCTGAGGTTTTCTGCTAGCCCAGCTGATCTTGACCAGGAATTTATTTAATGTAACTGAGTAAGTATGAAGTCTTATCAGGGCTATTGGAGAAAACTGGTAGATAAATGTTTTTATACTCAGGTAATTAAGAAAATGAATTCCAAAGTAAAATACTCTGAAAAGCATGACCTAAAGATACTTTGTACAATAGCATCAATTTCTTGGCTATCATTTAGGCCTTCTAGAAACTATTTTCTTGGTCTAGACATTTACTATTGGCTGTATTTCCTTTGTTTCTATTTTTCAAAGCAGTCATACAACTTCAAATCGAAATGCCCCAAGCTGTATTTATTCTGATCATTTCTGACATTCTTTACGGTAAAGTCAGTAGTGACATTTATATTACTCATTCCAATTACATCATCATTTTTGGTTGCTGTTTTTGAATTGGTAACAGTAAAGCATTCCTTAATCTAGTGTTATCACTCCTTCCTCTGCCTCCTACTTCCCAATTTTTACCTTAATAACTGCTACATAATTTTTTGTAGTATATATTTTCAGGCCTCTTTTTCTATATGTAAAAAAGGCTGCCATAGACTCACTTGTATGATATCGAAGTCATGTTTCTCAAGATTCCCATTTTCATGATCTGCTTAGCCATCACCCTTTCCCTGTGGCCTCCAGATGACTATCTATTGTTTTTATTCATTAGAACTGCTTCAGTCCTTGTGGCACAGAACACGAACTAACTCACTATGAGAGATGAACATACTTCCAACCCCAAGACTACACCAGGATAATCTAGTCTCATAGAAGCAGGGAGGCATTTTCCTCTATTTTATCCAACTTGCACTGCCAAACAAGGTCTGGGCCTTTTCTCTCTTTTTAATCCTTTCATTCCAATTGTTGGACATGTTTTCCATATAGGAGATTTTAAAACTCTGCTATTTATTCCCCAAGCACCCTCTAATTAGCTATTTAGTTCCCATTATAAGTGTGTTTGTTGCCATTTAATTAAGAGCAGTGATACGACAATTCCCTTTTTGTTTTAAAAAGATATCACGGAAATAAATCTCCCTGATCAGTTATTTGGTTATTGCTACTGTTTTTTTTTTTTTTCTATTCCCGAAAAATGGGCTTGCTTTATTTTGCTCTTTTTAGTCTCTCACAACAAATTTTCCCCTTTTTTTCATGATTTTCACTTCCCGTTGTAAAGTTAGCTCACAGTGTTGAAATGCCCTCTTTGAACACATATTTTTACTTCCTCATCCTCCTCTCCCTGTGGTAACCCAGGCTTCTCTATTGTAACTCAACATTCAGCAGGTATACAGAGACTGCCTCCACTACGTGGGTTTCAAACTGAATAACTCATTGTTGGGTCTGGATCTGTAAAAAGGTGAAAATAAATAAATCTTCTTTTATAACTACAGGAATGTATTCTGAATTATCTGCCTCCTACTGCTGTTCCCCTCACAGTGCTCCAAGCCTGTGCCTCTCTCATCTTTCCAATACTATCCTCATTGGTAATTTGGCAAATTCAGGAGACCTTCGCCAAGTCGAAACAAACATAGAATAAAATTATCATGGAGGCTAAATAAGAAAAGGCTGTTGATGTTGGAACTTAAGAAGAAAAAAATTAGAAGTTTAACTCCCACTCCTCTTTTTTTTTAAATGCAGCAGAATCAACCATATTTGGGCACCTACATATCATTCACTTGGCCTTGTATTGATCTCTGAGGGTTTTTTTTTGGTGGAGGCGGGTGGGTAAAGGGGAACTAGTAAATCCAGGGCAATTCATTAATACTGTATATCGTCCAATTGTTAACAAGCATACTTAAGCCAGGTTTAAAAAGTTTCTTTTTAATTCAAAACTAACATGCGTGCTAATTTGATACAGGTTTTGTCACTGATGGGCAATATGGAGAGAATGTAAAAATATCTAACTTCAAACAGAAAAAAGAAACAACTGGAATGAAAAGCTATAAACAATAGGTAAGGAAACACAAACATTTACATTTTAACACAGACCAAACAGGCAAGAAGGGACTTGCTGGCCAAAGATATCTCATATTTTGTTTTACTTCTCTGTTTTTAAAGTATCAGGAAGTTGGGCCAAATATCAACTCTCTTCTATATTACATGGACCTCCCAATACTGTTCTTGGCTAGCCTGTTCACGGTCCAAACTGGCATTTTAAACCAATTCTAATTAGGTTGAAATTACAGTTACAATTCATTTACTTCAAATCCGTTAACCTTCCAGTGTTGCAAAGAAGGCTGTGGAGTGGAACACAGAATTCAGCTGAGATGATATTTAAGGCATAGCTAGGGACTGTGATCTTGCCGACAAAAATATTACTTATTTCCTTTTTATGAAAAGAATATTACCATCAGAATCCAAGACCTCCGAACTTCCCTGCTGAAGGCACGTTTACGTCTTTGGACTCTGGTGTACCAGGGCCTGAACAAGCTATAACACCATGGTATTACCAAATACATCCTAAGTCATCAAAACAGCTTTTTAGGCTAATTCTGTAAGTACAGCAAAACACACAGCAAACTTAAGGTTTTCTTAGTAGTAAAAAACATGTATCTCTCATACTGTAAAAAATAAAGGTGTTCCATGGGAGGGAAGGAGTAGGGGGAGAACAGGTTGGGGCTCAAAATAAGCAAGTAGGGTTATTGTAATCTATTTTAAAGAAAATTCATAATTTTAAATCTCTCTTTAGTTCAGAAGATTGACGTAGAGGATTTACCTACAGAACTTCAGGAGATTCCTAAGAAGGCCTTCAGTGATCTTTTCATCAATATCATCAGGCCTTATCATTGTTTCACATTTGCTTCTCTTTACCATAGGGAATATAATAATTATTTACTGGTTAACTTCCTAGGGAGATTGCCTGCGGCTTATTTAAGATCCAAATTTTAAAGTAATAATTTCTGTTGAAGCTGCTTGTGAGGTGGTTGGGTGGGCAGATAGAGTGAAGCCAGGGACACACACTAAATGAGCCCGGGATGTAGGCAGGTTTTGA